>NC_000002.12:81667625-82292625 GCF_000001405.40 Homo sapiens
TCTCTGTGACCTTAGCATAAATTCACTTGATAATTTCACTCTGAACCACAGACATAAGGTACATTATAGCTGAAATCTAGTGTACTTAAAGTTCATTGCTGGTTGTATCTTAAGTACCCTTGCCTGCTATAGTTTCAGCTACTTATGCTATCATGCTGATATTTCATGTGATTCATCATTACATCTAGATTAGGCACCTCATTGCAAAAGTTCTTTGTTTTTAGGATTGTAGTAACATCCCTCAACCTCAGCTATTCTTGATCTTCATTCTTCAAATATGGACCTGATTATGAGTTCTCCCTTGCGAGGCTGGTTTCAATACATGCTTTCTAGGAATATTAGTGCACTTAAGCTAATACATGCTTAAGAAACTTACATTATAAGATGTGAAAAGTGTTAATTATATGTATGTGTATGTGTGGATATATCTCTCTATCTCCTCTCTCTCTGCGTGTATATCTCAGTGACAGAGAAACTGGATTGAAGTATAAAGTAGCATTTGAGCTGAGATATATGTCTTACTGAGATTTCAGGTTGATTTAGACATTTCTGGGTAAATAATATTCAGTGTGGGCAAAAGACTGAGGAGGTTTGAAATGGGTATTTTTAGTTAGAATAAAGCAGTTCTCAATGGCAATAGATTTCAAAAACAGTTCACTAATTGTTTCCATTGTGGAATCTAAAATGACTCCTCTATTGTATAATTTCAGAAATCATACTAAACATATCTGCATATAATTATTCCATGTTAATTATTTTAGTCACATAATTTGTTTCTATCCTAACAACACTCTTAATTACTAGCACAAGTTAAATTTTTCATTTTTAACAAACGAAGTGGGAATACAAATAGCAAGTCATATTAAAAATCAAGTGTACCTTAACGACTTAATTTGAGTTAAAACTGTTTACACTTCTCATTAATCTAAATATTGGTGGCAAATCATAAAGAAATGACAAAATATGAGAAAGTTAATAATTCTTAGAGAATATTTTGCTAATCTTTTACTTTTCACAATTTTTTTCTTGGCTTTATACGAAATACAGAAGTTAGATTTATTTTTCCACACATACTATTATTATCTAAACATTATTGAATAGTTCATTCTTTTACCCAGATGACCAATAGAAGTTCTGATACACCATTTGGGAACTCTGAATCCTATTCTCTTCATCTCTTTGTATATCCCTTCACCATTACTGTACTTTTAAATTTGCTATAGCTTCTAAATATGTCTTAATTCTACCCCTACCTGGTTCTTTAAGACTTTGGTTTTTTGACCTTCTAAAATTCTGGAATAACTTGCTAAAATAAACAAAATAAAGAATGAGGTGGAAAAAGGAATCTCAAGTTAGGCAGGATTACTGTATAAATCCTTCACAGTATCATAAATAGGTACATTCAAATTTGTCATTTCTGGGAGTATATTCTTAGTTTTCTATAATTGGAAAGAAAATTCTGTAGAAAAAAAATGGTTCACAACCCAGATCAGGAAGTAGATCTCTCTCTCCCTCCCTCCCTCTGTGTGTGTGTGTGTGTGTGTGTGTGTGTGTGTGTGTGTGTGAGAGAGAGAGAGAGGGCAGGAGCAGAAGCACTCATGGTGTTTTTGTTTATTCTTTGGTCTAGGATGTTATATCTATACCATAGCCCTCATTTCCTTCTGCTTTACTTTCAATAAAGATGACTGAGCAAAGAAAGAAAGATGTAAGTCCTCACTAGTAGGTGATAAAACATTTTTTAAAACAAAAACAACCCTCACCTACAACTCAGTCCACCTACCCTATTCTCTACATCTCCTGAGAATCACACTTGGATGTTTGGTAAAAGAGCAATATGAATAAGAAGAGATGACCATTAACACAATGATTTAGTAAACATATTTTATAGGCCTTCATCTGATCTGTTATATAGACCTTTATTTTTTGCAATAGTATTCTTTAAGAGGTAACATTGAGTCTGAAATTATATTTAAAAACTTTAGTAAGTATTTTCAAAAATTTAAGATGTTTGACATAGACTTTCTCCTTACTAAGTTATCTCTCTCTCAGTAGAATGTGGCCCTGCTGCTTTTGAGACAATCCTCTTGAGATTTCAGTTTTTGCGTTTGGAAAATGTGATAATGTCTTCCTTCTAGGACTGTAGGGGTTAAATAAGATGATAAATGTATGCAACGCACACAGTGGGTACAAACATGATAGAAGATTAAATAGCTAGTCATCCAAAATGATCTAATTATCAACCAAATAAAGACAGATAACTTTTATTCATGCTTCCCCAACACTATTATTTTGCAAAATTTCAAACCTATAAAAAAGTTGAAATTGTCTCAGTAAATATTTGCACACTTTTAAATTATTTTGTCATCAATATTTTGCCACATAGACTTCATTTATTGATGACTGCATAGGTAGGTAGGTAGATGGTTTTTGCTAAACTATTTGAAACAGTTGTAGACTTGAGATTTCAAATCTAAATATTTTAACATGCATCTCTTAGGAACCATTATTTAAGTTTTTAAATTGATAACAATTATTTTTATAAAGTCAGTAGCTTTTATGATTAAGTTTGAACCAAAGCTCAGTGAGAAATAAAATATTATCATTCACTTTCCATATGAGTACAACACTGTGCTTTTCTAAAATCATGTACATCTACTGTCTCATTGATTCAACTCTAATGCCATGATAGATTAGGGAAGAGCAAGCACTATTGTATTGTCAGTGTTTACAATAATAGAGAAAATTTAAAAGCATTAAGTGAGTTGGTAAAAATCAAACTTGTTTTTAAAAGCCAGCTCCATAACTCTGATATACCATTTTTCCAAGTGAATGAAAGGAAAGTGCTTCATGTTAGGCAGCATGCTAAATGTTTAGAATCATTATCAACTTTTATTAATGGAATATCTCTATAAGGTAGGAATCATCTTCCTCAGTTTAAAAATGATGATTCAGAAACTCAGAGGAAACATATTCTTTACCCAAGGAAATAAAAGTAGGAATTAAAGCTGACTCTTTCTGGCTCAAAACCTGTGCTACTTGTATCTCCAAATTGAGAGCACCTGAGTCACTGCTCTGTGCTTGACTTTTGTCATGAAGAGTTGCCAGTTTTAGTCAGAAACCATAGTATCATGGGTGCCTTTTTTCTCTCTGTCCTTGGAAAAATAATATGAGTGGAAAATGGCAAACAAACTTTGCCTGAGAAATAACTTTAAAATATGGAAGGAAATAGCACTTGGATACATATTAATATTAATTTACATGCACTGAGCTAGTATCTATAAGATTAATCCTTTCAAGAGCTCAATTAGAAAGTATTTTCATCATCACATATGAGCTAAAACTGATAACTAAGCTAAAGCAGACATTCAACTTTGGAATTGTGGAATGTGTGTACATGCTGTTTTACTTGAATGTTATAGTTCAAAGGCAAAATTCAGCCATGGCTATGTTTAGAATGGTATTGTGCAATAAATCATGGATAAAGCAAATTCAGAAGAGTGGTCACTATGTGGAAGCTCTCTTCCACCTTTACATACTTCTATTTTTCTTCCTTTTGATATGTGCCCTCTTGTTCCCTACATGGCATTTTACGTCTCCTGATAATGGTTTAATAGTATTATTATTACAACTTTATTCTCTAAGGAAACAATTGTATTTGTAAGAAATGTCCAATTTGACAAAATGTTTATCTTAGTGGAAACACTATCCAGTAGGGCTGGGACATGTAGAGCTGATGGGGTATAATTCACAAGCAATTCTTTGAAAACCTCTCATAGGACACAATATTACTGACAATTGTGATATAAAGGACTGAGATGAATTAATATTTGGGATTTCACAGAGAAAATAATTCAAGTCCACATTTTTTGTTTGCTATTTATGTAAAAAGCTGGCATCCAGAATCACATTAAATACAATCTGCTACTATCTCATGGATGCTCTTTTTCTCTGCCTATTTCCCCCTAGATGCCCATCCTCCCCATCCCCTCTTTAGGGATCTGATAAGCCCCTAGGCTGCCTTTCCATACCTTCTACAAAATTCGATCTTAGATATGACCTAGTTTAATAGTAATTTATCTCTTCATGTGAATGTAATCATAGCAACATTAGTAGTATTATGTTATATATTTTACTTCAGATGAGTCATTAATTTTCTATTTCTATCTATTTAAAACATTAACTCAAATTTTGGTACAAAAATAATTATCCCCATTTTACAAATTTCTGGCATCACTAAGTTTGTGTATATAATTGCTTCTTAGAGATTCTAAAATAATATATCTCACAAAGGGACCACCTACTCTGCTTACATATAAGTCAGCTTTGATTGGAGTCCAATCTATGGTTGGAAAGGAACTAAATTATGTGTAATTGAAATAAATTGTGTTTAGTTAAGTCTAACCAACCACGTCTCTCTAATAAGGAAATACCAAAAAATACTCTACATTCACATCCTAGAGATGTTGTAAAAGAATCATCTTCCTTAATCTCTAAAACATTCACCTGTCAAATCAACCACCCCTGGAATACTTCAGGTCTAACTTAAATAGAAAGAAGCTCTTCTTTATCTCTAACTGCACATTCCCTTACTCAATATGTTTATGCATCGATGTCAGTTTTCAGAGTGCTCAAGAATATATATAAACACAAGAAAGAGACAAGAGGCAAATACATTACTAAAATTAGAAAAAGCTACATGTTAACCTCAATCTACTTTCCAGGGAGAATATGCTTAATGTTCTAGAAATATATATTTTTTAATTGATACAATTTCGATCTCACCTTGCTTGCACAGTCTAAGTTTCCACTTTACTTTGAGCAGTAAGAGTTATTCTGAAGCTTACACTATAGAGCTAGAAACCTAATCCAAGTCCATAAATGCAAAAGATAATCAGGATTTAGTATTTAAATAGGTGTTTTATTAATATCACCATATGTTTTTAAATTAACTTTGCTCGGCACTTCCTTAAATTTCTTCTCAAATAAAAAAGAAAAATGTCACTCACTCGCAGCAACCTGACGTGTGATAACAGATGGCTCTGGGGAATTTTTAGAGTAAAAAAGCAGTAAGAATGAAACATATCATCTATTATTTTGCCTTGCCCTCTTTATCACTTTCAATCTAAACAGAAAAGTGATGTATTACAGGAAAATGGTCCGTTTTGTGACATTTCTGATGTGACTATGCAATTTCAACACCAGGGTGGTTCATTTTCTGAAATAAATGAGACATGCTTTAACATTTCACGAATTTCATGTTTTGGAAATGAATCCTACAGAAATTCATTAAGCTAACCGCATAAACTCTAAATATCAGGAATTATCCTATTTCAATGATAAAAATATCCTAAGAAATACCCTAAAATATACATATATGGAAGACAATGGTTACAGCATGAGACTCATTAGAAAATTAATACTTCTATGTTCTGCTGATTGTGAAAAAAACAGAAACCAAAACAAAATTGAGTGTCTCTTATGCAAAGTTGACATCTGTCTCTGTGGTAAGATTTCAAAGTGTCTATGAAGATGCCTTTTTAAAATTGTCCCACCCAGACAGCCTGAGTGAAGACTTGATTTTCTTTTTCAGTACAAAATAGCAATTGCTATGACTTATTTTATGCTTAATGAATTAGTAATCACAGAACTAAGTGCTTTTTTTTTAATTTGCTTCATAACAGTTATCTCCATTATATAGATAAGACATAGAGGGGTTAAAACATATGTTCTAAAAAACATACTTAATAAACTATGTGCCTGAGGATAGAATGCAGATCAATGACAGGCCAAAATTTTAGAAGTTTATTCAGTCTTGCTGTTTGGAGATTTGGGGTAAAAATGTCACCTTTAAAGCAATACCACTTATGATATATTGTAGTTTATGACTAGAGAGAAGCCATGGTTAACCATGAAAATAACAGCATTGACAAAACTGTTTTAAAAATTTCTCATTTTCCAAATGTTCTTATCATTGTTAGAAGCAAATAATCGTCATCATTTTCGAAGAAAACCACTTTTTCTAGTCTTCAAAAATTACATCAAGTCACAGAGCAATACAGCCCTTTTGATCATTGCATTCAACCAGAACATTCTTAGGTCTCATTAGCCTGTAGTGGAAAAAATAAGATGGCGTTAATTAGTGATTCATTTCTCACATAGGAGCACCCCCATTGCTTGGTAAATACTCTCTGAACATCTGTGCCCCCTCTTCAGACTGTCTCTCCTGCTGGTGGTCACTCTCTTCAGCCACTGACCACAGCACAGCACTGCCTTGCTTTAAATCTCTGTGCTGTGCATCTATGAAATGCTTTCTCTGGCCCACTTCTTCATGCTGTGCTCTGCATCTTGGCATTGTTGAAATTGGGGAAATGGCCACAATTCAGATCACTGATCCAATGTGTAATTCCTAATTTCTTCCTTTGGGGCAATTTTAGCTACATCTCATAGCAGAGACTTATATGGGTCCTGAGATTAATAAAATATTTTAGTGCTATGTATACATAATCCTTTTTCCTCTAGGAAACACAGATACCCCCAGAGTGACTGGATTATAAAGTTTCAATAATAATTGGTAGGCTTTAGTAAAGACTATTTCTCACCTCCAAAAATCAGGCCCTGTTTTACACAAAAGCTAGATAAAAAAAAAAATATATGCTCTGGGTGAAGTGGGGATTGGAAAAACCTAGGCATAATTAACCCCCCAATCTTGATCCCTGCAGTAACATCCACACACATAAATCACAGGTTATAAAACACTAGTCTATAATACCAATTACTTAGTTTTTTTAAATATGTTTTTTCTTTCTGTATGCAATTAAATGGTATTCTTATGGAATCAAAGATCATGTGTTATGGGCTCATGATATGAAGCACTGTATACATAAAGGCACAATATGTAGCTGATTATCTGATTTAAATGTATGATTAGTATGGTTCTGAAATAACTTCCTATTATAGTTTTCATACATATACAAAACTTAAATCATTTTTTTCTAAAAAAGCACCTAGATATCTTGTGACTAAGATATTTTAAAAACCATAAACATTTAGTTAAACAATGTAAAATATTTCTACTTTGTCCTAATTAATTATATTAGTACACTTATATTAAGGCCATTTTAAAAATAGGTGCTGCTATTTCAAAAGTAGCATGTTATAACCAATTCTCATTTCACAGTTGAGCTAAAGACTAGAAATGAATAACCTATGGCCCATGGCCAAGCACCCATAGGAGAGATGAAGAGTTCTGCCATCTGGCATCCCAGGGGGGCCTTCATAAATAGCACTGGACTGTCAGATTTAAACTGAGTTTAAAGAGGGACAGCATGGCAAAAACAGGAAAACATACTGGGGGCTTCGGTATAATGGGAAAAAAGGCAGAAAAGATAACTTTTTCCATAAATTATCAAGTGGGACATAAATGCCCATACTATCCATGCTCCGAGAACAGGTCTCAGCCTATTTCATGAGGAAAACAAGTCCTGATGTAAAATTTTTAGACTTGGTTCGGCTACTAATCATCCATACAAAATGAGAAGCATGTCAATTTCCGAGACTTCCATTTATTTATTGTTAAATATATAAATATAAATACATGTTTGTGAGCATTGTCCTAAGATCTCTTCTGGATATATTGTTCTCTCATAATGAAAATCCTTTTCCTAGCGGATATTTCAGTAACATTTCTGCCTGCCCAAAATCCATTGTCTTTCTCTTGTTTGTTCCATATCCTTATGTTGCCCTGTTGTGCTTATGTCTCATTAAAAGGTGGTACTGCTTATTGGAATAGAAAAACTGCATTTATAAATTATTCTAATCTAGAAAAGATGGGCATTCAGCATCTCTCCTTGTATAATTATTCAATTGAATGTGATATTGCAAAATCATTAGTTGAATAAAATCATCAGGTGAACAAGTAATTTCATTGTGAGTCTAGGGAGATTTAAATTTGGTTCAGCACTTGTAAGCAGTATTGCTCACAGGAAGTACCTTCTGGGTACTTTATATGTTCTATGAATGATAAGTCCTGCGGTAAAAGTCATAATTTAATGCTCAGGAGTTGACATACATCATAAAGTCATTTATTATACAAATCTCTGTTGCTAAACATGAAGAGAGGAAAAAAATGTATTCAGGAGAAGAGGGAACATTTAGGTATAGCCTGTCATTTTCAATTCCTCAAGGCAGCTTAACTGTGGTTATTAGCCTTCTGACTGACCTCATGTCCAGGAGGACTGAGGGAGCATTCTCTGCTGAAGGGTTTCAAAAATCACATGGAAGTGTTGAGTTTGAAAAAAAAAAAGATCATATTTCTGGAGTTCAGGGTGATTTGTTGTCTCCTGAAAACCCATGATTAGAAAGCTCGCCATTTCTGAATGCATTCAAGAGGAAGTTGAATATATGTGTGGTCTAGGATAGTGTGGGTTTATCAAGAGATAAGCTCTGAAGACCCTTGCCATTTGGGAGAATCTATAGTTCTGAAAAACTTTAATTTCATAGAGTAAGATATTTTCAGCAAATTTATCATCTTACAGATATTTTCCCTTGCTTTTTAGTTTGCGTTCTCTGAGCACACATCAACAAATGCATAGAACAAAACTGTAATTAGTATTAATTGAAGAATAGAAAAAAATACAATAGGATTATTAAAAGTTTGTTCTTAGAGAAATTTAATAGATGCATATATGTACATATATATATATATATACACACACACATATGCAGCATAATTGTGGTGATATCAAGGGTAAAGGTTTTGAATGCATATTATAAGATTTTGGACTGGAACACATCTAGGAAATCCTTTCAGTACTTTCCCCTAAAGGGAGTTTTTAAATGTACTCAAGCTTTAGAAATTATATATTATTGTCATTATAAATGTTTCTTTTTATCTTACCTTTATAGTATTGTTAGTGTTATATTGATGGTTTAAAAATATATGCATGTTACATTTTTATTATTTTGATTTCATGATAAAGCAATTTCACCATAAATCTGAGGCAAAAAGAGAGTGTTGGGACTTATTAGGTTAGAACCAATGAAGTATCACAAACTTTTTCCCTATAAATGAAGAAACTAAAGTTCCGAAAAACAAATGACTTGCCTCTTATCACAGGAAAAATATTAGGAACACAGCCACAGCTAGACGGTGGGCATCCTGTCTCTTAGTGCAGCACTTTTGTAACTAAGTTAACCCTTAGTAAACTGAAGAAAAAATAAGACGTGAAGTTTAAAAGAGTCTCCTGAGGTTGTATTGAAGAAGAATGAAAAATTGCAATTAATAACATTTTTGTTTTTATTGGGGAAATCAAAATAATTGGCTGATTTCAGTTCAATTATTCACAGGATCTGCTTTTTCCTACCTATTTTTATCCGCTGCTTATTTTCATCCCAGCCTCTGAATATCTGCTCTCTGAATATCTCCAAAAAGAAAACTGAATATAATACAATATTTAATTATCTAAAGATATCCACAGCTTGTTTTTACCACATTAACCTTTGTACATAATTGACAGGGTAGCTTTGGTGCTTGCCTTAAACTAAAATAATAACTCTGAAATTTTTTTTTGTAATGTACTCCTTGGATAAGATTTTAACCCTATCCAGAATTCTTCAAAGCATTTTATTTAAACAAATATTACCTGTTAAAAAAGAATTCATTACTCAAAGTGAAAAATTGTTGCATATTTTCTTCTAAAGCCTTTTAAGTTTCATTTTTTACCTGCAGATGTTACTTCCACTATAATTGGGGGTAGAGGGGGTGTATGTTTATGTCTTTATCTGATATATTATCTGATTCATTAATTGTTTTATATATATATGCATATGTATATATATGTATGTATGTATGCACTGAATAACTCAGGACACTTAAATGGCTAGTCCATTCTTTTCCCATTTCCTTTTATGCAGTCTCTGTAATACGCCAAACAATTCATAGTTTCTTGGGCTTCTGTTCTATTGTATTTCATGAGATTAGTCCCTCCTTTTATGAATGTAATATTGCTTTAATTACTATAAACATTTTAACTCTTAATATATCTGACAACTCTTCTTATTGGCCTAGTGATCTTCCACATGAATTTTAAAATTACATTATCAAGTTTATTGAATCCCAATTGGTGATGTGATTTTATTACTCTAAATTAGAAATTAATGTAGAAATACTTTACTTCTTAATGATATTGACATTGTCTTTCCATTAGACATTCATGGAGAAATGGCATACAGTTTTTCTACTGTGGACTTGGATAATATTTTGAAATATGCCCCACAAAGTTCTTTTTAAAAAATGGATTTATTTTCTCATTTTGTATAAACTGTAGATATTTCGAATGAGTGTTAGTTTCTGTTATATAAGAATTCTATTTTTTAAATAAACTTTTATTTTGAGACAGTTGTAGAATCACATGCAGTTGTAAGAAATAGAAAGTATCCTATGTACCCTGTACTCAGATTCTCATAATGGTAACATCGTGGGAAGATACAGTACAATGTTACAGCCAGGATATTGACATACATATAGCCAAGATAGCATTTCCATCACCATAAGGATTCTTCCTTTTAACCTTTGTATAGATATGCCTAGTAAGAAACATTGCTTTCCTGTACCTACCCTCTCCCTAACACTTGTCAGCTGCTAATCAGTTGTCCATTTCTATAATTTTGCCATTTCAAGAATGTTATATAAATGGAATAACAAAATATGTTATATCTTAGGATAGATATTTCTTGCACTTCACATAATTCTTTAAACATTAATCTGCATTTTCGAGTCTATCTGTATTCCATTTCATCTATCAGTAGTATTTCATGGAATAAATGCTCATAAGTGTAATTGCTGGGTCATATGGTAGTTTCATGTTTAGCTTTTTGTTGTTTTATTTAAGAAATTACTATTTTCTGTAGGTGCTACACCATTTGGCATTTTTATGAGAAATGTATAAGTGATCCAGTTTTGCAACACCCTTATCAGAATTTGGTATTGTCACTTTTTTACAATTTTAGCCATTATGTGTTTGGTGGCATTTCATTGTGGTTTTAATTTGCATTTTCCTAATGACAGATATTGAAAATACTTTCATATAATTATTTGCCATTTGTATAGCATCCTCACTGAAATGTCTCTTTATGTCTCTTGCCCATAATTGTATTGCTTGATTTTTTTACTGTTGAGTTTTGAGTGTTGTCTTAGCTCTGGTTACTGTAACAAAATGTCATGGACTTGGTGGCTTATACAACATTTCCATTTGGTTCATTTTCATTCAGTTTGACACATAAACATATCTATAGGTATATTTTTATTTCCATGAGGTTTTCTCTTTGGCTCATGAATTATTTATTAGTGTGTTGTTTTGTTTCCAAGCATTTGGAGGTTTTCCTGTTAACTTTTTGTTATTGATCTCTAGTGTGATTCTATTCTGGTCAAAGAAGATTTGCTTTGTGGTCCAGGATGTAGTCCATCTTGGTAGATGTTCAGTGGGCACGTGAAAAAAAATGTGTATTCTGCTTTTGTTGGGTGTTCTATAAATATATTTTTGTTATGGTTATGCAGCAAAGTGTAACTTAGCAGGTCTAGGTTGCCCAAACCATGCACATTTCTAATTAAGGCCTGTGTTCAGGACTGGCTTTGCCTATATCCTGGGAATGAGCTCTGAGTCCTTGGAATATTCTGCCTGACAAGCAGGTTTTTGTATTTCTGAAGCACTGGGCCATGAGGTACATTTTTAATCAGATACATTCTCCTAGCAATGAAGTTTGTAGTGAATGCCTATTTTGCTCTGGGTGAGTGATCTCCCAATAAAAACCCCAAATACCACGACTCACTGAGCTTCCCTGATTGATAACATTTGCTAGTGTTTTTGCCTACCATGGTTAGGCAAAACTGTGATTCTTCTAAGAGAGACACCTAGAAACTTGCACCTGGTCTCTCATGGGCTTTATCTTGGGCATCTTTTTCCTTAGCTCTTTGTAAACATTAAGATTTATTTTCTTTTGAATCACATATTTAATAATATGTACTCTCACAATAGGAAAGGCTTTTACTTTTTCTCTCTAAAGAAAAGCTGAAAAACCAGCAAACTTAAAAATTCAGATAATTGGCAGAAGAGTTTCTAATTATGATAAATATAAAACCAAAAAATAATTAAAACACAGAACTTAAAAAAATTACTCAACAAAAAAGTAACTTTCTATATAAATTACACCATAAGCGTGAGTTAATATATGGAAAACAATCTGAAAAATGCTACAAAACAGGCTGCTTAAAGGTATTATAGATATAAAAATAACATTTTCATAGTTATACATAAAAACAATTATGCAGCTGTTCACTGTTTTTACATAACTAAAGATTAAATAATTTGCAATGCCTTTTGATGAGGATTTGTTTTTGCTTTTAGTGGTAAGAATACTTAAGATCTACCCTTTTAACAAATTTGAGTGTACAATACAATATTATTAACTATGAGCCCAATATTGTGTGGAACATCTCTAAAACTTATTCATCTTGTTTAACTGAAACTTTATTCTTATTGTTTCTTTTTCCCCTCCTTCCATCCTCTGGCAACCACTGTCTAATAATTTATAATGCCCATACTACCAAAATTAATCTACAGATTAAATATGATACCTGTTGAAATCCCAGTGGTATTTTTTTAACAAATACAAAAAAATTTATGTGGATCCCAAAAGACCCCAAATAGCCAAATCAATCTTAAAAAAGAACTAATATGGAGGCCTCATACTTCTGATTTCAAAATATATTACAAAGCTACAGTAATGAAAACAGTATAGGACTGGCATAAAGATATGATAAGTAGAACGATCAAACAGAATAGAGCTCAGAAATAACTTCAGGAATATATGATCAACTGATCTTCAACAAGGGAGCCAGGAATATATGATAGAGAAAGGATAGACTCTTCCAGAAATGTTTATGAGAAAACTGGATATCCACATGAAAAAAGAATGAAATTGGATTCTTTCTTATATCACTCAAAAAATTAACTCAAAATAGAGTGAAGACTTAAGTGTAAGACCTAAGACCATATAAAACTTTCAGAAGACAACATAGAAGGAAAGACTCATGACACTGTTCTTGACAGTGTTTTCCTGAATATGACACTGAAAGCACAGGGAACAAAAGCAAAAATAGACAAGTCAGGCTACCTCAAATTAAAAAAGCTTCTGCATAGCAATGGAAAAAAGTCACAGTGAAAACAAAACCTATAGAGTAAGAGAAAATATTTGCAAGCCATATATGTGATAAATGGTTCTAAAATATATAGAAACTCAAACCCTCAATACTAAAACAGAAAACCCAAAACATTAAAATAAAACCTTATAATCTAATTTTAAAATGGGTTAAAGACTTAAACAGGCATATTTCTAAAGAAGACATACAAATTGCCAATAGGTATTTGAAAAGATATTTAATGTCACTAATCATCACACCTGTTAGAAAGACTGTTACCGAAGAAGAAAACAAAGCCAAAGACAAGTGTTGGTGGGGATGTGGAAGAATTGGAATCCTTATATAATATTGGTGATCAGTGCAAAATGCTGCAGCCACTATGGAAAACAGTATGGGGGTTGATTAAAAAAATTAAAATAGAACTTCCATATAATACAGCAATGCATTTATTAGCATTTTGGATAAATTTGGGTATTTATCCCAAAAAATTGAAATTGGGATCTCAGAGATGTTAGCACTTTGACGTTCTTTGCAGCACTATTCACAGTTGTCAAGATGTGAAAAAAATTTCTTGCATATTTAATATATGTTATTTCATCAGAAATATAAACATGAGTGTAATAGCTTTTTTAGTCTGTTAAGTCCTTCTAGAGAATTATCAAGACTGAGAATTGTCTTTGTGGACCCCTGACATCATAGTGTTTTTGTTTCATTCTTCTGTATCCTTGCTGATTTTCTATTTGTTCTATCAAATATTAAGAGAGAGGGTGTTGCAGTCTCCAACTATAACTGTGGATTAGTCTATTTCTTCTTTCAGTTCTATCATTTTTTGCTTTATATATTTTGTATCACTGTTGTTTGAATGTATGTTTTTTATTGACCTGTGTTCTTGGTGGAACATTTTACATTACATAATGTAACTCTGACTCTGGCATTTTTTTTTTTTTTTTTGCTCTAATGTGTACTTTTTCTGATATTAAAATAGCTTATCCTATATCAAAATAATTATTTTGAATTATTGTATGGTTACTTTCCATTTACTTTCAACCTCGCTATATCAATATTTTGAAGTTAATTTCTTGTAGACAGCATGCATTAGTTTCTTATACCTGCTGTAACAAATTATCACGAACTCAGTGGTATAATGAATACAATTCTAGTATCATAGAGTTCAGGGAGGCAGTAGTATAAAATGAGTCAGCAGGGTTGTATTTCTTCTTGAAGCTCTACAGAATAATCTAGTCCCCCTTTTTCCAGTTCTCAGAGGCTTACTACCTTCCTTGGTTTGTGAGGGCTTTCCTCCAGGATTTTTTTTTTTTTTGAGACGGAGTCTCGCTCTGTCACCCAGGCTGGAGTGCAGTGGCGCGATCTTGGCTCACTGCAAGCTCTGCCTCCCGGGTTCACACCATTCTCCTGCCTCAGCCTCCCGAGTAGCTGGGACTACAGGCGCCCGCCACCACGCCCGGCTAATTTTTTGTATTTTTAGTAGAGACGGGGTTTCACCGTGTTAGCCAGGGTGGTCTCGATCTCCTGACCTCATGATCCACCCGCCTCAGCCTCCCAAAGTGCTGGGATTACAGGCGTGAGCCACCGCGCCCGGCCTTTCCTCCAGTTTTAAAGCAATTGGATAGCATCTTTGCATCTTTCTTTCTCTCTCATCCCTTCCATCATCAGACTTCTGACTTTCCTGCCTAATCCTTGATAGAAAACATAATGATTGACTTCCCTCTCATCCCCAGGTTTGAAAAAACAAAAGCAATGAGATCCGTGTATATCCATTAGATAGGAAACACTTTTTGTTTAAATTTTAAGTATGATTCATCAGAGTAAGGAGCTACGAAATAATTCATATCATAAAACAATGATGAGAATGTATTTTAGTACACTTCCAAAAGTATTAATAAAGAGCTTTAAAAATGATAAACTAGTTGACATAGTGTTTCTTCTTTTATGATATACCTTAAATAAACTATCAGAGGTAGACATAGATATTTACATTCTACAACAAAGAGCATCCTTATACAAAAAATGTTCAGTTGAATGATGTACTAGAGCCAATTTGCACATCTGTACCAAGCTTTGCATTTAGTTATGTCACACTGGTAGATTGAAATCAGCTATGGTATAACATTTATACTACTAAAATGGGAAAACTCTACAAATTATCAACAACCCTCTTTGACAGAATGTTTTATAAATGTTTATAAGCATATTTCTGATAAAAGAGTTATAAAATATCTCTACAAACAGTGTACTGAAAAACAAATAATTTTTTCAAGCAATATATAAAGAAAAACTTCTTAAAATGATTGAAGACATAAAACTATACATATTCATTTTTATAATAACACAGACATGATACAGTGAATTAAAATGTTGAGTATATAAATAAAACTTACTTGAATATACAAGATAACAAAATGTTTATAATTTTTAACATATATGAAAACAAATAATAAAGGTCATTTGCTCTAAAACATAACTTTGGTTGTTTACATTTAGGAGAGATTTTGTACAAGTATTAATAAATTTTTAAATTGTGAAATAACTAATGAGTAAATTAATCAACTTTTAGTTCCTATAACGTGTCCCAGATTGTAACTGATTACCATATGCTGTTATCTATCTATGACATAAATATAGCGGAGATTTATGAAACTAAGAAAAAAATAATTTTTAAGAGAGAGGATCTTGCTATGTTGCCCAGGCTGGTCTTGAACTCCTAGGCTCAACTGGTCCTTCTGCCTCAGCTTTTCAAGTAGCTGGGACTTTGGGTGCAGTGCCAAAAAATATCTGACATAACTGAAATATACAGTGAAGAAAATTACAAATAGTTAAAGCTTTGATCCATATACCAGTGGTGTAACCTCAGATACAAAACTGAATAAGACATTCTTCACCATCAGACTTGAAAGAGCTAAAGTATAGTTTTATTTATTTATTCTTTCATTTATTTTGAGACAGGGTCTCACTCTGTCACTCAATCTGCAGTTCAGTGGTGTGATCTCAGCTCACTGCAGGCTCAACCTCCCAAGCTCAAGCCATCCTCCCATCTCAGTCTCCTGAGTAACTGGGACTGCTGGCACACACTACCATGCCTACCCAGCTAATTTTTGTTATTGTTGCATTTTTTGTAGAGAGGAGGTTTTGTCATGTTGCCCAGGCTGGCCTTAAATTCCTAGGCTCAAGCAATCTGCCTGCTTTGGCTTCCCAAAATGCTGGGATCACAAGCGTGAGCCATCATCCCTGAACTTTACATTTTTATAGAAGAACAATAAAGAACACTACACACAAGGAACAGAGCTGTGTTTTGCTGGATTAAAAAACATAAAAATTGTCATAGAAGAAAGAACTTTCTAGATTTTTAATATCATATTTTTTCTTTCATTAGAACAAAACAAAAATTTTAAAATATTATCTCCTTGGCTTGCTGATATGATCCTTCTTGCTAAAAAATATCTCATTTCAAATTAAATTTCAAGTTTCTTGGCTTCCTCTGACTATGTGTGCCAGATGTACTTACTGAGATATTTGCCTTTTTCTTTTTTAATGCGATCATGTGGCCACTTGCTTTTACCTTTCTTCTGATTTTGAATTGTTTCTTTCTCTAATTTGAACTTCTAGTTCATTATATAGTCATCACAAAATCTAGATCTGAGTCTGGTGCAATACATCTGTTACCTGTGGCTGGATGCAGATTCCAAAGTTGTCACTGGTATGTCCTCACTTTGCAGATCAGCATGCAGTGTGAAGCCTGTGTTCTAATGACCTACACTGGTTACCTATAGGTGTACAGCTGGCTCGATTTTCTTTCATCCCACACCCCTCTCTTTTCCCCAGTAGTATTCTTTAGTGTCAAAATTTTAATCTCCCCACTTTACAGACAAGAATTTCTCTTTGGCATAAGGAAACCATTTGAAAAAAAAAAAGGAATTTCTCAATTACAAGTGAATATTGGTATACATTACATAAAATGATTAGAAAATGACAAGAAAATGTTCTTTTATGATTTTTAGTTTGTTACTGGTTCATCTGATATATAAATATAAGCTTTGACTTATATGTTTTTGTTTATTTCTACCCTATTTTGCATGTTTCTCTGTGTTTGGTAAAGTAGAACGTGTTAATTTTTCTGATTGAGTAATATGTGTTCTGTAAAACTCTTCCTGAAGTGAGCATGTAGAGAAATATTAATAGCATTTAGATTTATTGTAAGAAGATAACATTATTTAGTCTTTCTTTTATGTGAAAAGGTATAAGAACATATCAAAATAAATGAGAATAAGATAACTTACAGCAATAAAGACAAAACGATTCTACAGTGGTGGATAACATCACTAAGCCATAAACTTTTGTATGTGTGTATATTTACTAAAACTATCCTCTGAGGAATAAAGAGATGGAAAGGGGAAAAACATGAACATAGGCTGTATGGCAGGCGAGCCAACAGGATTAAGGAAAGACCCAGTAAGACCCATTGTCCCTGCAATTTCCCCTCTGATATTTTTATCAATATTTTAAGAGGTTCATTTAACCCTGTTCACAAAATAGAAAACCAAAATGTTACTAGACAGACATTGGTAAAACCAATCAAGATAAGGGTATATATTTATTTGGCTGCCAGTCAGCCAACAGTTTGGTATTAACGAACTACCATGCGCATAATAGTATGCTATATCCTGGCGACATTGTATTACATGGGCCATGGTCCTTTCCCTCAAGAAGTTTACAACCTAGATTTATTTTTGGCATAGTCCCTTCAAATATTATAAAACAAAAGATTAAATAACAGTACAAAATAATGATGCCAGGAATAATACATAGTGTCAAACATAATAAGCCACTTATGCAAACAGAACACATATGCAATGAATGAGTATTTCTTCAATATTTGTAGTCTTATATGTTTTCTTTCTTTCCTATTAGGAAAACATACAAGACTACAAATATTGAAAGAAAGACGAGATCAGTATTTGGAATGATTAGAGAAGGCACCATGGAAAGATAGGGCATGTGTTGGACTTGGAAAAATGAATATGTAGGTAGAGTATTCCTCATCCAAAATGCTTAGGGACCAGATGTATTTTGCATTTCAGGGTTTCTTTTTCTCTTCAAATTTTGGAATATTTACCTATATATAATGAGATATCTTGGAAATAGGACTCAAGCCTAAACATGAAATTCATTTATGTTTTACATATTATCATACACATAGCCTGAAGGTAATTTTATATAATGTTTTAAATAATTTTATAAATAAAACAAAATTTTGACTGCATTTTAACTGCAACCCAACACGTAAGGTCAGTTGCAGAATTTTTCCACTGGGGGGGTCACGTTAGCACTCAAAAAGTTTCAAATTTTGGAGCACTTTGAATTTCAGATTTTCACATTAGGAATGCACAGTCTGTAATGTGGATAGTTTAGGAATATAAGATGTGTGCGTGGGGGTGGAGGGAGTGTATATATTGTTATATAACATTAATTTCCAGAATAGCATTGTGAAAAGAAAGACTGAGACCAATCTGGTTTATTTATAGGAATTATAGGAAATATTCAAGTTGAGGAATAGGAGTAAGGCAGTTACTTCTAGAGTTGAGAGGGATGTGAAGAACATCTTGGTAAATAAATAATTTTCCAAGGCGTTCACTGTCCCTCTGTTTCTTTACATGCGTAACAAGGAAGTTTAAACATAAATCTATAAGATATTCTGTTGCCTCTCATGGTATAAAGCTGTGATTAAGTTCTGGAGGAATTCTAATAATAGTACATAGTTGGTACTATGCAAGAACCTTCATGGGGCTTGTAAGTACTAAGTCATTTCAGGTTTAAAAGAATAGAATGGGAAATCTCCGCCTTGAAGACAAGACCTTAAAAATTATTTTTATTCAGAAGATGAAAATAGATACTACAATACACATTTTTACCCCCTAATTTTGCCTCTGGAAAAAGTCCTAATAATTTTCTAGTTAACAAATCAAATAAAGGACAATGACTAACTCTTAATGGCTTTTTAAACGGTTGCCCACAACTCTAATGAGTAATTATACCATTTGCTGTAATGGTATTCCTAAAATTAATTATAGATTTTTGAAGGAAAAATATATATGACATTACTGTGAAGAAAAAAATGTGATAGGAGTGCTAGGCTAATGATGGGGAATTGTATACATTTTGTATAATCACACTTTTATGTAGCTTGCAAACATTTATCTTTTACATTTATTGGCTCTATTTTAGTTTTTTAAAGCACTAAAAAAACTCATTCTCAACATAGTTTATTGAATGTGTATGCTATAAAAACTGCATTCCGACTGATTAGTAATACAGGTGAGAACAACGGTTCTCATTAAGCTGAAGGGACTTACCTGAGGACAAAAAGTGAATCAGTTTTGTTTTTTTTTTTTTTCAAAAACAAACAAACAAAAAAAAAACCAACCATATGGTTTTATTTCTATCCACATTTTTGAAATTCTATTTTTTGTATGTAAGTTAATAGGATTCCTATGTTGGGGACATAGGAAACAATTCAAATAAAAATGTATAAATGGAATTATTTTGCTGTCTGGTCTAATTTTTTAGTAAGCATTTTCTGCTCATCAATAAAATGGTATAGATAATCAAATATGAAAGAGGCTAGCCACAAAAAACCAATGTGTTTCGACTTTTATGTAACAAAGTTTTCAGTTGTTTTTTTAGTTGCCATGAACCCTAAGATCATGTAACCTGAGCATACCCAGATGAACCAAGGGTGCAACCCCAGTGGGAACCTAAATGCTCAGTCTGAGGATTGGAGACTGAATTAAGAGCAGATACAACATGGCAGGATCCAGGATCCAATGAGAAGGAGCTCTGGCATCACTCCATGGCAGAATCCAGTCAGATCATGTGACCTGACATTACCTCATTGCAAGATCAAATCAGATCATGCCTCATTACCCTATAAAACCTGATCTAGTCCCCAGGTCCAAGAGATGCGTCTTTGGAAATTACCCCTGGGATATTCCCCTAACTTGTTATAAGTAATAAAATTCCCTTGCTAAATTCTCCTTAGTTGTGGTCATTGGGTTGACACCTGCCAAGCTACCAAACTCACCAGTTGTGTAACAAGACTGCTTGGTAAACAGTAATGAATGCACATTGCCATAATTACCTTTAGTTTTTGGTAATACCATGTTTCTAATAACACATCTAAATTATAGTTGACAATCTCAGAGAATGCATTTCTAACACTGCCAGGTAGGTCATGCATGTTGGTCAGTCTGGTTCTGCTCTAGTTGTAGAGACAGAAGTAGAACATTGCCAAGGTTCAGATCATTTAATCTCAAATGCTCTTATACCTTCTCAAATGGAAATTGCTTCCCCCATTACCAGTTCATCTCCTCCAATAATCCTGTCACTTATAGCATGAACAGAAAATGTTGGCATAGTTCTTTATCATCTGGAAGGATAATCTTCATGAATCTACCTCTGAAGAATAAGCAATTTCTCTATCTGTGGCTTTTGTTGGTTCCAGGTATACTTCTCATGCAAAGTGCCTCCTTAGCATTATGAAGAATTTGAGTTTCAATCAAGTTTTCGCTGTTTTTCTGTGGGAAAACAAAAAAGGTAGATAGTTTCTAGCTTTCTTAAAAAGACATCAAAAGGAAAAGGAACATGTTGAGAATGTAAAACTCTTTTTCCAACGTCATCATGTTAGTTCAGTGCCATCCCTTACACATAACTTCTATAAGACAAATGTCTCATAGTAACACACGAAAGATAAGAAAGTTTTTGTTTTTTTCCTTAAGAAAAAAACTTTCGTATAGAATCTTAGCAATAATATTAGTTAATACATCACTCATAGTCTTTTTGTGTTCAAGACCCATAAAACTTTGTTAGATCTCTTCAAATAATCATCTGTTTTATTTTGATGCTAATTTACTTTAAGCCATAGTTCTTTATAGAATTTTCTTGGAACTAATAATTACAAAAAATTGTGAGAAGTAGAGAGATACAAATGATTATTGGAACAAGTTCTTCAGGATACTCCTGTAACATAGGCTAGCAATACCCAAATCTAGATGTAAGAAGGGCTTTTTTAACTCAAGAAAAATTTACTAAAATCTAGATAAAAAATAAAGCTGATTCAACTAAGAATTTGATTTGAAAAGAGTTGACCTTACAGTGACAAATTCTCAAAGAATGTGACTTTGAAAACTATTTCTGTGGATGGAATTAGGCACAACTCATGCACACAAACATAGGGATAAGGGTCATGTAATATTAGAAAATGCTGTGTTAAACACTTACTAAATGAATCCTTGAGTTTAATGTGTAACTATAAATTATTAAAAACAATACTTAGTGTGCTATGTCTAATGTTATTTGGTCAGAGACCTCTTAAGACTAAGAAAATAGTCTTAAGACTCAGATTATCTAAACCACATCTTAGAACATTCTACTAAAGAAGAAATAATAGAAAACTAGGTTTCTGAAGACTTTTTCTTTTTTTTTCTAACTTTATAAATAAGATTATTCATGTTAAGTGTAATTCTATGAACTTTACATATTGATGTAAAAAAATTGTTAAAGGCCTATTGTGTGACAGATGCTGTGATATAAACTAGGAGATATGGAAAAATAAAGAACTCTCTTTTTATAATTTTGTAATACAGATATAGGGGAAAGTTATTAAAAACTGATTACAATAGTGAGACAACTGTTATGTGACAATTAGTGATTTTATTAAAATATATCTAATATCCCACATGTCATGTTTGATCTCATTTAATGTTCACAAACCACATGATATATCAATGTTATTATAGATGAGATACAGAACCAGGATAATAATAAAGCCAAATCTCACAGTTGATAAGTAGAATATATTTAAATGTGGTTCTGTCCAAATATAAAGTCAATTTTCTTAATCATGTACGCTTCTTCTGAGGACACAGAGTAGAAACTAGTTCAACTTGAGTGAATTAAGATTTCATGGCCAGGCACGATGGCTCATGCCTGTAATCCCAGCACTTTGGGAGGCTGAGGCAGGCGGATCACAAGGTCAAGAGATCGAGACCATCCTGGCCAAAAAATACAAAAATTAGCTGGGCGTGGTGGGACACACCTGTAGTCCCAGCTACTTGGGAGGCTGAGGCAAGATAATCGCTTGAACCCAGGAGGCAGAGGTTGCAATAAGCCAAGATGGCACCACTGTACTACAGCCTGGCAGCAGAGCGAGACTCTGTCTCCAGAAAAAAAAAAAAAAAAATTCATGAATAAAGACATTAAAACATTAGAAAATTCATTAGATCTGACTGTTTCAAGATGCCTAAGGGGAGGGGAGGGGAGGTTATTATAGACCAAAGAAATGAAAATTGGAAAGGCAAAAATTCATGATAAGAATGACATAATCAGGAAATATACTAATTTAGTGTGTATTTAGCATACAGCTCTTAACAAGAAGTGATGACAGAGAATTTTTTTTTTTTTGAAATAGTAAATAATCTCACAGGGCATGCCAAGGGTGATGAATTTCATTCAACAGGCAATGAAGCTGCAGGACAAATAATATACCTAATTTAGGAAGTAACATCATCTGATTTGGGGTTTCAGAAGATAAAATGATGATCAGGTAAGAATAGGAAACCATTAAGGAGCTTATTTTAGTAAGAGGGATTAGAAGCCGTGACATAAATACTTTCAAGGTGTTATTATTGGCCATGGAACCTAGAAACAAGCAAATGTCCATGCCAGTTCATACCAAACATTTTAGCTAAGTTCCCAGGAGCTTCAGTCAATGAGAACTATTGGGCCAGGGTATCATTGTTTCCAGACTGGACATCCGAAATGGTTAAGAAACCATCTCAGCTTGTTGCTCTGTTTTTAGTCTTCCTCCTATACCTTCCCAATCTGTTCTTACTTTGCCTAAGACATATTTTTATCTACTTAAGAAAACAGAGTGACTATCTCTTAAATCAAGTAAAAGTCTCTGTAATTACCTTATATATCTGCCCCTATGCATAAATCCCATCTTTTCCCCAGGAAGCCATAATGTAGCATTCAGAAAATATTTTTAGTCCCACATCCTGCATGTGTCCATGCTGATTGCACACCCAGCATTATCTTTTCCTTGGCATTTACACATCTAATCTCTACTTATTTGGGCTGAAGCTGCAGCCCTATCAAGTCTATGAAATCACCTCCTACTACCCATATGTATGAGTGTTCTGATGCTGAAGTTCCATTGTACAGTACTAACAAATTATCACAATTTAGCACTGAAAAATTCCAAGTTCACTTGTTATTATGTGGAACAATTAAAATGGAATCTCACATTTATTTCCATCTCTAGAATGAATTGTATTTGTTTGTAATATTGTCAGTAGGCAGAGAAAAAAATGGCTTAGTACCAGGATATACAATTTAAAAGATCTTTACAAACTCTAATCCTTTAGCTTTTGCTGCATAACAGTTTTTGCCTCACATGGTTTCAGCATTCCAGAACACATTTTGGAACTCACAGGGCAATCTAGACTTTCCCTAGATATTTCCTTTGAGCAGACTATAAAATGCACCACACAGGGTTAGGGATTGCAGACAAGATACCTTTGATTGGAGATCATCAATAATCAGCTTTGACTTCTACCTATTCTCCGGAAACATGATTTAAACAGACAATCGGGAAGCCCCAAGGGGCTAGGCATGAAAGCTATGAGAATCCACAGATTGGCAGAAATATTTTCTCAGACATCCCTAACATTGTCATAGCCATCCTATGCTACATATAGGCAGCTGGTATCTTTACATATGAACAGAGAAAATGATGGTCATGGCTCCTTACAATGCTGGCTTCTTATAGGGAGAGCTCAAGGGTCAAACTGCAAATATTTGGCAATGTGAAACATTCTAATAGAAACACATTTAGAGGGGACAAGTCGGTAGGAAGGAAAGCTGGAGACGACAGAAGATATACTACTGACATATAAAAAACTGACAGTGCAGAATAGATACAAGTCTAAGGATATCAAGAGTGATGTGGGTCTTCATACCCACTGCCTTGAAGGCAGGCTGATGTACCATAGGCAGGACGCACTTGATGACTGTTGTCAGAATCACCTTCTACCCGTCTTTAACTTGGTGCTGAAGCCCCTGAAGATCTTGAGATTGCTGTTTAAATTTGACTTCCATTTGCTGCATTCTTCTTGTAGGTTTCTTAGTTCACGTTTGCCTGCCCATCTTTAAGGAACTCAGACTATAACATGCATTTTGCTTTTGGGCCTCACACATATATATATATATGTATATAGCATATATATGGCACATACATAATTTTATTTTCTGGCCTAGAATTTATTTTTGTTATGATCATTCATCCACGGTGTGATGAAAAAGAGGACCAGAACCAAAGTTAACAAAAATGTAGACAATTAATGTAACTGTAATATATAATCAATTCTGGTTATCTGTAATAGTTCCATAGAGTCACCAAGATTATTGAATTATCAAATACTGAGGCATTGTTCCTACTGCAAATAGTTATATTCCTTGAACATCTATTCACCACATTTAAAATGACAAATCAGCACATAATCTTGTTGTGTGTTTCTGTTTAAAGACACCTTGTTTAATATATAGTTTTGATTCATTAACATTGAACTCAAAGGCAACAGTACCGTAACTCATGCCTCAGCATAGCTTAGCTAACATAATTCTTTTCTGTTAGGCACACCACACTTGTCTTCTGCTGGGCATACTAGACAGTGCTTCAGCACCACAACTGGGGGCCAATTTAAACAACAACATCAACAAACAGCATGAAAATGTGAAAACTGTGAGGCTAAATAGACCACAATAAAGGATACATTTGTATCATGAGAGCTGAAAGAAGAAGAGTGTTGCCTTTTTGACACCAGCTAAGAACATGTACACTAGGTGACTCAAATTTTTTGGCACTCTGTGCATGCCCACGAATGATGAAAGTGCCAGGAGAATTGACTTGGGGGATATAAATAAATTGTAGTGAGTAGGCAAATTCACAAATATAGATTTCATGAATAATGAGGATCAACTGTATGTGAAAGAAGTCAGCGGTTTCATCTTGTCATATTTAGACTTGCAGAAAATCTGTTGGGCGTTTATAATTATGCAACAAGTTTCCAAGTAAGAGAATAGAGGAGAAAAGTGTTGGGGTCAGTTGTTATAGCAGGGATAATTGACACTGTACCAAATCATATCGGCAAATCACTTGGAAGAAAGGAGTGAAATTTAGGAAAGCAAAACATGTACTGAGAATTGAAAACACTAATTGATAAAGAATCAGATAAAGCTTTTTATCTGATAAAGCATCCAGATTACTTTCCTAAAGAGGGTATATAATATTTTAGACTGTGATATGATAGGACTTAATGTTAAATATTCCCAGAAAGAGTTATCTTAATGCTGAAATCAAAGGCTCCCTTTAGCTTGGTGATTTCTCCATACTGACATAAGGTTACCTGTGCCAGAGTTCCAGATTCCAAATCTCAAACCTTGAATTTCTGGTTATGCTTCTGATGCTCATAGTTGCTCTGCTTAACTGCATTATGTCCCTGTTTCTCTCTGGTCATATTTCTCTCTGTGTCACATTGTCCAATGGTAGAACATAAAGCATGCATTACCCTTTTGCCATTATATCTAATATTTCTACCATGCCCCCCAACCGAACCCCAGCTGCAGATCCTTCACTGTCATTAGGCCCACCAGGGGACTTTTCATTACTTTATCTAAGATGCTAGGTTCTTAGTCTTGCATACTTTGATTGAAGACTGCTATAACTTTTAAACATAGAATTTAGGCTGCTCACTAAAATTTGTGTTTTCATCCCAAGCAGTCTTCACAAGTCTCTTGGTGCCTTTTTCCTGAATTGGGTGAATCAATGCCAGCGTTTTACCCACCAAAATCCTAAGATAAAAATATATAAAAGACTTTTGAATTCTGTACTACAATTCCAAATAATAAAAATCTACTCATGCTGACTTTTGCACCTATGAGATCAATGCCAGTTATATAGCATATTAATTTGGTGAAGGTTGTAAACTCTTTCGTGTTTAACAACCATTTATTCCCCATGCCTTCTAGGGTCACCTCTTTTATGATAATGCTCTTCAAACTCTCCTATCTCGCTGTCCTTTCATTTTTTTTTTTAAATCCTTGTGAACTAAGATACTAATTCATCTCTAACTTCCTGATCATTTTTTGCCTTTCTCAGTATGAATGCTGACCAAGCCATGTTTCATGATCCCCCTCATGAGCTAAATATTTCCATGCAGCTTTGTTTTCCTTTGCCTCTTCAACTATTTATTGCCTCCCTCACAGTCGTTTTCTCTAACTATACTGCATCCATTTTCAACAGCACTGCCCTAAATATGTGCATTCAACCAGCCATCAGAGTTTTGCTAGCAGCATCCCATCCCTATCGATCAAATATATGAAAATGATGCATTCCTAATGAAGAGTTTGTTTGTGCCAGTTAGCACTCTTTTTTAATTGTCAGATCAAATATTGTATGCAAAAGAACAACAGTGTATTAGCTCCTCCGCTCCTTTACTTCCACACTTTATTTAGCACTTTATCCTTAATTTCTTACTACCAGCCCAAGTCCTGTTGCTTTGCATTTCTCAATAATCATACAGCAAGCGCAAGCACTTGCTTAATGCATTTCATAAATATTTGGTACTTTGTGGTTGTGGTCTAAACTTTCCAGATTATTTACTGAAAAAATATTCAGTGTAATCTCATGCTGTCCTGAATTTCAGACCATCACTAACACTAATTCTTTTTGCCTGGTCCTGCCTTATTAAAATAGGCAGCATAATGAATAGCAAAAAATACTGCTTGAGGACTATTTTCCTCAATTAACCTCTCTGGATGCTGACAAAATTAGAAGAGTTTTATTAGCTCATTCCAAGTTGGATAAGCTATGGATCTAGAAGCATTCCCTTTATATTTCAAAACATTTGAGAACAATTATTACCTACTATCTAGAGTAAAACCAAAACCAAACATAAGTATACATTGAGAGCCTATAATGCATCAGACACTACATAGCAACAGTATGCTTTAACAGCCTCACAAAACTGCTGTAATTAAGTATTTTTATCGGTTCTTACAAATTAGAAAATTTATACTCAGAGAAGTTAAAAATATAATGATTAAATACATAAGCCACATCTGGACTGTATGAATCCAAACCTCATGCTTTTTTAGATCCCCCATAACTTCTGTGCTAATATTCAGGCTTGATCAGCAAGACTTTGAATAATCATAGCTCGTTGATTATAAGTCTTAAATCTATCCAGCACGGTATCTGTAGAATGGTAGTATATATATGGCTACTACAAATAAATCCCAAAACATACAAATGTTTAATTTATCAAAGCTTCCATGATAAAATTAAAATAACTTATTTTATACTATATAATAATATAACAAATTAGGCTATATTAATAAGTTAATAGTGGCCGGGTGTGGTGGCTCATGCCTGTAATCCCAGCACTTTGGGAGGCCGAGGTGGGTGGATCACGAGGTCAGGAGATCGAGACCATGGTGAAACCCCGTCTCTACTAAAAATACAAAAAATTCGCCGGGCGCAGTGGTGGTCGCCTGTAGTCCCAGCTACTCGGGAGGCTGAGGCAGGAGAATGGCGTGAATCCAGGAGGCGGAGCTTGCAGTGAGTCGCGCTAGTGCACTCCAGCCTGGGCAACAGAGCAAGACTCTGTCTCAATAAATAAATAAATAAATAAATAAATAAATAAATAAATAAGTTAATAGTATGAAGTTTTAGCTTTATGGACTTGCCATTAATTAATTGACACTCTTTTTTGGAATATTCACTTCTCTATCTTTGTAATCAGTTCAAGTATTCCAATGTTACAGCCTCACCTTCTAGACATGGTGACAGATAACTAAGTTGAAGATACCAATGTTTGCAGTTGCTAAAAGTTTCCTCTGCTACACTTTATCAGACCTTATAGATACCCAGTATTTTGAGTCAAGTTTTGGTAAACCTACTGAACTTCTCAATAGGGTATCTTATAAGCACCTCTATTCTAATTTATACATCAAACGTTTCTGGTATCTGGTCTTTTGAAGACAGCGTACCAAAGGGTCTTGGTTCTCTATCCAGCTTGCCACTCTGTGTCTTTTAATTGGGGCATTGAGCCCATTTACATTTAATATTAGTATTGATATGTGTGAATTTGATTCTGTCATCATAATGTTAGCTGATTATTTTGCAGACTTGTTTATGTGGTTGCTTTATAGTGTCACTGGTCTGTGTACTTCAGTGTGTGTTTTGTAGTGGCTGGTAATGGTCTTTACTTTCCATATTTAGTGTTTCCTTCAGGATCTCTTGTAAGGTACGTCTGGTGATAACAAATTTCCTCAGCATTTTTTTGTCTGAAGAGGGTCTCAATTCTTCTTGACTTATGAAGCATAGTTTAGCTAGATATGAAACTCTGGGTTGAAATTTCTTTAAGAATATCAAATATTAGCTCTCAATGTGTTCTGGCTTATAGGATTTCAGCTGAGAGGTCCACCGTTAGTCTGATGGGCTTCCCTTTGTAGGTGACCTGCCTTTTCTCTCTACGTGCCTTTTAGATTTTTTCTTTCATTTCAACCTTGAAGAATCTGATGGGTGTGTCTTGGTGATAATCTTCTATCAAAGTGTCTTACTGGAGTTGTCTGCATTTCCTGAATTTGAATGTTGGCCTCTCTAGCTCTGTTAGGGATCTCATGGATGATATCCTGAAATATGTTTTCCAAGCTGGTTTACAATTGCAACAAAAGCAAAAATTGACATGTGGGGTCTAATTAAACTACAGAGCTTCTGCAAAGCTTCTGCACTCAAAGAAACTATCAGTAAACAACCTACAAAATGGAAGAAAAGTTTTGCAAACTACGTATCTGACAAAGGCCTAATATACACCAGCTATAAGGAACTTAAACAAATTGAGGCAACCCCATAAAAATGTGGGCAAAGGACACGAGCAGACACTTTTCAAAAGAAGACATACATGAGGCCAACAATCATACGAAGGAAAGCTCGACATCACTGAACATTAGAGAAATGCAAATCAAAACCACAATGGGATACCATCTCACACCAGTCAGAATGGCTGCTATTAAAAAGTCAAAAAATAACAGGGGCTAATGTGGTTGTAGAGAGAAAGGAATGTTTATACACTATTGGTGGGAGTGTAAATTAGTTCAACCATTGTGGAAGACAGTGTGGTGATTCCTCTAGGACCTAGAGTTGGAAATGCCATTCAACCTAACAATCCCATTATTTGTCTTCTCTTTGTTCTCTAGTTCTTTCTGTTGTGTTAGTTTGTTAACTTGAGAACCAGTATTGTTAAAATGGCCATATGACCCAAGGCAAGTTATAGATTCAATGCCATGCCTGTTAAACTATCATTGACATTCTTCTCATAACTAGAGAAAAACTATTTTAAAATTCATATGGAACCAAAAAAAAATGCCCAAATAGCCAAGGCAATCCTAAGCAAAAAGAACAAAGCTGACGGCATCATGCTACCTGACTTTATATTACAGGGCTACAGTAACCAAAACAGATTTGTAGTGGTACAAAACAGACACATAGATTAATGTAACATAATAAAGAACCCAAAAGAGGACCACACACCTACAACTATCTGAGCTTCAAAAATCCTAACAAAAACAAGCCATAGGGAAAGGATTCTCTATTCAATAAATGGTGCTGGGATAACTGGCTAGCCATATGCAGAAGATTGAAATGGGACCCCTTTCTTGTACCATATACAAAATTAATTCAAGATCGATTAAAGGCTTTAAAACTCAAAACTATAAAAAACCTGAAAGACAACCTAGGCAATACCATTCAGGACATAGAAACAGGCAAAAATTTCATGACGAAAATACCAAAAGCAGTTGCAACAAAAGCAAAAATTGACAAATAGAATCTAATTAAACTAAAGAGCTTCTGCAAAGCAAAAGAAACTATCCTCTATTGGTTGGAGTGTAAATTAGTTCAACCACTGTGGAAGATAGTGTGGTGATTCCTCAAAGACCTAGAGGCAGAAATAACATTCAACCCAGCAATCCCATTACTGGGTATATACCCAAATGAATACAAATTGTTCTATTATAAAGACACATGCACACATATGGTTATCGCAACACTATTCACAACAGCAAAGACATGGAATCAACCTAAATGCCCATCAATGATAGACTGGATAAAGAAAATGTCGTACATATACACAGTGGAATACCATGAAGCCATAAAAAGGAATAAGATCATGCCTTTGCAGGGACATGGATGGAACTGGAGGCCATTATTCTTAAAAGAGTAACACAGGAACAGAAAACCAAGTACCACATGTTCTCACTTATAAAGGGGAGCTAAATGATGAGAACACACACTGGGGCTTGTGGATGGTAGAGGGCGAGGGAAGGGAGAGGGTCAGGAAAAATAACTAATGCATACTAGGTTTAATACCTAGGTGATGAAATGATCTGTGCAGTAAATTCCAGTGACACAAACTAACCTACGTAACAAACCTGTGCTTTTACCCATGTACTTAAAATAAAAGTTAAATTTTTTTAAGTGATAAAAATAAGTCAACCAATATTTTTGGATGAACAGGAAAAATATTAAGAATGAAACTTATGGAAGTACTCTTTTTCTGCCACAGTAAGGATATAATTACCTTGTTTTACGAATAAGAACAGAAGAAAAGCTGAAACTCAATGAGTTAAGCATCTAACACAATAGAAACATAATGAAAAATAAGTAGAACATAGAAAATTTAAAGAGCCTAAGTTAATAAAAAGAGATATTCCTAATATAATGGAAATTAATAACAAAACCAAACACTGATTCTTTGACAAGATTATTAAAATTGATCTTCATATTTGATTAAGAAAAATATATTATATAATGAATGAAAAGAATCTTACATATCCTGAAGATGTTAAAATACTATTTTGAATAACTGTCAATAATTGAAACTTTGAAAAAATTTCTAGAAAATAAAACTTCAAAAATTGACACAGGCAGAATTTGAAAACCTATGTTTAGCTGACATCATCACCAAGTTGTATTTAACATTCATATAAAAATAAACGCAGTATTTGCCATAAACTTCCAGGTGACTACATATGAGTGTATATTTCAGAACTCATTTTATGAAGCCAGGATATTCTATAAAACATTGTCAAAAATGACAGAAGAATGGAAAATATCTGTTTAATCTTACTCATAAACATAGCTGCAAAATTCTTAAGCAAAATATTATGAATCAAGTAATAAATAGCATAATTTATTGTGTAAATATGGGTTTACCATAGTTTTATTATTAAAAATTAGTCAATGTAATATGTAAAAGGATAAAAAGATACAACATGACAATATCAAATTATGTAGAAAAAACCCCTATTGAAAAAATTCAATATAATTTTAAGGCAAACTTATGATTTTGAGAACAAAACAAATTTTTGGAAACTTGGAGTTAGGAGATACCCTTTATTTGATAGAGTTTTCACAACCATCATAATTAATAGTGAAACATTGAAAGATTCGATTAACATCAACAATGTAAAACAATGAAATTTTGTTTGGTTTTAGGTGAATATTAAATAGTAAATCAAGAAGAAATAATAAAATTTAAAATTCAGCGTTTATCAGCCAACATAGTAAAAACTTATTTCAGTCAAAAAATATCAATACAATTCATCCTCCCTTAGCCACAGCTTTCACATCTGGAGATATTAATCCAAACACGGGTGGAAAACATTTAAAATAAAAACAAGTAAAATTATAAACAAAGAAAACACAAATTTTAAAAAGCATACAGGGTAATAACTACATAGCATTTACATTGTATTAGATATTTTAAGTAACCTAGAGATGATTTAAAATACATAAGAAGATACATATAGGTTATATACATATACTATGAAATTTTAAGTCATGGACTTGAGCATCAGAGGGTTTTGGCATTGGGACAGGAGTGCTGAAACCAATCTTCCAGGAGTACCAAGAGATAACTGTAGATGCAAAAAATAGTGGGTGAAAGTTTCATGAAGAACAATATTTTCCTATCTCAAAATACTTCCTCACAAAAATGCATTTTAATTATAAAGGGAAAAGAAGGGTAATTTTGTTTCACTTGAAAACCTGGCAAATATCTCCTTAATCAAGTCACCTGTTAACTTCAGAAGGTAATGGGCAAATCAAAATTGTAGACCACACAATGGGATGCAATGAGAAGAGTATAACAACACTTCTGGGATGTTCTTTCAAAAATGTATTATCTGAATGGTAATCATGAGAAAACATGAGGAATATTATTCAAAGCTACTTGCCTGTCATCTTCAAAAGTGTCAGTATCATGAAAGTCAAAGAAAGATTGAAGAATTCTTCCAAATCAAAGGAGTCGAAATAAATACAACAGTTCAGTGTAGCTTTTGATCCCGGGTTGGATCTTTTTCAATAAATGACATTAATGTGATAACTGGCAAAATTTTTACACAGTCTATAGATTACATACCAGTAATGAACCATTGTCAGCTTCTTCATTTAGATGGTTATATTACAGTTATATAGGAGAATATTCTTGGTTATAGAAAAAATAAACTGAAGTAATTGGGCATGATGGGATATCATGTCAATAAGGTACTTCTCAATGGATCAGGACTAACAAAGGTCTTTATCCTAGCCTCCCAACCTTTCTGGGAGTTTGAAAACATTTTAAATACAAATAAATAGTGGTCAAATGGTCCCCAAAGTTTAACAAGATATGCCTGCCAGTTTGGCAATAATTAAAAAGTTTAATAATACCAAGTACTAATGATGCTATAGAGCAATACAAAGTCTCATATGTTGTCTTCGGATATGTACATTGGTTAAATCATGTTAGAAAATAAGTTGGAATTGGCCAGGCATGGTGGCTCACACCTGTAATCCCAGCACTTTGGGAGGCCGATGTGGGCGGATCATGAGGTCAGGCAATCGAGACCATCGTGGCTAACACGGTGAAACCCCGTCTCTAATAAAACCACAAAACAGCCGGGCGTGGTGGTGGGCACCTGTAGTCCCAGCTACTTGGGAGGCTGAGGCAGGAGAAACGCGTGAACCCAGAAGACGGAGCTTGCAGTGAGCCGAGATCGCACCACTGCACTCCAGCCCAGGCAACAGAGTAAGACTCCGTCTCAAAAAAAAAAAAAAAAAAAAAAAAAGAACATGAGTTGGAATTAATGTGGTGAATTTGAAGATATGCAAACACTATTGCCCTGCTATGGTAGGCAGAATTCTAGATGTAGAATTCATGACCTAGAACTCATGACCTTTGGTCCTTACTATTACTCCCATGATTATGTTAACTTACGTGGCAAAAGGGATTTTACAGATGCATTTAGATTTACTAATCAGTGTTCTTAGGATGGGGAGATTTTCTAGGTGGGTGGTGAAATCACACGTGACCCCATTAGAGTAAAGTTTTCTCCAGCAGGTGGCCGAAGAAGATTCAGAGCACGGCGAAGATTTAAAAGAGGGATGTTCTTTGCTGTAAAAATACATACACATCGTGACATGGTACTGTGACTAGTCTCCCGGGCCTGAGAGAGGCTCCTAACAACCTTAGGAACCTCAGTCCTACCACCACCAAGAACTAAAGCAAAATCTTCCAAAAGGCAAGCTCAATTAATACCTTGATTATGGCTTTATAATATCCTGAGTAGCAAACCCAGGTGAGTGAATGCAGGCTTCTGAACTGTAAAATTGTGGGATAAGAAATTTGTGTTGATTTAAACCCCTAAGTTTGTGATAATTTTTGACATAGAAATAGAAAATTAATATACCAGGCTCCCCACCTCTAAGTATATACCAAAAAGAAATTTCTGAGCATGAAAATCATTGTACTCGTGTAGTATATATGTGTGTGTATATATATTTATTTATACATACATGAATGACATTGTTCTAATATCTAAAAATAGAAAAAAACCCATAGCTGTATATTCATATATTCATATAAACCCATATATTCATTCAATGCAATACTTCTGCACTGAAAGTAAATAAATTTTATCTACAAAAAAAAGTGGGTAATCTTACAATGTTAGGTGAAAAAAGAAAGACATAAAATATATATAATATGAATCAATTTGCATAAAGTTAAAAAACACACAAAACCAAGCTATGTTTTTAGGGGTGTTTTTATAGCATCCCTATGAACTAAAGCAAGGAAATGAGATACACAAAAATCAGCATAGTGATTTTTTAAATTGTGGCATATACAGTTCTTTGTGTTTGCAGATAATGTAACAAACACAAAGAAAATTATAACTATGGCAAAAATATTTCAAGGAATTGTTTTTAAAGTCTAGTATTAAAGGAGTATACTGGAATCTTAAAAAATTTAAGGACTTTTTGATTTAAGGAATTCCATACTTGGGATATTAGGCAGGTCATTTGGACTCAGCATATTTCTCTATCCCCAACAGTTACATGCCAGTGATGAAAATTCTACCATTGTTGCCTTTTCATTTAGACTTTCCCTCTCTGTGATTCTAAAATAGGAATGCTTGCAACAATAAAATATTAAACTAATCTTTCCGTATCCAGAATAACAGAATCACTTTTCTGAAGATGCATAGTTAAACCTCAAACACTAAATACCTATTGGATATTAGATACTGAGATGATACAGCGGCAGCAAATTGAAAAAATATGGGTTTCAGCAAGGTAAAGAAAATTGACTTAAAAGGGCCATTGATCACATTCAGGACGTATTTTACAGCATCATATCCCAATTTTGGATTTCCTCCCTTTGTTCTAATATACATACAAAGTTTGGGCGAGAAGAGTTCTTAATGTAAGAAATACTGGATGAAAGAAATACTGAAAAAAGGTAGTTGACTATGTGGCTATATGTCAATATGGGCCTCAACAATGAATTTACTTTTGGAAAAGGAAATGAATGACAGCAGAACAGAGAATACAGGCTTTAAATTTTCTTCCACAAAGAAGTACAATTTACAATATAAAAACACAATATAGAAACAGAGGAAAAACATAGGAATGTTCTTTACAATCTCCCTCCCTGTAAAGCTATGAACAAAAAAAATTTGCTTTCAATGATTTATACTATCAAGTTTTTAAATATCTTTACCAGCTCCAGAATTGTTCATCTACAATCACGTTTATGTTGATAAGGGCAAGCAGATGGTTAGGAAATCATATGATTAACAGCACGCTAAAATAGTTATCAGGATGAATGAGCAGTTAATTACCCATTGTTAGATGCATATTCCCCTATGAAAAATATACTATGACAATTTTCTTAAAAATTTCAGGAGGGCCTTTTAGACAAGGCATTGTAAATCCCCCAGGGGACAGGATAACAAGATGGGTGGAAGTTTATAGGAGGAAGACAAGTTGCAACCCCTTGGCTCATCTGTTAATCCAATACTCACAGCAGCTTCTCCTTTCATTGCAATATATATTGAGGTTATACAGGGAAACAGTCTGATGAAGTAATTAAAAGGTCGAGACATACTGACATAAGCCTGTAGTCTTAGCTACTTGGGAGGCTGAATCAAGAGGATTGTTTGAACCCAGGAGTTCAAGGCTGCAGTGAATTATGATCACGACACTGAACTCCAGCCTGGGCAACAGAGTAAGACCTTGTCTCTAAAAATAATTTTTGTAAATAACTGTTTTTAAAGGTCAGGATATAATGCTTTTTAAAAAGGAGTTAAACTTTTTCTCTAGCAATTGCCTACTCTAAGTTATATGAAGTCCCTAGCTATGACACTCAAACTAAAAAAAGCTGGGATTCATGGGCTAATTTTCCCAGGTGGAGCACAGGGCTGAGTCTCAACTTTATGAGTCAAGAAACGTGTTACTGTCCTTGTACTCAGAGATAATGAATGTGAGATAATATTCCTTGGAAAACTGAGTCTCATGTTCTTGACTCAACCTGTTTTTTTTTTGTTGTTTTTTTTTTTAATCTGGGAAATCTATCAGCAAAACAAAATTGAGATTCTGAGGGTGTTTTTGGTGTGAATGGATGAGTCATGGGTATTAGCGAACTTGGTGGCCTAGCAAAGTCAGGAGGAAGAAGGACCTAGTTTTTAGCATTCCCAGGACACATTGTTTCCTTGTAGCCAAAACCTGCTGTCCTACCTCAGGGCGAGTCTAGGAAGACTAGCAGGGTAGATGGAAGACCTGTCAGCACCTCAAGTCTCTGGGCTAGGTGGACTGTGACCTCAGTCTGGAAGAATCTGCTATAATTCTGGGACAACTCTGCTCTCTCAATTCTCTTTTTCTCAAGTTATTCTCTTTCTCACTTCTGTCATGCCTTTCCCTTCATTGCTAATCACTGCTGAAAATGAAAGCTCAGACACTATCCTGCTATTTGTGCTTTCAGCCTTTCCCTGAGGTAATTAGGCATAGTCTCTACGTGAATGTGGGAAAATAAGAGAATATGTATGGAACATCGAGAAGAAGTAAAACAAAAAACATAAATTAATAAGTTGAGCGGGTAGGTCTTATGCCTAGAATTCATGTTAGGTCCCACAGCCGAATGCAAATTATTCCACATTCTAAAGTCAACTCTAAATGTGACCTGTCTTCTCCCCCTATGCTGCGAAAGCCCTGCCACAGAGCATCATCAAAGACAGTGATTACAAAATAATAATAAATTCCGTAGTCAGACTGCACTGAGTTGAAACTGCACAATAAATCAGTAACAGATCTGTCCAATTAACAATGAGCCAAATATTTAATTTCATCACCCCTGTAATTTATTCTTGTTTATGAGGTCATTTCACATCCAAAATATAGAATCTACACACAACATCCTTAGATAGCTACCTATTACTATGGCAAGAACTGCCTTAATTGGTTATATTTACACTGACTTAAACAATGGAATTGTCTGGCTGATGAACTGCAAAATGAGGATTCTGCCCAGGTTTGGCCAAATGCTAATGGTGGGCTTGTCATTTATTAACTTCTGTAAATCCCAGAGAAAAAGGGAGAGTGTTTGGCATGTAAATAACATTGGCAGATTTAGCAAATAAAAATGCAGAATGCCTAGTTAAATTCAAATTTCAGATAAACAGCTTTTATTTTAAAGAATAAGCATATTGCAAATATTGCCTGGAATGCATTTATACCCCCAAATTAGATTTTGTTTATTTGAAACTTCAATTTAACTGGATGTCTTTTATTTTATCTACCAATTTTACATGTAAGATATCCCTTGTCATCAAACTTTTTTTTCACTGAAGATTTATCTACAAGTGGAACCAACTGTATCAGTAAGAAGCAAAGCATAAATTGCTTTTTGAATATATTTGTTGGAGCTGGATAGAAGAAACATATGAAATGTCATACTCATTGAAACCATAATATAGTATGATCTGATGTTTCAAGTTCTACCAATAATAGTCCATTTCTTTGTTGCTTTTATCAGGATTCCTTTCTAAATGTAAACTGTGGTAGGGAGCAGTTAATGAATTCCTGGTGCAACTGAATGTTAAAAATGAAATTCACTTTTGTGTCAAGTTTCAGCTAAGTTCCACAGATGCCAAAACAGAGTGAGTATTTATATAGATGTATGGTGATCATCATCTATGTAGGTTTAGTAAAACAGCCTGAAATCAGTTCAGTAACGATTAGCCTAATCCCCACGTTGAGAGCGTAAGATTAAGCTCAAGTAGCTGGGGAAGAGAATATTTTTGTGGGGAGAGTTCTAAGTATGCAGTAAATCTTTCTCCCATCTAAGTATGCAGTTAAGTCTTTCTCCCATGGAAAAGGTGGGGATTTGCTTTCTCTCATTTCAGCCTTAGTGAAAAGATTGCAGGAGATTTTTTTTAGAGAGCATCATGTGTTCTCTTGGAGTGGACTTCCATGAGATGTGAGCATTACAAAATAAATAAAGTAGAAAGAAAAAGACTACCATTGTGAGGCTGGCTAAAGTGGTCTGTGGAAGCAGGTTGTAAGATTATTTGGGGAAAATAAATACTCTTTGACTGAAAGCAGGACACAATTTCATGTTTCTAGGGAACCAGATGTGGTAGGTGTATTAGCCAGAGGAAGTTTTAAAAGCTGGAGAGGTTTTTCTGCAAAGGGTGAATTCATTAGAGGTTCATTAGAGGCTGAGGGGAGGTAGCAGGTAGACAACCGAAAAAAAGAGACTTTGGCCATTTTCTAGGTGGTACCAGCTAGAGGTGTTCAAAAGCAGAACTCTGAGTCATCCAGGAAAGCACTAGGAAAGGCAGATACAGCTTCAAGCAGTGGCCAAGGGGAAAGCCAGCTCAAAGACTATCAGTCTCACCAGACATTTTCTGGACTTACCTCTGAATATTTCCTCTCTCAATTCTGCAGAAAGAGGACCACTTAGTGAATGGGAGAAGGTGAAAAGAGGATGTCATAGGTAGTGAAATAGAAAATAATGTAATCATAGTTCATCACCAAAGTCAGTTACCACCTGATATAGGCCCAAGAGGTCAGGGGAACTTCAAGTGCAACACTGAGCTTCTGACTATTCTACAGAAATAAATATTTCAAATACTGATTGAGCCCATTCTTGGATAAAAGTTGCCAAAATACTTTTTATTATATGAGTAGCTGGAGATATTCTGCCACCTGCCCAAGATACATTATGCTAATTGATGAGGAGTAAAGGGCAGATTTAGTACATTTGTAAGGTAGGAGACATTTCTGTTTGACATCTAGAGCAGGGGTCAACTTTTTCTGTATAAGGCCAGATAGTAAATTAATGTTTTAGGCTTTGGGGGCCAAGAAAAAAAATGAGGCTATTACGTAGGTGTTTGTAACAACCGTTAAACCATATTTTTACTGAATGTTTATTAACAAATTCAGAATATAACAAGAATTTAGTAATTTTTTGGTAATACACATGTATAAGTGAGGAGAATTGAATTCTTTTTGGGTGGATAACATTTTTCTTAATTGGGCTTCGATGTTAGTGTTCTTTACTATCAAATAGATTACAGAGGTTCATCTGTAAAATCAGTTCTTAGCTCATGAGCTGCACATAAACAGGCAGTAGAATAGATTTGGCCTGCATGCTATTTGCTTACCCCTCTTATAAAGCCCCAATTCTTTCATCAAAATGGTTACAACTGGACATGTGTAGTTTCTCCAGGTTTCCCCTAGGTGAAGGTTTGAATGCAAATGAAGCCATCAGGCACTGGGGCGTGAGTAAGCCAAGTGAAATGTAAAAGGAAGTGTTCAGCTCTCTGGCAGAGAGGGAAAAACTGTGGACATGAGGGACATCTCACTTTCCCTGCTCCTGGTGATTTCACTTGCGGTAATAACCCTCCATAGTGGTCTTTCTGCATTTGCACCTGCCCAAAGTACCACTGACACCAAAATTAATCAAAGAGAATGAATTTTCCAGAAGGGAAGAACTACCACAAAGATGCTCCTCTTATGAAAGGAAGCAGCCAAGTCACTTGTTCCATAGATTATTTTTCCCCTGTCTTTCTCCTTAAAATTAGTCAAGTTAAATTGATGCCATTTGTAAAGACACTGACATAAGTAAATGAGAAACTTTGCAATAGAGTTGATCGATAGCTGAAATTATGTTAATTTTTCTCTGAAATGGAGATGAGATTTCTTCAGCAGAAAACATACTACTCCATATAATATTCCATTTACTTTGTGACAGTTTAGCATGTTCAATACTTTTCTCTGGAGTTGGGTACCCAACACTGAAAATTCCACAATTTAGTGATAAAACTTGATTCAGTGCTAACCCAGCGAGGTGGTAGTTATTGCTTTGCGGAGATGAAAGGATTTTGTTATTGTTTTCTGGAATAGAAAATGAGCAAAAAAAAAAAAAAAAAAAAAAAAAAAAAAAAAAAACATAAACTCAACAGGAGCTCTGAGAAATATCTGAGAAATACTGACATGTTATTATAAATCATTATGTGAGGCAGAAAGCAAGGCAAAGCCATGAAATCTTCCCTAGATTCCTTCATTTGGGTTGAGAAGCTATTTGGCTTGCTTTGATACATTCCTAATGTAGTGTGAAAATGGGTTTACTAGATATATAGGACATCATCTGGTTACCTGTAAAACAGAAGAAAATTCCCTGGGAATCACTTCACAGTCTTTTGGGAAACCCTATATGATGCTCAGTACCAGTTACCTGAAGGGGTTAAGGAGACAATCCCTACCTTTCGGCAGTTTTACACATTCAGAATTTCTCAGACTTCCTTGACCCTTTCAAACTGGGGATGCCAATTATCCTATTAGATGTAAACAAGGATCCAATCACAGGGAGCAGAGTGGGAGATATTAGCTTCTATGTCATATGCTAGCCTAGTTGAAGGAAGCTAAAGGTCATTTGTAAACCTCCTGTTAACTTCTAGAAGGCCTGAGGATGGTTGCAATCTCTGGAGTCACAAGGGCCTTTTTTACAGATGACCAGCTGGTTAAAAGGAAGAAAAAAAAAAGGAAAAGAAAAAACTGTTATTAGCTTTTTAAATGATAGTGTAACGAGGCTTGGTGAGACAAGAAATGCTAATGTGTCTATAGTAGAGAATAATGTAAATAAAAATTAATCAGAAATGTACTAAAACCCCTTAAAAATTAAAATCTAAGAAATTTTGTCAAATATGGATTCAAATATATTAGTAAACAAAATAATTCACTGAACTTTACACTTTGGATTTTGCAAATGCATTTTGAATGTCTACCATTTATACATATTATATTAAAAATCAATTCACTCACAGAAAGCTAGAGTCAAGAAGGGACCTTTGAAGTCATTGGGGTCAGCATGTCTCTGGCCTCTGTGAAATAAATGTCAGTGGCATTCCCCAGTCACATGTTATACAAAAACCTTCACACACATTATGCATCATTTTACTGTTCAGAGAACTAAGTGGAGAGGAATTGTATTACAGCAGAGATATCACAGCATAGCTTTTAGAAGTTCAATGCTTAGAATTAATTAGACTGACCCAAATCCTGGTTCCACCACTTGACCACTGACAGATATTGAGAGTTTTAAAAAATCTCCATCAGCATCTATTTGGTTTCCTGTTAAAAGAAAAAAGCACATAGCTCTATTTACCCCCAATAAATATTGTGGGAAAAATGGTGAATTTACCTCCTGTGCATGTTTTTGCTTGCTTTTCTAGTTGATTTTAAATACTCTATTAGTAAAAATATTAACCTTTATGTTTCTAAATCTTGCAAATGTGTTTATCATGATAGTTGGCATGGAAATTTATGATTAAAAATATGGATTCTATATTTCAAACCGTTTCTGCTCTTTCTCCTTTGATGTTACCCTCTGTTTCTTCCAAGAATCAAAAGAATTCTGAAAAGATCTGTACAATTAAAGTTTACAGTCTAGTTCCCAGATTGACCATTTATCAATTTTGTGGCTTGGTTACCAAATTAATTTCTCTAATTTTGATTTCCCCATCCATAATGTAGTAACAATAAGACTTATATTACTACAAGGTTTTCTTAGAATTAAATATACTTAGTAAACTATAAAGTATTATGTAATCTAAGAACGCATTGGTTCTTAAGAGAAGATATGCAGGTAGAACAAAGATATATTTACAGTTTTCTCTATACTTAACATTATTGTTATATAGTATTACAAAAAATGTACTTTGTAAGTTTTTAGTGGTATAGTTTTTTCTTACTCAATTTTAATGTCTATAGCTATTTTCACAAATCCAGTATACACAGTTCAGTTGTTGCTTAGAGTTAGTCAATTTTATTCTCCAATGTAGATGTACATTTCTTGTATGGTGTCTCAATTCTCACCTGGTGTGTTGTGCTTGTTTGCTTGCTTTTGCTTATGTTTTACTAAAAACTGATGGATCTAATATTCCATTCACTTAGAGTGCCTTTATCTGCCTGATCGGTTGATCTGAAAAACAAACAAACAAACAAAAAAATGATGAGCACTACTGAGTTAGCCCTACTTAACAATTCAGATATTGAAACATAGAAAGCAAACTCACTATAAAAATAAAGTAGAGTGTGTTGACACTGTCCTGGAAGGTAACACTAGACAGGCAGATGACAACATTAGATATCAAAAGTATAAGTATCCTATTTGAAATCAGTTAAGACATTATAGATATATACTGTTTTTACAATAGTTACATTTGGATTTGGAGTAACCAGTGAGAATACTTAGAAGCCAGTAGGGTTTTGGGACAAAAAGTAGGCATTCTACAAATTGTACGCAAGAGGGCCCCAAGTATTATACATAGTGGGCTCCTAAAAAGAGTTTTTCAGGAAAGATTTTTGCATTCAAAACACTTGAAAACCTTTCACTGGCTTGATAACTATTGCAGTCATTTATCCCAGCAAAAACAGTCTCCTAAATCTCATCTTGACCTTTGTGATTGATATGGTTTTGGTGTGTCCCCACCCAAATCTCATCTTGAATTGTAGTTCCCATAATCTCCATGTGTCATGAGAGGGACCCAGTGGGAGGTAATTGAATCATGGGAGCAGTTACCTCCATGCTGTTCTTGTGATAGTGAATGAGTTCTCATGAGATCTGATGGTTTTGTAAGGGGCTTCCTCCACCCCTTTGCTCTGTATTTCTTACTGCCGCCATGTGAAGAAGGATGTGTTTGCTTCCCTTTCTGCCATGATTGTAAGTTTCCTGAGGCCTTCTGTATTATAAGGGTTCTCTTAGAGGGACAGAATTAATAGGAGATATATGTGTGTGTGTGTGTGTGTGTATATATATATATATATATATATATATATATATATATATATATATGAGTTTATTAAGTATTAACTTACATGATCACAAGGTTTCACAATAGGCTATCTACTTGCTGAGGAGAAAGGAGAGCCAGTCCAAGCCCCAAAACTAAAGAACCTGGAGTCTGATGTTTGAAGGCAGGAGGCATCCAGCACAGGAGAAAGATGTAGGCTGAGAGGCTAGGCCCATCTTGCTTCTTCACATTTTTCTGCCTGCTTTATATTTGCTGGTGGCTGATTAGATGGTGCCCACCCGATTAAGAGAGGGTCTGCCTTCCCCAGCCCACTGACTCAAATGTTAATCTCCTTTGGCAATACCCTCATCCAAGATCAGTATTGCATCCTTCAATCTAATCAACTTGACACTCAGTATTAACCATCACAAGTCCACCCCTTGTCAAGTTGAAGCCATACACAGCTCCTGAGATCACACATAATCTTCAAATAAAGACAATAAGGTCATAATTACACCTAACGTAATACAACTATCTTTTGTACAAGCAGAAATGCACCAATCCCCAACCCAAATACTATTACATAAAGTTAATACTTAAATGCTGATATGAAGTCAATAAATCATATGTCACATGATAAAAAGGAAATAAAATGAAGATATTGTCTTCGTACAAGTGTGCACATTCACAAACATGTTTTTAACAAAAGAAGGAGGAAATACTAATGACAGTTATGGTCCTTTCTGCAGCCGATCACGTGGTCATGGGTGGTATTGATGACTACCTCCTTCTACTACCCATTAGGTATTCCCTTTGCCTTCAGGAAGCACTTGAGCAGGTTGTGTGTGTGTGTTTTTGTTTTGCTTTGTTTTTTGTTGTTTTTTCCTAGTGTAGTGACCCAAACCTTCATTCCCAAGGGGTCTGGACCATTTGTAGTCCTACTTGGATTGGGCTGTTGTAGTTTCCCATTAATCTTAATCACAGGGCATGGTAATACTAAGAGAAGCCCTAATAGATCTCCTGTATTCCATGCGTACACTTCGTTACCTCCATTGTAGAGTAGTAGACTGATTTCATCTTGATAGTCCAGACCAATCACCCCAGCCAACACTGTAAATCCCTTTTCAGCTTGCTGACTCAAAGGTAGGAGGAGCCCAAAGTGCCCAGGTGGCAATCTTAACCTCCAGTTTAATGGAATTGTTATTGTGTCTCCTGGTGGCAGCATTCCTCCCTCTGGAACTGAGACCTCTAGGCCAGCAGAACATAATATCTTGGGAACAGGAAGCAAAAATTTTGCTAGTGGATCACTAGGGGTGACAGTGAGTGGTGCCACTTCAATTTCCACCCCTTGATTCCCAGACCCGTGAATCTGGGCTACAAGAGAAACAGTACCATATATTGAATGCTGATTCAGAGCATACATGGCCTTCTGGAGAACTTTGTCCCAGGCCTGCAAAGTATTGTCACCTAGTTGGCATTGTAATTGTGACTTCAAAAGGCCATTCCACCGTTCTATCAATCCAGCTGCTTCAGGGTGATGGGAAACATAATAACAGTGAATTCCATGAGCATGAGCCCACTGCTACACTTCTTCAGCTGCAAAGTGAGTGCTTTGGTCAGAGGCAATGCTGTGTGGAATACCATGATGGTAGGTAAGGCATTCTGTGAGTCCATGGATGGTGTTCTTGGCAGAAGCATTGCATGAAGTATAGGCAAACCCATATTTGGGGTAAATTTCTATTCCAGTGAGGACAAAACTCTGCCCTTTCTGTGATGTAAGAGGTCCAATGTAATCAACCTGCCACCAGCTAGCTGGCTGATCACCCTGAGGAACGGTGCCATATCAAGGGCTCAGTGTTGGTTTCTGCTGCTAGGAAATTGGGCACTAGGCAGTGGCTGTAGCCAGGTCAGCCTTGGTGAGTGGAAGTCCATGTCGCTGAGCCCATGCTTAACCTCCATCCCTGCCACCATAGCCACTTCGTTCATGGGCCCATTGGGCAATGACAGGGGTGGCTGGGGAAAGATACTGAGTGGTGTCCACAGAACGGGTCATCCTATCCACTTGATTATTGAAATCCTCCTCTACTGAGGTCACCTATTGGTGAAAACTCACACAAGATACAAATATCTTCACAGGTTTTGACCAGAGAGGTCCATCCACATACCTCTTCCCCAAATTTCTTTGTCACCGATTTTCCAATCATACTTCTTCCACGTCCCTGACCATCCAGGCAAACCATTGGCTACAGCCCATGAATCATTATATAATCACACATCTGGTCATTTCTCCTTTCACGCAAAGTGCACAGCCAGGTGTACCGCTTGAAGTTCTGCCCACTGGAAAGATTTCCCTTCACTGCTATGCTTCAGGGATGTCCTAGAAAGGGGCTGTAGTGCTGCAGCTGTCCACTTTCGAGTGGTGTCTGCATATAGTGCAGAACCATCTGTGAACCAGGCCTTAGTCTTCTCTTCCCCTGTAAACTGATCATAAGGAACTCCCCATGAGGCCATCAGGGCAGGCTGAGTGACAGAAGGAAGGGTGACAGAAGTGAGAGACCATGGACATTTGAGCTACTTCCTTATGTAACTTACTTGTGCCTTCAGGAACTGCTGGATCCTGATCACATATATACCCCTTCCATTTGATGCTGGAACACTGCTGTGCATGACACACTTTACGACTAGATGAATCAGAAAGCACCCAGCTCATGATAGGCAGTTTAGGTCACATGGTGACTTGATGACCCATAGTCAAACGTTTAGTTTTCACGAAAGCCCAGTAACAGGCCAAGAGCTGTCTCTCAAAAGGAGAGTAGTTATCTGCAGAAGATGGCAAGACCTTGCTTCAAAATCCTAGAGGCCTCTGGTGTGATTCACCTATGGGGGCCTGCCAAAGACTCCAAATAGCATCCCTATCTGCCACTGGCACCTCAAACACCTTGGATCTGCTGGGTCATATGCCCCAAGTGGCAGAGCAGCTTGCACAGCAACCTGGACTTGTTGCAGAGCCTTCTCCTGTTCTGGAGTCCCATCAAAACTGGCAGCCTTTCAGGTCACTCAATAAAAGGGCCGGAGTAAAACACCCAAATGAGGAATGTGTTCACCCAAATGAGGAAGTTTACCTCAATAATTGCTAGAATATCTAATGGACTATTTCCTGCTACACCTACACGCCCCATCCCTATTCACTTTCTCTGTTGGCTTCTTTACCTCTTCTTCCAAGTCCATTAGTGACCTTTACCTACAAGTTTGTGTAGAAATCAGCCTTGACAGAGACAAGAAGTGTAATACAGCCTCCTCAGCCTCTCATTGCATAGAATTTAGAACTCAGCTACTTATCCTGCTTGTTGGGAGCCTGGTACATAGTAAACAATCAAATAAATATTTCTTGAAAGAATAAATGAACAAATAAATGAATTTTTATAGCATCATTTTATTATTGAGTACCCTTTGCTGACAATTAGATATGAAGTCTTCTGATGCCCTGGAATTAAGTTCTGCATACTATATTGCTCCCAAATCAAGTTTGTCTTCTTGCTTAGGTGTAGGTAAAACTCATGATCAGATACATCACGACCAATTGCTCTCTCAATACAAGATAGCAACTACTGAATAAATCTCTTAATCTTCTTTTAGATTTTGTACTTCGTTTTTTACCTTTACCATTATAGTCATCACCACAAGCTTAATCTATTACATTTTTTTCCCAAGATAATGGTAAGGATGCATTTTTTCATTCAGATCTATACTAGAAAGCTAGTCATCCAGTCTCACTAATAAGCCAAAGACCTAGGAGGAGTGGACAAAGTAAATTACATCAGAACATTCACAGATCCACATTTGAAGTCTAGAATTGTTCTACTAAAAAGAAATTATAAAAAATTAGCTGGGCGTGGTGGCATGTGCCTGTAATCCCAGCTACTCTAGATGCTGAGGCAGGAGAATAACTTGAACCTGGGAGGCAGAGGTTGCAGTGAGCCAAGATCGTGCCATTGCACTCCAGCCTGGGCATCAAGAGTGAAACTCTGTGTCAAAAATATAAAAAAAAAAGGTGTATGGTTCTTTGTCATTTGTTTGGTGGAGACTGACTAGTCTCTTTCCGGAATATTCAAGCTCTTTCGGATGAGTCTTAACGTCTCCTAAAAAAGACAGGCCAATGTTCCCATCATTGCCATTTACTCAATGATCATTTATTTTCCAGCTTGTCCACCATCTCAATTTTAGTGTTATCACTGTTGAGTAAATTGTCCTGAGGCAGCAATCTGTCATTCTCCAAAGACAACTCAACTCCCTCAGAACTTTACAGGGCATAGGTGTAGCATTCAAGAATATAATTTGCAAAATGACATCCTGGGATGCTAAAATCTTTGATTCGTTTCACATGATAAGTCATTTCTCTGAAATGGTTATGTCGTCATTGCACTGTGGCAGAAGGCCAAGGGTAGGCCATTTTAGCTAGCTGAGGTCACTTGGCAAGTCTGCTTACAATTCCTGGCCCTGGTGAGATTCATTCCAGTGATGAAGTAAATCTTTCTTTGACAAAATGAAGATATCATGTTCCATTAAGTAGAATTTATTAAAATAGTCAAATATTCTCTGCAAAGTTCTATGATAAGGAAAAAAACAATTTTGTTCAATATCCAAGTAAATTACCATAGAATATCATAAAAATACTGAATAATTGATTCATTAAATCATTTATGCTCCAAACTAAACTTATAGTGTGCCATAGCACTGCATTTGTTATAAAAGGAAAAGGTTAATGAATTAATAATAAGATTTCTTGCCTGTCAGAATTAATTGAGATATTTGGAGGAATATTTAGAAAGAAATACAAAATAACTTCTATGAAACTAGTATACATCAGTGAGGATATATGGTCCAGAATTTTTGAATATCTGCTTAATGGGATATTTGGAAGAATCAAGTTATAAGATGGGAGACAGAGGGGAAGACATACTGGGAGAGACAATGACATTTGCCAAGGCCTATAAGCCCACTAGACTAGTAAGAGTATGAGGGAGAGAGAGTGGGAAAATGAGAGGAGATTTCTAGTCTACTTAGACATCTTCTATTCCAACTACCAGAAGACATGACAAATCTCAAAAGTGGTAGAGAAAACTTCACTTGGTCGGAAGTTATATAGATCTTGATAAGTCTGTGCCACTCACCATTTGAGAAAGCTGTTTCACCTTCCTGAATTTCAGTTTTCTAGTGTTTAAAATAGTAATAAGTTGTAATGAGGATCAAATAAGATGATACATGTAGAGCTCTGTGTCTGCAACAGATCCCAGGGAAATGTTAGAATCCTTCCTAAGTCCCCCTTAATTTAGAGGGGTTGCTATTGTTATTTAATTCTAAGACAACAATCACCACACAGCCTACCAAAAGATTCCTATTAATGCATCTCCTAGAAACCAAATACATAGAACTGTGAGCTGAGGTCACCCTGAGAATATTTTCCATCCTTGTACCTAATATAGTCACTTCTAACTGTATCTTTATGAATCTAGATTTTCTGTTTTCTGTATTTGTATTGGAATCAAGGATGTGAGAAGACTTTGGAAACTGCAAAAGAAAAGAATTCAATTATACCAACTATGTCTACATTTTAAAATTTATTGTTCATTGTAATTTTTCCAATAATTTTGATTTTTTAAAATTGTGTTAAATATTATTTGATTACTGATTTGGGGGGTATCTTTTTAAATCATGTGGCTGAGGCAAGTATCTTATTGTCTTACCCTAGTCCTGGGTCTGTAGGAGGTATTTTTAGATGTTGATTGAGCAATTTTGTTTTTGTGTCACCTTACAATAGAATTCAGGGTGAGCTTCATCATAATATATTATGTCAAACAAAAAAGAAAATTGATGTGCAAAAGAATCATCAGCAGAGAGGGCATGAGATTACTCCAACCAAGGAGATGGGATTTCTTGACTGCTCTCCCTCCCATTTCATTATCACAGATATGGCCTCATGGCCTGTGTAGCCCAGTGCTCAAAGGCCACTTCAAGGTGTTTGGCATGCAGTCAGCATCACTGGAAAACTAGACATTTCTCTTTTTGTTAGTGACACCTCCGCTGGTTTATGCTTTTCTAATAATAATTTATGATTCATTGAGCACTTATAGCATGCTAGACATTGGAATATGTATTTATATTTCTCGACCAGTTTTAATTATTTTTAAGGAGCCAATAGGAAGTTTTTATTAACATTCTACAGATGGTGAATCTGAAACTGAGAGACATCAGCCAACCTGTTGAAAGCCTGTTCTTAGAATTAAGTTTCAAATATGGCAGCCTTCCTCAAGAGAAAAGAACATTAAAGAGATAAGACATTAAAGTTGGAACTCTGAACTCTGGAAATAAATATAAATTAGACTACAGGTTACCATGCCCATAGTTGAAAGATCTTTATGATCAGCATAATGTCAAAAATAATATCCTGATTGGAGTTATATAGAATTGATAAAACATCAACAAAGCTGCAACAACACACACACACAAAATCAAAGTATCATCCCTGAAAATACAGAAAAGATAAGAAGCTAGGTTATTACTGTGGAAGCAAAAAAAAGGACCAGGCTCTGGGAAAATTTCAGCAGTTCATATTGGCAGAGTTTGGAATACAGAATACAATAGTATGAGTAGTCTAGAAAAGTAAAATAGAAGTTATGAATCAAATAGAATTGGGTAAGCTCTCAGCTGACTAAAAGCCACATTGGGAGAAGGGCATAATTATTGGATAAAAGTAAGCAGCAAACCATCCTAGTTTGCCTGGGACTAAGAAAGTTACCCCAGACATAATCACGTAGGGCTAAAATGAGGACAATTCCAGGAAAGTTGTACAGTCCCAGGAAAGCCAAGATAGTTTGTCACTATAGAGTGAACTAGAAGTTCATAGTCTAAGCAATCAATACTCAGAATGGCCTAACTGGATGAGGCAAGTCAAGTCAAGTGGTGAGTATGCTAAACTTAGAGATGGAAGGTAGACAAGTCAGGTGGTAAGATGAGCTAGATTCAGAAATATGAGTGTAGGCAGGAAAGTCAAAGTTCTCGGTTATTCAACAATCTGCTCGGCTAATGGATCGAATAATGCATGTGCAAAGAGTTGCAAAGTAAATGGTAATACATTTCAAAACTGAAAAATAGATCAAGTATTATGGGGAGTTAGAGGGTGGAAAATTGCCAATTGCAGTGAGATGAGTGAGGAGGGATTGAAACTGATATTTTAAGCAGATTGATTTGTCATTAAGCATATTTGGAAGAAAGCAGATGGAAGATGTGATATCAGAATGGGCAGGAGATGTACAAAGTACACACTAGTTGTATACCTGATATGCCCTACCGTTTGAATGGAATTTGGAGCTGAAATGGTGTTGTAGAAAACTGCATCTGGAATTAACATTAGGATTGGTCTTTAATATCAAGGTAAACATTTTAGATTGTATTCACCAAATATCAGTGAACCAACCACTTAAAAACTTGTTATTAGGAAAACGGGCAATGAAGCTGAGCTGTGCTTTAGAGAAATTGCCCAGACAATGGGGAGCTTTGGGATAATGAATCACTGGATACGTCGAGTCCTGCAAGGTGTAATGATAACTGTCCAGAAATGGTAGGAGACAAAAGCTTGATAAAATGAGAGGAGGATGGAAAGAACAGGATAGTGAAAAGATGAGAATTCAAGGCAGTGTGGCAAAGTGGGATAAGCTCAGGTTTTAGAGCTAGACACACCTCAGGTGATTCCCCTGATCCTTGGCTTAATGGCAATATGAACACAGGAAGAAATCTGAACTCTTCCAAGCCTCAGATTCTCAGCTGCAAAATGAGAATAATATTACCTACATCAGAAGCCTGCTTTAAATTATCAAATATGACAACCGATGTAATATCCATATTACAATGCCCAGCACCTAGACCTTCAGTAAATGGTGACTATAATACCAGAAATTGGCAATTGGTTGCAGATGGGAGTCAAGGCTAAAGTATCAAAATATTGTCACAATTTTATATCAGAGTTATGCAAGGGTTTTCCAAAAGTTAATGAGATAGCTATTAGGTTTCTCCCTCTGAAGTTATAAATAATTTATCTGCCTTCAAGCCTCATCTTTGCCAGGTTCTAGTCCTGTAAACTTGAAAATTCACCCAAATTTCTCCTGCAATTATATTTGAGGGGGAGAAGAGATGTAAAAGCACACACATAATTATATATCATTTACTAGTTGGCAAATTGCTTACAGAATGCTTACATTCTTAAACATTTCTTTAGGATTAGATTTTGGTGTTGGGCATGCCAAAGAAACACATGGATTTTCCTCTAAAGAAATTGATTCAGTTGTTTCCAACATGAAATAGATAGGGTTAGGATCAAGCACACTAAACATAAATATAGGAGCTGCTCAGATAAGAGACTGTACTGTGGGATAGATATTCTTACGGGCCGGTTCACAGGGAATGCAGAACTTGAGCAGCAATGAGTAGGATTTGTTGATGGGATTCTTAAAAGGGAATCTGGAACAGTTTTTGGAATACTCTGACCTGTTCCATTAGAGTACAAAAGCCTTGTTCTGTGATAAAACCCCCTGGAGTATCTTCCTTTTTCAAATTCATGAGCTGATTCTTCTTACTGCTTGAAGATCTTGATGATTGGAATTTGCATATTAAGGTGTAAAGTGGGACCAAGAGTTTTCCAGGAGCAGCCACCTGGCACAAAGTTATAAAAATGTCTTGAATGACGGCAACTTAAAAGACCTAATAATCCAGCCTAAATGGAAAATAAATGTAAACGTAGTACAGAACCATTCCCAAGAAATTTTGGCATTAAAAGAAGTTCATTTTGTATGCCACATTGGTCCTCTTTGAAGATGATTTTTTTTTTAAAAAAAGGCAAACTGAGGACATTCTATGCCCCTCATGCAGCCCACAGTAAGATTTGAGAATACCAGTGCTCACATTGGAATTTCCGTAATGACTAGGGAATATATGTCCATATGGCTTGGGAATGTCCCTCAGCCAATAACTCTTAGAAGGAAATTGTAAGTGCACTAAGGGGCATCGTTAACAATGCTATTCTCTTAACCTTACAGCAATGTATTTCAGTTTATGGAACTTATACCGACATTTACAGACCTTTGGGGAAAGTACTGAATGTGGGTTTAATCATCTTGGTTAGATATGTGACTGTCCAGGCTGGGAAAACTCTTTTTGAAAGCATGCTCCTTCTTTCAGTTTCAACAGATGTTAGAAGAATAGATCTGTCTAGAATATTCATGCCCTTGTATGCATGCCTATATCTATCTAGTGAAGAAAATGAAAGGTGCTGCTGTAAGAATTCATTGCCAATATGAGTATATTAAGAAAACCAAATTGTTGGTTGCTAGCATAAAATCAATTGTGCTTTGTTAGAGAAAGTTGAATCCACAAAACAATTGTGAAGACATTCACAGCACTGTAGGCACTTATTGGTTTGAACAACTCAAGCTAACACATTTTTATTAGAGGTAGATATGATTCAATCATTTGCTGGTAAGTAACGTTTTCTTCCCTCCCTCCATGTATGAAACTGTTGCCTTAGCAACACAAGTGCCCAGATGACTTATGCATATTGTTGTGTCTTTTCTTCTGCTTTGATCTGCTTTCTAATTTGTGAAGTTTAAAAAAAAAACTTAAAAAAGGAGACTTTAAAAAATGCTTTGGGAATATTAATCAAGAAAATAAACTAGGAAAAGGGAGTTTTTGACATTATTTTTCTCCACTGTTAGGCATTTGATCATGTAATCAATGCAGTCAGGTGTATCTTCTCTGCTACATCCCATGCCCATTCCTCAATGCTTAGTTTAACTGGCTCCTTGGTGAAGTTTCCCGGACACCATATTGATTTAAATTTCTGTTGCTCCAAAGTTTTGTAACAATTCATAGTTGAAACATTTACTTGGCTGCCTTGTTCTTTGGTTATTGTTTTTTGTATGATAAGGCTGAATTGTTAAGGATATGATAGAAACAAGAAAAGTTTGCAGTCATGGCACAAAGGAGTAAAACCTGACTCAGTAGGTACAAAACTTGCTCTATGCTTGGAGGATAAGGAACAGTTATCCCAGGAGGAAACAAGCCATTATTGTGTGTGAATATTGCTCACTTACATAAGTAAAAGATTATCATTTTCATAATTCTCCTTGCTAGATGACAGAAATGGGTTCTGAATTATGTAGGTACATATTTCTAAAATAATTTTAGCAGAGCTTATTTCTAGAAATAACTTATGGAGACTGAACTTTTCCTATGCTTGATACTTACATAGACTGAATTAACTGTCTAATTACCTGTACATACACTATACAGACCCTACCCTTAACAAAGATATAAGATGGATAAATATGGTTTTCAGCCCAGCTGTATCCTCTCTCCCTCTCAGTGATCACTTCTTCTCCACAAAGCTGTTGTAGTACTCTCAATGTTTTTCAGTATGACAACTTCCTATGCATTTTCTGATCGGCAGCATCTCATGCTAACCATGTCTCTTACTTCCTGTGCCTGTTCAATGACTGCGTCATCCCCAGAGCTGCTAATTTTCCCGTGGCAGTATACTGTTTGCTGACAATGCTCAGTGCATTATATCTCAGATATTACACTTTTATATTTAATAAATGTCTAAAGGCATGATGGTAAGATGTGTTTGACATACACCAAAAGGACATTTTGTATAATATCCTTTGGTGTATGTCAAATTATACAAGGTAAGCAGCTTTCTCTGTCACCAAGCTATTCTCTTTGTCTGGCCTCATATCACAACTAATAAAATATCAGTTGTTTAAGGCCAACTCTTCCTAGGAGGATGAAAACTTGCATTTTTCTGTCTTTTTTTTCCCCAGAAAGAATTGCTCCTCTCGCATGAACCAAAAAAGGTGCTTTTCTTCTCTGGAGACTGCAATACCACTCAGGATTATGATTTAGGATGCATTGCAAATTCTTTTTTTCAGAATAGACAGAAGCAGTGAGGGCTTTTTAGTACATTTCCTTCCCTCTCAGTAAATCGAATTGTGTGATGGTGTTACAGACATGATACTGATCAAGATTGCACATCTTTGCAATTCAGGACCCTTGTGATTCATAAATCTTACATAAATCTATTCTGATGATATTTATAAAGAAACACAAACACTTTGCATAAATCAGCGTAAACAGACATTTTTGTAGAAATTACTTAAAAATTTAAAAGGTGGGGGTGGGAGAATGCTATTAAGTCGCTTCAGAATGTTTGAGAATGATTTCCTTGTTCAATCGGTAAACTATCTTCCCAGTGCTCATTTTTGGTATAAGAAAAATCCATACAATTGGTACTGGGGTTCTCTTCTGTTACACTTTATAAGTTCCTGTATACTTTATTTTCCATTTCCTGAGGAATGTGAACTTTAGATCAACAGAAGTATGCAGTCACTCAAGCTACCTGTCCTTGCTTCCCTACACCCACTCATAGGAATGTGTTTGTACGCCAAATATGATGCCGCTTTTTGTCTCACAAAAGACAGGATGTTATAACTTTAGTGGTATAACCCCACCCTTAATGCTCCCAAGTATGAAGGAGGTGCCACTGGTAAGAGGACGGATTAGATTAAGTGTTGAGACATCTGACCAGAGGAATTATCTGGGCATGACATTAAATGTTGTGGGGGGAAGGTCAGCTCCTTTCTCAGGTTCTTTCAGCTGTTTTAGTTGATGGAGTCGGAAGACTTAGTTAATGGCTAGTACATCTTTAACATCTTTCTATCCACCACTTACAGACTCTTCATTTTACAGTTTCCTTATTCTTAAAGAAGGGATAATAAAAGCTCCTACCTCAAGCAGTTGTTATGATCAAATATAGCATTACACAGACATAAAGCACTCAAAAAACAGTCACTCTCATATGATAAATTCTCAGATTCTATTGCCCATTATTGCTGTCATAATTATTTTCCGTTAAAAGGAAAAGCAAACTCCAGGCTCAGAATCTTAGGCTGGTAGACATTAATACCTTGCTAGAATTCAAAACCTTGCTTTGCTTTCAGTTTATTTTATGACTTCCTACTATTAAAACATGTTTCTGTTTGTGGATATGCTACAGTGTTTATAAATGAATCTATTCAAGTACAAAAAAGTGTCATTTAAAGAAAATATTAGTCATATTTTAATTCGTGCACCAATATAATAAAATCTGACAAAAATCAGGTGAATGACCCACTCTTGGGATTACTTATTATTCTGTCTGCCTGTTACCCCAAGTTTTATTGGTGCACACACCTGCATGCCACACTCCTGCCTCTCTTAATCATGCTGCTTTCCTGTCTAAAACATCCTGCCTGCCCTCACAATTTGGGTCATTTTCTGCAGGAAACCATCCCAAAGTACCCTGACCTATAATGATCTTCATTAATTATTTTTGGAAATCAATTATTTTAAAAGGGCTTTGCAGTCAAACAGCACCATAGTCAATCCTGGCTCTACCATGACTCTGAAAGAGGTCCTTTACTTCACAATTTCATCATCGTTATTATGAACAAATTGCAAGTAATGTCTACTGATATGTTAGCGTGAGGATTAAATAAGGTAAAAATATATGAGACAATTGGAATAGCTCCTCAAACTCAAAGTTCAGGGGGTATGAAGGCTATACATGTATTTTAAAAAGTATCAGTTTTTATTATTTCTTCTTTCTCCCCTTCCTTCCCTTTCACAACTACTCTTTGAGTACATTCTTAGGTGAGGACCTTTTCTAAATACCACTGTATGATTGTAATAGACAGGTCTTGTCCCTCTCCTGAAAACTGTATTTACTCATTTAATTTTTGTTTATTGAAGTTTTAATTTATATCTCCTTTAAAGGTTTTTTGTTTTTTTTTTTTTTTTTTGAGACGGAGTCTCACTGTCTCCCAGGCTGGAGTGCAGTGGCGTGATCTCGATCTTGGCTCACTGCAAGCTCCATCTCCTGGGTTCACGCCATTCTCCTGCCTCAGCCTCCCGAGTAGCTGGGACTACAGGCACCTGCCACCACGCCTGGCTAATTTTTTTTATTTTTAGTAGAAACGGGGTTTCACCGTGTTAGCCAGGATGGTCTTGATCTCTTGACCTCGTGATCCGTCCGCCTCGGCCTCCCAAAGTGCTGGGATTACAGGCGTGAGCCACCGCACCCGCCCATCTCCTTTAAAGGTTTTTGAGCTTGCTTACAATAAGGGAAATTTAGAATAAGACCATTTACATGTAAATGTTAAGTTCAAATATTATATAGAGAGAATGGGATGTAAATATGCCAAATGCTTTGGCTAACAGAGTTACTGTAATTGAACACAAATTTAGTTGTGCAGTCTTGGCAGCCAGGGCTTAAGGGAGATTGTGACAGGTTATAAGGAGCCTGATGAGTACTGCCAAAGTTTGGCTACATCTGACTCTACTCCCTGAAGGCTAAAAGTTCCCTTCAACAAGCTGGATCAAGGATAGTTGAGCTATAAATCTATTTCCCTAAGTGTTTTCTGTTGGGGAATATTTGTCAGATAAGCATGGTATAATTTAATTAAATATGACTAAGTCAGGCTACATATTTTGCAAGACAATTTTCCAGTTTGCCACTATTTTTGTGTTTTTCTAAATGAAACGTTCAACTATAAATTGGAATTTGATATATCGCCCACCAAGTGACCAAACTGAATGCATAATGCAGTGTTTGGAGCTAAGGGATTATTTTTGGAGAGCTGATATATCAACAAACTAATTCTGTGGATTTGTTTAGTATTTTATAGTTTACAAAATGCCATGGAATATATTATCACTTTTAGAAACACAGATAAAATATATGAGAAAGAGCTCTGGGCTTGAAGTTAGATGATTTGCATTCCATTCTGTCCACCATGACTTTATGACGGCTTCACCTACTTCCGGTAACTTTTTCTTCCTGACTGATGCCTTAACAGTGATTCTGAAGATAGGCATCTCCAGGCTAGCAAAAATTTTGATTTTTAGTTCTTTCATAATTTTTTATACATAGAAAGAAATGCTGGTATAAGCCATTACAAAAAGGAAACAAGTTAGTAGCCAACCATAAAACGACATAAAATGCGTCTTATTTCCCTGAGATTCTTTTCAGTCAGTGTAGACAGTGTTTGGGAATCCTTTCTTCACCTTCTGCCTTTCTTTGCCCACCTCCTGTGGAACCCCTACCCCTCTGCACTCCTGGCTGTACTCTAGAGGCAAGTGAAAAACTTACATAAAGTTTGATGTTCGTTGTTAAAAAAACAAACAAACAAAAAAAACCAACCAACCAACTCTGGTCTTTCAGACTTTTAGATAATATTGATTACTTCTTTTTCTATAACTTCGATGTCTTAATTTATTAAAATGTTTCTATTTGGTTTTGCTGTATCACCCATGATAACTTCCCTTTCTCCTCAAAATTAAAGGAGGAAAACCAAATAACAAAGGGGAAAGATATGCATACGACCCCAAAAGTGAGAGAGAGCTTGGACTAAGAACTAAGGCTATTGTAAAGTGGTCACTTCAAGGAGAACTACAAACCACTGTTCAAGAAAATAATAGAGGACAGAAACAAATGGAAGAACATTCCATGTTCATGGATAGGAAGAATCAATATTGTGAAAATGGCCATACTGCCCAAGGTAATTTATAGATTCAATGCCATTCCCATCAAGCTACCAATGACTTTTCTTCACAGAATTAGAAAAAACTACCTTAGAGTTCACATGGAACCAAAAAAGAGCCTGCATTGCCAAGACAAGCCTAAGCAAAAAGAACAAAGCTGGAGACATCACGCTGACTTCAAACTATACTACAAGGCTACAGTAACCATAACAGCATGGTACTGGTACCAAAACAGAGATATAGACCAATGGAACAGAACGGAGCCCTCAGAAATAACACCACACATCTACAACCATCTGATCTTTGACAAACCTGACAAAAAAACAAGAAACGGGGAAAGGATTCCCTATTTAATAAATGGTGCTGGGAAAACTGGCTAGCCATATGTAGAAAGCTGAAACTGGATCCCTTCCTTACACCTTATACAAAAATTAATTCAAGATGGATTAAAGACTTAAATGTTAGACCTAAAACCATAAAAACCCTAGAAGAAAACCTAGGCAATACCATTTAGGCCATAGGCATGGGCAAGGACTTCATAACTAAAACACCAAAATCAATGGCAACAAAAGCCAAAATAGACAAATGGGATCTAAGTAAACTAAAGAGCTTCTGCACAGCAAAAGAAACTACCATCAGAGTGAACAGGCAACCTACAAAATGGGAGAACATTTTTGCAATCTACCCATCTGACAAATGGCTAATATCCACAATCTACAAAGAACTCAAATTTACAAGAAAAAAACAACCCCATCAAAAAGTGGGCAAAGGATATGAACAGACACTTCTCAAAAGAAGACATTTATGCAGCCAACAGACACATGAAAAAATGCTCATCATCACTGGTCATCAGAGAAATGCAAATCAAAACCACAAAAAGATATCATCTTATGCCAATTAGAATGGCAATCAGTAAAAAGTCAGGAAACAAATGCTGGAGAGGATGTGGAGAAATAGGAATGCTTATACACTGTTGGTGGGAGTGTAAATTAATTCAACCATGTGGAAGACAGTGTGGTGATTCCTCAAGGATCTAAAACTAGAAATACCATTTGACCCAGCAATCCCATTACTGGGTATATACCCAAAGTTTATAAATCGTGCTGCTATAAAGACACATGCACATGTATGTTTATTGCGGCACTATTCACAATAGCAAAGACTTAGAACCAACCCAAATGTCCATCAATGATAGACTTAGATTAAGAAAATGTTGCACAGATACACCATGGAATACTGGGCAGCCATAAAAAAGATGAGTTCAGGTCCTTTGCAGGGACATGGATGAAGCTGGAAACCATCGTTCTCAGCAAACTATCACAAGGACAGAAACCCAAACACCACATGTTCTCACTCATAGGTGGGAATTGAACAATGAGATCACTTGGACACAGATTTTCTCACAAAATGTATTTGAATAATTTGAGAAGTCAATTTAAGGAAGTTAAAAAGTTGTTATTTTTATCTTTGAAATTTGCTTTTCAGTGGTCAATAACTAAACTTATAACTTTCGACTATCTGTTCCTATATTATGCTCTTCTGACTCCACAAACTTCAAAATCTTTGAAAAACTGATTTTACCACTTCCCTTGATAATCTCAAGATTGCACTCAAAGTTTAAAAGGCTTCTCAGCCTGCGATATTTCCTTCTAGGCAGGAGTTGTGAAGAAGAAAACATACTGATCTCAAAAACTAATAGGGTTATATCTGCATGATGCCAAAATAATAGATTGATTTGATCAACATTGTTGAAGAGCCTGCCAACCTGGGTTTTAGTGTCATATTAAACCCAGGAAAATATAAATAATAAATATCTAGAGGGTAAGACTTATGGGAAAACATGGCAGTTCCATCAATTATTTGAAAAACTCTCAAGAACGAGGGTTTGACTTGTTCTGAATTGCCTCAGAGGAAAAGAGTAGGGAAGAGAGTCCAATTTTAGCTCAATTTAAGAAATAATATTCCAAAGCTAGAGTAGTTCAACAGTAATATGGACTGACTCAAAAGACAACGAATCTGTAATAAAAGTCAAGCTGATTCTGGAATATTAGCATTAGGGTCTGGAAAGGAGAAGAGCAAAATGATGAATGGAAAACAACTAAAGAAAAAATATTTGGCAATTTTATTTTCACAGAAGGAGCTTGTCTTTTGGTGAGGTCAAGAGCTAGGAGGATTAGGTCTTGTTTATAATAATGTATAGTGCTGTGAACTCCATTTTCTGCACCTCTTCTCCCCATCTTCTTTCTCCAGACTATTAAGATAGCCAGCGGAGCAGCCTGGCCAATATGGTGAAACTCCATCTCTACTAAAAATACAAAAATTAGCCGGGCGTGGTGGTGGGCACCTGTAGTCCCAGCTACTCAGGAGGCTGAGGCAGGAGAATTGCTTGAACCTGGGAGACGGAGGTGGCAGTGAGCTGAGATGGCACCACTGCACTCCAGACTGGGCGACAGGGCAAAACTCCGTCTCAAAAAAAAAAAAAAAAGATAGCCATTTTATTCAGCTGTGTTCTCAGTTTTCTTCTACTTTCAGTAAATCTCATGCTCATAAAATAATCTGGAATTAAATATATGAATAATTTTAAAAAAATATGCATTTTAACCAAGATGTAAGTATCACATGAATTTAGAATAATGTAATGTTAAACTTTCTGGCATTGTTCATTGAAGTTGGAGCTATTAGGGGGAACCTAAATGCCCACAAGTAAACCCTAGGTTATTTTAATAATGGGTATATGGTTTTAAATGTTTAACAAATTTAACCACAATGAAATTGTATCTGTCCTTATGAGGTCATGCTTATCCACTTGGTCCCTGACATGCATGTACACGCCACCTTCATTCTCACAGAGACATTCTGTTCTTCATATCTAATATATAATTACCATAGAATTAAAAATAACAACTGGGCCAAAACTGCCTGTTTAAATTTCTAAATTTCAGGGATCCTTTAGAGTCAATACATACCATTTATCCAGATCTGTTAACTAGAAAAACTTGAATCATGTCAGAATCCTTACTATACCTGAATTGATGATTTACTATTTATTTTCAAATATTGATGTTTCTGGAAAGCTTTATTTCAGATCATTTGATTAAATGGTGACTTGCCATTTAATGTGATTTTGTTTCCAGAAAATTCAGAGTAGTGGTGTAGCAAAATGTTCATTTACCTGAAATAGTTTTGATTCTTCTTCATCTAACTCTAATTTCCAGTGTTAAATGCTGAGGATAAGCTTTTGCTTAATGGGCCTCAGAAGAACATCCTAAGAATGATAGGGATCAAATTGAACAGGAGGGGGAGTGAATGTGAACTTGGGAGGTGGGTGGGGACTGTTAGGGGCTGAGTAAAATAGCTCTCAAATACTTAAAAATTATGCCATGTCCAAATATGAACCTAGACAACTTGAACCTAGCCAAAAAAAAAAAAAAAAAAAAACCCACAAAAACAAACAAAAAAGCCAAATAAAAAGAGCAAGCCAAACATTGCCCTTGCAATCTAAGGGCAAGGGAAAATACAGCTTTGAAAATGCGAAGTTGATGGGAATATCAAGGTCCAACCCAAGAAAATTCCTTGAAAAGAAAGCACAATGTAATGAACATGGAGCTCAATCCATAGCAAAGAACCAGAAAAGACAAGGCGAGAGAACAGCACATAGTCATTTAGCTGGATATAGACGAGCATCTCCACAGTGCTGGGTTACAGAATGGGAAGAAACAGGCAGAAGAACCTAGGTTTCTAAGAGACGCAGATATAAAAAGAGCAGGTGATAAGATCTGGCTTCAGTAAGAGATGCACAGGAGGGACGTCCAGGACACATTTTTTGACATGTTCAACACAGCTGCCTAGTAGGGTTTTCTAATCAAATACTATCACTATGTGGGCTAATTATCACTGTTGGTTCCTGGAGTGGAAGGGTACTCTGCAGGTGCCTGGGTGTTCGTCAGACAGAAGCAGATGGATTCTAGGTCAAGGCAAGAATTTATATTCTCTTTGTGCTACTTTACACAGACCTTTTTTTCACCATTTTTATAAACCCATTTTCTTTACATATGTTATTATAAGGTGTATTTTTCTCTGTGCAATGAGAATAATTGTAGCTTCATCTGTTAATTTGTAGCTTTTACAATCAACTCCATATAATCTCATATAGGAGGAAGCTTCAGCTTTGCCATTAAGTCTTCCCGTGTGTTTAACAGGTCTCAATTATAATTTTGGCGGACACTGATTCCCTTCCTTTGGCCCAGGGAAGTACAAACTAATCAAGTGAATTTGGCTACTAATCAAGTGGCTAAGAATCACTTGATTTTTAATTAGTCATAAAGTTACTAAAACAAAGATTTCATATTTTTTCCCCTCAAGACTATGAAGTGTGTTATATTGTTATTTATTTTTTAAAGTGTTGTCTAAATTGCTATATACTTAAATTACAGTCAGAAGTCTATAATATTGAATTCTTTAGGACATTTATCAACAAAACATCTTTGAGGAGGAATATTTTGGAATCGGATGTGCAAAGTCTGGAATTTAACAGGTTAGAAATGAATAATAAGAAAAGTAAAAACATGGATACAAGTAATTTGCAAAAAAAAAAAATACAAATGACTTTTTTTTGGCTTCCTTAGTGGCTGTGGCTTTGACTCGAAAACAGGGTCACTCAGCATAATTTTGTTGGTCTGCTGTCATGCTCTCTTCCTGAGTCAGTGAATTCTGAGCTGCCTGTTTGGGGATACGTGGACCTGAAAATGAGTTAATAAAAGGCTGAATCCGAATCACCTTCTTTGTATTTTTGTTAGTGTTAGTTATATTGCCAGGAGATGTCTTAAGGAGCAGGAATCACTGTGGTTCTTACGTTTATTAATGATGCTGTCTTTTCCCCTTCACCCAGAATCAATATTTTAAAGTCACATTGACACCTCCTTCTTCCACTTCTCTTCACGTCCTGGCAAGTGTATCTTTTTTTGTTCTACATATATGATGTCTCTAATATGTGTATCTTTCTTCCCCCAACACTAATCAATGAAATAATAATAGTGCAATTGTATTGATAGTAAGCAACTATTGAATACTTGGTAATTGCCAATCACTTTAATTCATACGAATCATCACAGCAACACTGTGAGGGAGGTGACGGTATCTTCATTTTACCATTAAAGGAAATAAAGCTCAGAAGAGTTTCACAAATTGCTCCATATTACACAGCAAGAAAGTATGTTAGGATTTGAAATAAGACAAGTCTGAGTTTTTGAACTCTACTCCATCTCTTTCCAGGTCACACCTCCTAGGCTATATTTTCTTAAACACTGAACTCCTGACTAATCTTCCTGATAGGTATGTCCAGTCATGTCAGTCCCCTTCTCAGGGATCATTCCCAAGTACTAAGGGAGGTAAGGGAGTGATTTTGACTGTGGCCTGTGGCAACTGACTGTCTTGATTTGAAACTTTTTTTTTCAGTACATCAAATCCTCTAAAGTCTCCTTTGTTCAATGTTAAGCTCTTTAAGAGTGAGACTGAGGCTTATTGATCCACGTATCTGTGATAAGTACCTGGTCCATGGACTTACCCACAGTACTCACCATATAGATATTTATAGGAAGACGCTTAACTGAACAGGTGAACATTATTTTAAAGATAATTTTGATTACATAATTTAAAGAGGCTAATGTGGCTGCTTTTTGAATACTGATAGAATTAGATGAGAAAATCAAACTTTTGTTAAGTGGTGTCAGAGAAGAATACAAATAAGTATACAATAATGCAGTACAGTGATCACAAAGACAAAATGAGGTCCATCTCTAATTTTGTTGTGAAAGGATACAATCTATTAGACAAATTGAGTTCCTTTGTCTAATCAAGATCATCATTCTAGCAGAACATCCTCAATTGAATATCCTGTATTCTAGCACTCTCTCATTCTATTCCATGTTCCTTTGCATTCACTTCATCTACTTCATGACTTGTAGGATCCTCTAAATCATAAAATCTATTTTAGGTCTTCCAGAAGCTCCATCATCTATTTTTGGGTTCTGGCAGTAGAAAAGGAATTGCATTCTCTCAGTGCTTCAACCAAATTAGAAATTCTGCTCAAGAACCAAGGGTCAAGGACATAGTCTTGCCTCACAGGTGTGTTACACTGGACTGCCACTCGACTGGGAAGCCTTACAATATGCAGTTGGGACAAGGCATTCCTTGTATGCAGAATGTAGGAAAAAGTACTTCTTGAGGGGAATCTACTTTAAATTCAAGGATACATAATTGTCCTGGGAACCTTGCAAATATTGAAACAAGTTAATCTGCAAGGGTGGAATTTAAACACATGTCTAGAGAGATAGTGGTCCTTTCATCCAGGGTACTAAAATTAGACCAGTTCACCCAGTATCACCCACTGCCTTTTACACTCTGAACGATACTGGAAACCTTAGTTTCTCCATTCTTCCATCTGTAATATGGAACTAACAACAGTACTCATATGATAACATTATTTTGAAGATTTGCGAGCTATAAACTGTGATATCTCCAAACACATAAAAAGTTCTCAATGAAATAATAGTAAATATGCCATTATTGTAAAGTATTATCATATCATTATTCTAAGGTTGATTCTACATGGGGTGTAGCCAAGACCCTTCTAATGGGGTTTTGAAGGCTATGAAAAAGCCCTCTGCCCCCTATACCTAGTGCTAGTATAATGCATTGGTTAGTTTTAAGATTTGTAGAAGAAGCATTTAGAAGAAAGGAAAGATCTGGCCCACAGTGCTGACCTGGGATAAAGTGTCATAATGGAGGACATAATTGTTTATACAGAGACAGCATCTAAAACGTGTCAGGTAAAAGGCTATGTAGACCTAGATTGACAAACCATCAATATTGGCACATTAAAGGAATATGTAATCCCTTCCTAGAGAAAGACAAACCAGAAAATGATTGCAACACAATGGCATCATCGTGCTAACATATGTAAATACAAGAACTGTAGAGAATGAAGTATCTAATATTTTCAGGTTAAGTGTGAATGCTTTACAGGAAAGGTTCTATTGTCTATGTACACCAATGCCTGAGAGCCAGTTTGTCATGCAGACAAAAGAAATCAGCATGTGTAGAGACAATGGAAAGACCAAGAAAGGAGTCTCTAGAGATTTGAAATTAGTTTGGTGTTAATTTAGAGTATATGACAGATGGGGTCTGAGGGCATCATTAGTAATAGGAGAGACTAGAACAAAATGCTGGGATTTATTATTAGAGATCCTACATGGGAAGCAGTCTGTTCTGAATTCTGCCTTAGGAGTGTGATCAGGAGCTGATATTATCAGAATTTAAAAATTATTTCTGACAGCAAAGTCAAAGGAATGTGGGAGAAGGCAGCAAACACAGCCTGAAGGCCTACAGCAGCACCTCTCCAACTGTGGTTCCCAGACCAGCAGTATCAGCATAACCTGGAAACTCGACTGAGAAATGAGAAATTCAAATTCTCATTTTTGTTTTTCATCCCAGAAATCCTGAATCAGAAACTCTGCAGCCCAGACATTGGTGTTTGAACAAACTCTCTGGAGCATTGAGATGTTTGCTAGACAAATCCTTTCCCTTTATTCAAGTAATTATGTGCTATTTCCTTCCAGCAGAGTCAGTGAAGATGGACAGGAGTAACAACATTGGAAATAGTGATGAGTTTAAAGTGGGCAGTTGGTGAGAAGGAGATGCTAAGAATGAATTTGTTTAGACAATCAAGTCTATAAAGCCTAAAAAGCAGTTACAGAATAAAGGATAATGCAATGGGATGATTTGGAGGAGAAAAGCGGTTTTAGAGACCTGTAGAAGCAAAACATTACAATTAGAACACAGAACATTTGTCAGGAGGAAGTACCTGCAGTGGGGGTGCAGAGAGAAAAGAGAAAAACAACTTTATTTACATCCTGGATTTGATCTAATGTTATCTACGATTCTCATGAGCTTCAGTGGTTTTAGAATTGGTCCACATGAAAATAATTGATTTTCTTTATCTTTTTAATAGGGAAGGACCAGAGCTGGAGAGAAATTGGTAGAGACAACCTAGTACTTGATATATTGATATGCAATAAATATAACACATTCTCTTCCATAACTCACTACTAAAAATATCTGAATCCCATCCTCCATCAATTTACAGAAGCTCAGATATTTGTGAGCCCCACACAGTTCCGACTAAAGTTCTTTGTTTCTGCCTCTCAGGCCCTTACCAATTCTCAGTTTGACAGTGTTCTTTTCCCAAGTAATTTGAAGTAATTTTATATGTGAAGCTTCATGAGACACTTCCTCAAATTCTTTGCTTTATTCCAGATATATAGCATCCACTGCACACTCTCAGGCACTAATCCTATAATTCTCAGTGAGTTTGACTGTTGTGATGTTCTTTCTCCTCCAGCTTCACTTCAACTCCTTGTGAAATTCCTAGGCTCAGAACAACAGGGCAGTAGGGTGAGGAGCAGGCAAGAATAGGAGCAGTAATTAGGGTGAGCAACTGGGGGATACAGGGGAATTCACAGTATCTATAAAGGAAAACAACACTAATGAAGGAGTATGAAGTGTAGAGAAGAGAGGAAAGGACACAGCATTGCTTCCACAAGCTGGAATACTAAAGATAGAAGTATTTTTAAATGGTCAGCCCCAGGAATTATAATGAATAGGTACTCCCTCATTTTCAGTGATCTCCCTTAGGCCACAGGAAGTCAAGAAACATTTTTGTCTTCTTCACCATGCTACCTTAGATACCCACTGCCAACCTTGTCAAAAATCAGGCACTCCTTAAAAATTTGTTGTAATGTATGAATGAATGCAACTTCACTGATTCCCAGCTCCATCTCCCTCTAGCCCTGGTGTTCTACCTGATATCTCCAAAATCACCATGTTATGTATGTCACCTGCTGGATACTTCTCATAACCCATTACCCCACCTAGGTCTAAAAATCTTTGACTACATTTGAAAGCTAAAGGTTTATACTTCAAGTGATTCAAAAGCCAGCAAAAAAGTCCATAAGGTTCATTAAATTTCTATAAAAACCCAGATAGTAAACATTTTATTTTGTGGTCCAATCTCTATTACAACTACTCAGTTCTATGACTGTAACACAAAAGCAGCCCTAGATAATATGTAAACAAAAGGGCATGGCTATACTTTAATAAAATTTTATTTCCAATAGTCAGTGGGCCAGATTTGGCCCCTGGGTCTAAACTTTGCTAGCCTCCTGAGATGTAAGTCTTTCCCTATCTATCTGAGTAGTTCTGGTATTATTGCAAGATATCTAGACAAAATATTGTTATCAATGGTCCAACCAAATATTGAAACAAGGAGAAATCTTTGAGCCTAATATAATGGTAGTGAAAACAAATTCTAAAGTCAGACTGCCTAGAATTATACTGAGCTTATCTGTTTACTCTAAGTTCTTAGCCAATAGATATGTTTTCTTTAAGTTCCATTATCTTTTTCATAAAATGGGAAAATACTGCATACCTGTAGTTTAGGGTTCTCGTGAAAATAATCCATGTGAAACATAACAGTGACTGGCACAGAGTAAGAACTCAAGGAAAAGAGTGCTGGCCAAAACGGAAACTCAAGATCAAGTGATTTGCTCAAGTTTTAACAGTTTTTGACAATGTTCCATAAATATATAATGCTTTGACATACTGAAATGGTGCCACCAATATTAGGCAAAGATGCCCTGCAGTTTGAGGTCAGAGAAATGTGTTTGCCCTTCTTATGTGACATGTACCAATGAAACTGAATCTATTCCAGAGATATTGGAGTGCTGATTGATGAAGATACCAATTTAATCACTTACAGCAATCTGCTAAGATATTGTGCTGTCTTTTTAGGTAATGATCAATTGTAGGCAGAATATACTTTGACTTTTTTAACATCTGCTTTCATACTGGTTAAGTATATATCTCTACTGTTCAATCATTTTATGAAAAAAGTTCAGGGAACATGAGTAGGAATAAACAAAATTGCTGACTCACTATGCAGCATACAATCTGCATGCATTACTCTGCTTCCTGCATCACAATTAGTCAGAATTCATTATTTAGTTCATTTCCAACCTGATCTTCCAAGACATCTGCTAACAGATACCAAGTTCAAGTTGATTTTTGAAAAATAATAACATTTTCCAGTGTGTGCATGGCCACGCAATAAAAAAGTCAGATAGAGCTGCCCATTTGTTGACACAAATAGGTAATGCTACATGCAACAAAATTGGTACAAGCCTAGAACTGGTGAGACAAGACTCACTGATAAATGGAAGAGAAGCAAGTTTATTCTCATAAGCACATGTTAAAGCTTTTTAAAGCAGGGTTTTAGAATTATCAGCTATTAAATTAGCAGTTTTGCCTTTAAAGATAACTGCAAAGCAGAAACAAACCCAGAAAGCAGATCACATAACTCTTAGTTTTTTTCCCCATTAAATTATGCTATCATATGAATCATGCAGATGTATATAATTATTAGGTATAATAATTTCAAGCTCTTTTTTACTCTCCATTTAATTATATTCTATAAAAACCCACATGAATTATTCAAGATTGTTTTATATGTGCAAAATTGTTTAGTATCATGAAAATACCAGTGTGCATCTACAGATTGTTTATTCCCTTTATTTCACAATTGAATCAGTTTTCTCAGAACCTTATGCTCCTAAGGCTGAGCTATTACACTATCACTCCAGGAAAGAGAAGGAGAAGGTAGGGTCCCTGAAGAAAAAGAGGTTACTACTCCATTGACTTAGTTGACGGTTTTTGATAGTTGATAGTGGTTTTTTTTTTTTAAGCCAACATGAAAGTGTAAGATAAGAAATACTAAATTTAAAATCTAATTAACGGCATTCATGTCAGGCCATATTATGTCTTGGAGTTTACACCTACCAGGAAAGACAAGCTCCTGGAGAAAATGTGGAGTGTGTAAAGAATCTGCCCCTGCTAGATCAGAGATCTGATGGAAGCAGAAGGAGACTGACACATAGGAGCAGACATATCCTCCTTTTTTCTTGGGGTGGTGGGAAAGAAGAGAGAGAGAGAGATTCAGGTGATTTTAGGATGTCTGAAACCATTGCAGACCAAGGCACCCAAGCCTTAAGAGAAACTGTGCAAATTAGTACTTCTAATATGGTTGAGAAGCCTAGGTTCAGTGCCGTAGGTGTGAAATGTTGGTATAAATGAAACTGATGCCTTGTCCCTGGCTTTTCCTCAGCTACATGTGGAATGCTGGGCACCACAGGGTCCTGCATCTTTGATGAATTTGCTGAAAGAGGCTCAGATTCTGGTCCAGTAAACCAGGGTGTGGCTTAGCAATCATGAGAAATTCCTTGGACTAAGTAATCCAGTGGATAACCCCAAATTACTCAATATGCAATAGAGAACAGTGAAAATCAAGGAAAACTGAATCCTTATAGAAGCCTGTTTTCCCCACAACTACAAGATATGTTAAGTCCTTATATATTAATGTGTTCAGATACCATGAAGGGGACTAAAAGAAGATAACAGAACTCAGAGATTAGTAATTTCTCTAAATACACTGAATCATCCATTCAAGCCTATTTACCGCAATTATGTGAGAGAGAAAACTTTCAATAGGCTAAATATGTAAACTTGAAAGAGAATATATAAACTACAAGAGAATAGGATGCTTTTGATTGGGGAAATTAACTCTCTCATCTACTTGGTGGGATAAAGATTCACGAGGAAGGTAAGATCAGCTACAGAGATTAATAGGGGAATATGATAAGATCAAGTAATACAAAGAAGTTACATGAGCTAGATAAAGCTCTTTTGAAAGGCTCTGGAGACTCCGTAATGCATAACTGGATCCACATACTAAACTAGTTTAATTTAGGAAAGGATAAAAGGAATAAAAATCACAAGATAATTTTATGAAATAAATTGTCTGTCTGTATCTAGGTAATAAGATTTATCATTCTATTTTAAAAATGAGGGAACTAAATCTCATAAAGATTTAAACAGTGTTATTAGGACCACCTATCCAAGACTATGGGAGGCCTGAGACGATTGCAGAACATCTGCTAGTATAAACTTCAAGAATCTCTCTGTAGTCTAAATTTTTTTGGGGAAAATAAAGTGCCCACATCAACAAAACTAATCACATGTATGTATGTTGTACCTACATATCAAAATCAGTTGGGTTTTAGATGATTCACGCGATCTGAATTAATTTAAGGGAAGATATTAATATTTACCAAATTAAAATAGTGTGCCAATTTCTGGAAAATTACTCATATTAAAAATGTGATCTTTAATGCTGAAGAAAATGATCGGAAAAAAATAATAGAACTCATTAATCAGCCTTCATATGTAGCTATATAACCTATAAGCTAGCACTTATTCATGGACCTCAGAAGTTTACTGATGCTTCCTTTATTAGGAAGTTCCGGGTATACCTAAAGAGGCCCACACGTTTCTCTGAAAACTTCCTAGAAGAACTTGAAAATAGAAAACATGATAATGTAATGATTAATACATCTTTGTTTCTTTCACCATAAACAAAATTAGGAGAGGAGAATAAACTTACTTCAGAACAGTAAAAGATAATGTATTAAATTTAATAGGGGGAATTTCACTTTAATTTACAAATTGTTTCCAGAATCAAAACAGTACAGTCTTTATTAAGTTCTGTATCTCTTCAGCCTTACATTTAATTTTCAATCACAGGAAATACCAATTTGTCTTAATTAATTTTTTTTTCTCTTTTTTTTGGATGGGGTGAGGCAGCTCAAGCCTAGTTATTTGGAATTTCTGTATGTTTATTAATGAGTTCTGTTCTTGACCTCTGGGGTCATAAAAAATTATTTATAGAATTCCTAATGCAAGCTCAAGTATACAGGAAACAAATATTTTTCATTTACTTTTCTCTCTTTTATTGAATATTTTGGACTACTTTTTATTATTGTACTGCCATCTTTGAATCAGGATTCTACCAGACTATTACACTGTCAGGTGACATGTATAATATAGAAGATGTTGCTCACAGGTAGAGGCAAAATCTTTGGGAAACATGTAACTGACTACTACAGAGAGAGAAATTGTTAATCTTATAAAGAGCGTCCGCATATATTAGTAGGATTTTAATAATCTCATAATTATATCTTTCCATAAAGGCAAAAAATAACCTGTCAATTCCATAGACACAAAAAGAAAAAGGCCAATATCTGGCTTAATTTTATATTTATAAAGAAATCAAGTTAGTTATAATTATAAAATGCTGAAGTCTATCAATGCTTTAACTTCTCAGGATGTAAAAAGTGAATTCTTGTCAATTGAGATATTTTAGAAATTCAGCTTAAAGAATTAATATCTATATATCAGAAGAACATATAGATTAAATGCATTGGGTTCTCTAGTTTACACCAAAAAATGTGTATTTAAGAGATATGAAATAGAAACCCAGTTATGTGCTTAATTATGCAGGACCGAAGGAGAATTATATTGTCCATGGGCAGAAGAGTTCATCTATCCTTCAGGAATTTAAAGCAAGGACTTACTGTCTTCAGATTGAAATTGGAGTCAGACAAATCAAGTGAAAATGCAATGATGAACTAGAAAAAACATGCAAAGTCTGGAAACACACATTTTCATGGGCCTAAAATTTTTCTCCCATCTAGCTGTGTGAAGTTAAATAATTTGATTAAGCTCTCTGGCCCTCAGATTCACCACAGATAAAGCCCTAGTTGTATAAAATACACAATTTGTGTAACAGAGGGCAACAATGTAAATACCTCTTTAAAGTGTTTTATAGTTTTCAATTACTTTTATATAAATTGTTTTAATATGTAATTAATATGGATACATGAATCAATTTTCAAAAAAGTTCATAATTCCAAATTTGTTAACAAATTGGAATAACAAATAACAACAGCTTTTAACCCCCCATCTACCCAATCAGACTTTTTCTGTTTAGCAGTTGTTACCCCTACACACTAAAACTTTAAGCAAGTCTACTAGAGCAGAAATATTGTGGGTTTTTTGCTCACTGTTCTTAGCACAGATTGACCTATAAGATACTATTATTGAGTGAAATATATCATTCAGTATTCTCTAGATTATTCTGCAGTAAGTAAAGCATCCAAATCCTACTCAATGTGTACAAAAAAGTGTTAAAGTTTTGTTCATATTACTTGTCTGGTGGGTCAGCAATGAGTCCACCTAATGGCAGTGTGATGGGTGGAATTGCATTCCACCAAATTTATATTTATATAAATTTATATATTTATATTTAATACCTCAAAGTGGGGCTGTATTTGGAGATAGGTCCTTTAGAGAAGTAATTAAGGTAAAATGAAGTCACATAGATGGGCCTTAATCCAATATGCCTGTAGTCCTTATAAGAAGAAGAGATTAGCCAGGCACGGTGGCTCACGCCTGTAATCCCAGCACTTTGGGAGGCTGAGACGGGCGGACCACAAGGTCAGGAGATCGAGACCATCCTGGCCAACACGGTGAAACCCCATCTCTACTAAAAACACAAAAAATTAGCCAGGCGTGGTGGCGGGCGCCTGTAGTCCCAGCTACTCGGGAGGCTGAGGCAGGAGAATGGCGTGAACCCGGGAGGCGGAGCTTGCAGTGAGCGGAGATCGCGCTACTGCACTCCAGCCTGGGCGACAGAGCGAGACTCCGTCTCCAAAAAAAAAGAAGAAGAGATTAGGACACCGACAGATGCAAAAAGAAGATCACGTGGAGAAGACAGCCATGTACAAGCCAAGAAGAGAAGTGTTAGATAAAACAACTTTGCCGATACCTTGATGCGAGACTTCCAGCCTCCAAAACTGTGAGAAAAAAAATATGTTTTTGCCGTTTAAGCCGCCCAGTCTTTGGTAATTATTATGGCAACCCTATCAAACTAATATGAGTAGTCACTCAGAAACATGGGCTAAATGAGGTTTCATCTGGCAAGGCAAAGAACAAAAATGTGGAGGATTGTACTCTGATTCACAAATCTTATGTTCACATGTGGTATAAATCATTGCCTCATACATTAAATTGCGCAAAACAAATCTTACAGCCACAGTCAACTTCAAAAAGCACGTCTCCAAGAGAAGAAGCAGGATATTCATGCACATTTACAGGCTCAAATTGAGGTTTTTAATTTGGGGTAAATCCAATGGGGGCTGGATTAACCTATCCTCTTCTTTTTATAAGAATTATATACTTTGAAAAACTGCTTTAATTTATCCACCTGTCCCGAAATCTTAGCTTTGTTTTACATCTGTGTTTTGATTTGCAATGTTCTGTCTCCCTGGATAGTCTCCTTATGCTTTCTGCAAAATTTTCCAAATTAATAACCAAATTAATCTTCTTTTCTACCATAAATCTTTACAAATACAAAACAAAGTCAAGTCAGCATGCCTGTTCACCGTTGTGAATCCCCATAGGATTTGGCTCCACCGTTGATTTGGCACTTGAAATACGCTGCCATGAATTACATAAAGTACCATGGAGTCAAGAATACTATAAGAAACATCTAGATGATGCACTGCCCTTCAAAGCGCACACAGTATATACTATATGACTTTTTAGCAATTCATGATATTGCAAACCCTTAATCAAGGATAAGTGTCATAAAGTTCTCTAGCTTTCAGATCATTATTTATTGCTGTACAGAGAAAGTATTCTTATTACTGTACATAGAAAGTATTCTTATTTCTGTACATAGAAAGTACAACGAAAATATTTGGTTGACCTCTGACTTTAAAACTCAACTATTATTTTATTCCTCATTGGTATAGTGGTGAGTACCCCCACCTGTCCACTATCATTTTATATCGATATGAAATGATACACTTATATTGCAATGGATATTAGCATGTTTGTAAAATAATTTGGCAGTATATGTCAAGGGTCTTAAATATTATTACCCTCTGGCAAGGTAATTTCATTTCAATATATGTATTCTAAGAAAATGATCCTAAATTCTACAAAATAAAATGCAAAATATGCTTTTAACAGCATCATTGTACTAACAAATTGTAAACAATATAAATGCCAAACTGAAAGGCAATAATTAAACAATGTCATATACACTTAAGAACCACCAAAAATAAGTTAGAAATTTTATATAATGCTATGAAACAAGTTGGCGGCTGGGCGCGGTGGCTCACGCCTGTAATCCCAGCACTTTGGGAGGCCGAGGTGGGCGGATCACGAGGTCAGGAGATCAAGACCGTCCTGGCTAACACAGTGAAACCCCGTCTCTACTAAAATTTTGAGAATATTTCTAAAGGTTTGGAATAGGGCGAGGAAAGAAGAAATAACTTATACAACAGGAATACTCATAGCCAAAACTACTTATTAATCCTAAATTTAGAGGGGTCAGAGAAGTTCACAGATATGTGAGAATTAACATACTACTAAATAGTGAATCAAATAAGAAATCACAAGGGAAATTAGAAATTTTTGAGATACAAAAATGAAGATACAGCATACCAAAACTTATGGGATGTAGCTAGAGCAGTGGTTAGAGGGAAATGCATAGCTGTAAGTGTCTGTAATAAATATAAGAATGATCTCAAATCAACAACCTAACTTTCCATCTAAGGAAACCAGAAAAAGAACATTATAAGCAGAAAGTAACCAGAAAGAAAGAAATAATACATAGTAGATTGAAAAATAATGGCAAAGGAAATAAATAGCTAATGAAAAACCAAGAACATCAGCAAAATCAAGTTTTTTTTTAATCAACAAAATAGATAAAATTTTAGCTAGACTGGCCAAGAAAAATAGAGCAGACCAAATTAATACAATAGAGAATGAAAGGGGGCCGGGTAGGGTGGCTCACACCTGTAATCCCAGCACTTTGGGAGGCCCAGGCAGGCAGCTCACAAGGTCAGGAGTTTGAGACCAGCCTGACCAACATGGTGAAACCCTGTCTCTACTAAAAATACATAAATTAGCCAGGCATGGTGGTGCACACCTGTAATCCCAGCTACTCAAAAGGCTGAGGCAGGAGAATCGCTTAAACCCAGGAGGTGGAGGTTGCAGTGAACTGAGATCGTGCCACTGCACTCCAGCCTGGGTGACAGAGCGAGATTCTGTCTCAAAAAAAAAAAAAAAAAAAAAAAAAAAAAAAAGAGAGAGAGAGAGAAGATGATGTTACCAACCTTACAGAAATAAATAGGGATTATAAAGGAATACGGTTGATTCTTGAGCAACACAGGTTTGAACTGTATGGGTTCACTTACATGTAGATTTTTTTCAACCAAACATGGATTGAAAATACAGTATTCTCAGGATGTTAAACCTGAATATATACAAAGGGTAAACTTTTTGTATACATAGGTTCCCCAGGGCCTACTTCAGGACTTGAATATATGTGAATTTTGGTATACAGGGGTAGGGAGAGTTGTGTTTCCTGGAAACAATTCCCAGCGTTTATTAAAGGATGACTGTACTATAAACAATTATAAGCAAGTTATCTAAAAAATTTAAATAACTGGATTGAATGAAAAAACCTCTGGAAAGACATAAATTACTGAAACTCAAGAAGAAATAGAAAATACGAATACATGTGTAAAAATTAAAGTGACTGAAGTAAAAATCAAGAAAATTATCTTACAGAAAACCCCAAGACCAGCTGGTTTCTCTGGTGAATTCTACTAAACATCCACCAAATAATTGGCACCAATCCTTCACAGACATTTCCAAAAATGAAAGAGAAGTTTACACTTCTAAAATCATTCTATGAGGCCAGTATTACCCAATAACCTATACCAGGTAAAGAAACCAAGAAAACTACAGACCAATGTCCTTTATGAATATAGACACAAAAATCTTTAACAAAATACTAGCAAATAGAATCCAGCAATTTATAAAAATGATTATACACAATAACCAAGTGGATATATTTAAGAAATTCAGGGTAAGTTCAACATATAAAAATCAATGTAAAATACCATGTTAATAAAATAAAAGTAAAAAACGTAATTATCTCGATAGAGACTTTAAAAGATTTGGTAAAATCAACAGTTTTTCATAACAAAACACTCAACATGCCAGAAATAGAAGCAAACTTTCTCAGCCTGATGAGGGCATATTTAATGTTGAAAGACTGAACTTGCCCCCTAAGATCAGAAACAGAACAAGATGTCCACTCTTACCATTTTTATTTGACATTGAGTTTCTAGTCAGAGTAATATAGCAAGCAAGAAAATGAAACAAAAGACACTCAGATTGAAAAGAAGTGAAATTATCTCTATTTGCAAAAGGCATGAAATACACATGGAAAATTGTATGAAATACACATGCAACTATCAAGCCAAATAATTTCAGCAAGGCTGCTAGATACAAGATCAATATAAACAAATAAAATTTTTCTATATATTAGCAATGGACCATCAAAAAGTGAAATTAAAAATAATTTTATGTACAACATAAAAAATAATACTTAGGTAGAAATTTAACCCAAAAAATGCAAAATGTGTACACTGAAAACCACAAAACACTATTGAAGGAAATTGAAGAGCTAAATAAATAGGAAAGCATCCTAAATTCATGGATTGAAATTTTTCATTTTAAGGTGGTGTATTACCTAATTTTTTTTAAATCATAAATTCAGGGGGTACTTGTGCAGGTTTGTTACATGGGTATATTGCACAATGGTGGTAGTTTGGGATTCTAGTGAACCCTTCACCCAAATAGTAAACATAATACATAATGGGTAGTTTTTCAGCCCTCGCCCCTCTTGCTCCCTCCCTCATTTTGCAGTCCCCAGTGTCTGCTGTTTCCATCTTTATGTCCATGTGTATCCATTGTTTAACTTCAACTTATGAGTGATAACATGTGATATTTGATTTTCTGTTTCTGGGTTATTTCACTTAGAAAAACTTCCAGCTGCATCTATGTGGCTGCAAAGGACATGATTTCATTTTTTATAACTGGATAGTATATCTTGGTATCTACATCACATTTTCTTAATCCAATCCACCACTGATGGACACTAAGATTGCTATTGTTAATAGTGCTGTTATAAACGCATGAGTGCGAGTGTTTTTTGATCAAACAATTTCTTTTCCTTTGGGTAGACACCCCATAGTAGGATTTCTGGGTTGAATGGTAGTTCTGCTTTTAGTTCTTTAAGAAATCTCCGTACTGTTTTCCATAGTGGTTGAACTAATATACATTCCCACCAGTAATGTATAAACATTCCCTTTTCTCTGCATTGTGGCAAAAATCTGTTATTTTCTGATTTGTTAATAATAGCCATTCTGACTGTTGTGAGATGGTATTACATTGTGGTTTTGATTCACATATCTCTGATGATTAGTGATTCTGAGCATATTTTCATGTTTCTTTACGACTTGTATGTTGTCTTTTGAGAATTGTCTGTTTAATGTTGTTTTGTCTTATTGATTAAATTCCTTATAGATTTTTAATGTTGTTTTGTCTTATTGATTAAATTCCTTATAGATTTTTAATGTTGTTTTGTCTTATTGATTAAATTCCTTATAGATTTGCAAATATATTCTCCCATTCTGTAAGTTATCTCTTTACTCTGTTGATTGTTTCTTATGCTATGCAAAAATTCTTTAACTAAGTCACATTTGTCTATTTTTGTTTGCATTTGCTTTCTAAGTCTTACTCATGCATTCTTTGCGTAGGTCAATGTCCAGAAGAGTTTTCCTATGAGTTTTCTTAGGGTTTTTGTAGTTTAAAGTCTTACACTTAAGTCTTTAGTCTATCTTGATTTAATTTTTGTATATGTTGAAATATAAGGGTCTGGTTACCTTCTGCTGAATGTGGCTAGCCAGTTTTCCCAGCACCATTTATTTAATAGAATGTCCTTTCCCCATTGTTTATCTGTGTTGAATTTGTTGAATATTGGTTGTAGGTGTTTGATGTTTGGTTTGATTTCTGGGTTCTCTATTCTATTACATTGACTTGCGTTCCTATGTTTATACCAGTACCATGCTGTTTTGGTTACCACAGGCTTGTAGTATAGTTTGAAGTCGGGTAATGTGATGCTTCCTGCTCTGTTCCTTTTGCTTGGGAATGCTTTAGCAATTCTGGCTCTTCTTTGGTTCTGTATGAATTTTAGAATTTTTAATGATACTGTGAAAAACGATGTTGGTAATTTGATAGGAATTGTGTTGAATCTATAGATTGCTTAGAGCACCATGGTCATTTTAACAATATTGATTCTTCTAATATGTGAGCAGAAAATGAATTTCCATTTGTTTATGTCATTTATGCTTTCTTTCTTCAGTGTTTTGTAGTTCTCTTTGTACACATCTTTCACGTCGTTGGATAAATGTATTGCTGGATTTTTAATCTTTGTGTATGGCTATTGTAAATTGAGTTTTTGATTTGGTTCTCAGCTTGAACATTATTAGTGTAGAGAAATGCTACTTATTTTTCCACATTGATTTTGTATCCTAAAATTTTACTAAAGTTGTGTATCAGATCTGGTAGTTTTTTAGAATTTTTGGCGTTTTCTAGGCATAGGATCATGTCATCAGTGAGCAGAGATAACACAACATTCTCTTTTCCTACTTGGTAGGAAACTTAGTAGTTTATTTTCTTGCCTGATTGATCTGACAAGAACTCCAGTACTATGCTGAATAGGAATGGTGAGAGTGGGTATCCTTGTCTTGTTCCAGTTCTTACGGGAAATGTTTTCAACTTTTGCCCACTCAGTATGATGTTGGCTTTGGGTTTGTCATAGATAGTTCAGGTATGTTGCATTGATGCCTAGTTTGTTGAAGGCTTTTCATCATGAAGGGATGTTAGATTGTATAAAATATTTTTTTCTGTATCTATTGGGATAGTCATATGGTTTTTGTTTTTAATTCTATTTATGTGGTTAATCGCCTTTATTGATTTGTGTATGTTCAACCACTTTTGCATTTTCAGGAATAAAGCCCAACTGATTTTGATAAATTATCTTTTTACGTGCTGTTGCATTTGGTTTGCTGGAATTTTGTTGAGGATTTTTGCATTTCTACACATCGGGAACATTGGTCTATTTTTTGTTTGTTTGTTTTCCTTGCCATATTTTGGTATCAGGATGATACTGGTTTTATAAACTTAATTAAGGAGAAATCTCCCCTTAATCTTTTGGAATAGTTTTAGTAAGATTGGTAAAATCTCTTCTTTGTACTTCTGACAGAATTTGGCTCTGAATTCATCTGGTTCTGGGCTTTATTTTGTTGGGAGATTATTTTTATTACTGATTCAATTTTACTACTCATTTACTACTCATCTGTTCAGGATTTCAATTTCTTCCTGGTTTTATCTTGAAAGGTTGTATATTTCCAGGATTTTATCCATTTTCTCTAGGTTTTCTAGTTTGTACGCTTAGAGAGGGTTATAGCAGACTCCAAGTAGCTGTAGTATTTCTTTGGTGTCAGTTGGAATATCACCGTTGCCATTTCTGACTATGCTGATTTGAATTGTCTGTTTTTTTTTCTTGGTTAACGTAGCTATCAGTCTACCAATTTTGATTATCCTTTCAAAGATTAAGCTTATAATTTTGTTTCCTCTTTTTATAGTGTTTCTGGTCTCAATTTCATTTAGTCTTGCTGTAATCTTTTAAATTTCTTTTCTTCTTCTAGCTTTGGTTTTCTTTTTTCTTGTTTTTTTGAGTTCCTTTAGGTGTGACATTAGGGTGTTAATTTGAAAGTGTTCTATATTTTCATGTAGACATTTAGTGCTATAAACTCTTCTCTTAACACTTATTTTGCTGTATCCCAGGGGTTTTGGTATGTCATCTCTATTTACATTAATTTCAATTTTCTTATTTCTGTCTTACTTTCACCATTTATAAAAAGTCATTCCAGAGCAAGTTGTTTAGTTTTCATATACTTATGTGGTTTTTGAAATTTCCTCTTTTCACCGATTTTTTTTTAATTCCACAGTAGTCTGAGAAGATGCTTTATATAATTTTGATTTTTTTGAATTTTTTGAGATTTACTTTATTACTAGCAGGTAGTCAATTTTAGAGACTGTTCCATGCACGGATGAGAAGAATATATTTTCTATGGTTGTTTGATGGAGGATTTCACAGATGTTTATTAGGTCCATTTGTTCAAAAGTCCAATTTAAGTCCAGAGCTTGTTAATTTTCTGTCTTGATGATCTGCCTAGTGCTAATGGTGGGATGTTGAAATTCCCCGCTATGATTATATGTCTTTTGATCTCTTTTCTAAGTCTAGTGATGTTTGTTATAGAAATCTGGGTGCTCTGAAGTTGAACCCATGTATATTTAGAAGAGTTAAATCTTCTGGTTCAATTGAACCCTTTATCAATATATAATTGCCCTTCCCTGTCTTTTTTTACTTTATTTATAGTTTGTTTTATATGACACAAGAACAGCAACACCTGCTGTTTTTTGTTTTCCACTTGCATGATCTTTCTCCATCCCTTTACTTTGAACCTATTGTGTCATTACATGTGTGATGGATCTCTTAAAGGCAGCAGAAGGTTAGGCTTTGTTCTGTTTTAATCCAATTTCCCACTCTGTGTCTTTTAAATGGAGCATTTAAGCCTATTACGTTCAAGGTTAATATTGATATGTGAGATTTTGTTCCAGTCATAGTTTTGTTAGCTACTTTGTAGTTTTAATTGTGTAACAGCTTTACAGGATTTCTTAGCTTTCTATTCATTTGTACCTTTATGTTAGCAAGTATTGTTCTTTTGTTTCAATGTTTAGAACTCCTTTGTGCACTTCCTGTAAGGTCAATCTGGTGGTGACAGATTCCCTTAGTGTATCCTTGTCTGGAAAATACTTTACTTTATTACTCCTTTGTATATGAAGCTTAGCTGAAGCGTAGTTTGGCAGAACATGAAATTCTTTGCTGGCATTTTTTTTTTTTTCCTGTATGAAGGCTAAAATAATTATTGTATGCATCCAGCCTCTTCTGGCTTGTATGGTTGTTATTTAAATTAATGTATGCATTCAGTTCAATCCCATCAAAATCCTAACTGCCTTTTTTGTAGAAATTTGCAAGCTGCAAATCTAAATTTTGTAGAAATTTGCAAGCTGATCCTTTTCAATTTTAAGACTTACCTCGAAACTACTCTTTTCAAAACAGTGTGGTAGTGACATAAAGATAGACATATAGACCAAAAAGAATAGAATCGAAAGTCCAGAAATAAACTCAAGTTTTTCGTAAATTTATTTTCAAAAAGTTTTCCAAGACAAGTAAATGGGAAAGGAACCCTCTTTTTTAGCAAATAATGCTGGGACAACTGGATATCCAAATGCAAAATCATCCTACCTCACAACACGCACAAAATTTAACTCAGAATTGATCAAAGAACTGCATTTAAGAGCTAAAATAATAATACTCTTAGAACATATAGATATAAATCTTAACATGGATTATGTAATTATTTCCTAGATTGACACACACACAAAAACACCAAAGAAAAAGATAAATTTGACTTTATCAGGATAAAAATTTTGTTCTTCAAAGACACTATTAAAAAGTGAAAATGTAAGTCCGAGAATAGTAGGAATATTTACAAATAATTTACCCAATAAGAATCTAATATCTACAGTATATTAAAGAACTCACAACTCAACAATAAAAAAACAAACAACCTAATTTAAAATGGATATAATAGATATTTCTATAAAGAAGATATACAGATGGCCAATAAGCTCATAAAAAGATGCCCAATGTTATTAATCAATAGGGAAATACATATTGTGGTCAAACCCACAATGATATATACCACTTTACTCACACTAGGATCAAAAGACAGATAATATCAAATCCTGGGAGGAGTGAAGAGAAACTGGAATCTTTTGCTAGTGAATATGTAAAATGATGAAGCCCCTTTATAAAACAGTCTGATAATTGTTCACAAGATTAAACTCACTCTATGACTGAGGATTTCTACTGCTGGGTACATAACAAAGAATTTAAAACATATTTCCACACAAAAACTTGTACATGAATGTTTATAGGAGCATTACTCATAATAGCCAAAATGTGGAAACAGTGCAAATGTTTGTCAACTGCTGAATGGTTAAACAATATATGGTATAGCCATAAAATGGAATATCATTCAGACATAAAAAAGAATATTGATTCAGGCTACAATATGAATGAACCTTAAGAAATGTATGCACAGTGAAAGAAGCCAGACACAAAAGGCCATATACTACATGGTTTTATTTATATGACATGTCTAGAATAGAAAATGTATAAAAACATAAAGTAGAGCCGGGTGCAGTGGCTCAGGCCTGTAATCTCAGCACATTGGGAGGCCAGGGCGGGTGGATCACATGAGGTCAGGAGTTCGAGACCAGCCTGGCCAACATGGGAAAACCCCGTCTCTACTAAAAATACAAAAATTAGCCAGGCATAGTGGTACACACCTGTAATCCTAGCTACTCGGGAGGCTGAAACAGGAAAATTGCTTAAACCTGGGAGGCGGAGGTTGCAGTGAGCCAAGATCACACCACTGCACTGCAGCCTGGGCAACAGAGTGAGACTCCTTCTCAAATAAATAAATAAATAAATAAATAAATAAATAAATAAATAAAGTAGATTAATGGTTGAAAGAGGATAGGGGCAAGAGAGAATGAGGAGTGACTACTGAGAAATATGAGACTCTCTTGAGGATGATAAAAATGTTCCGTGATTAGAGAGTGGTGATGGGTGTATAACTGTGAATATATTATAATTCATTGAATTATAATTTTTAAAAAGGTGAATATTAATATTAAAATGATGAAAGAGGTAGTACTGGCTAGATTCCCAGGGAAACCACAAGTGTAGGAGAGCAGCTATGACCTATAGTAGGACTAGTCATCAATCCATGGTGTGACAGGGAAAGAATAAATAGTAAGTCCTTTCCTCCTCTGTCTTATCTCATGCCAATGTTCCCAATCAGTTAACTTCAACCAGAATCTGGAATTGAAAAGACCCTTAAAGATGCAGTCAGGCTTCCAGACATGGAGAAGGAACAGAAGTGTAGTACTTAGACACGGAAAGGAAATTGAGAATATCTACACCAACTCTCAAAGTCTGGATAGTCTTCACTCTGTTGAGATGCCCATTAACATTACTTGCAAGTCATAATACACCCAACTTTTGTATTCTCACTGAATTTTATGACTTTATTATAGTACAATTACTCCTGTATTCAGCACTAATTACTTCTATATATATCTTCCCCAATTAGAGAACAAAATGATGATCAGAAAATGTTAGGAATTGTGATCTGAGAAGTCATGATAAATGTTACATAGGTTGATTTTTTAAGTTGTATAGGCTGTGAAAAACTGGAGGGAATCACTTCAGGTGGAGATAATAGTACATTTAAAGAATCAAAATGGAATTAGATAAATAAGCTTTCTCATTTTTTAGCTAACAGTTACAACACATATGAGGACTAAAAAAAAAAAATGCAGGTCCCACCAGGCACAGTGCTTCATGCTTGTAATCCCAGCACTTTGGGAGGCTAAGGCAGGAAGCTTGCTTGAGCCCAGGAGTTCAAGGCCATCCTGGGCAATAGAGTGAGACCTCATCTCTATTAAAAAAAATGCAGGTGCCTATATCTAACTCAAGTTGATGAATTAGAACTTGTGTAGGAGTCATTGTTATAACTAGTGTCCTGGAGAACAGGGACCATGCCTTACTCATATATGTATCTTTCAGACCAAGTATAGAGCAATTTTGCAATATAATATGAACTGAAGCTCTCCCCATAATTGTATATACACATAAATCAGTAAAAGTAACTATTTTGCTCACTCTGTGACCACCATGGCCAAATTGTATCAAAGATGTTTGCCATAAATTACTCCTTAATATTCAAGTTACAAAACAGGTGGCCAATTGCAAAATTCTTGGGAATCTTGTCAAATGGCTCAATTTTTGTAGGTAAACTCTATTGATTCGGCCTCTTTTTGCAGCCCTGAGAATGAGCATCTACAAACCTTATTAATGCCATCAGTTTCCATATTTCAATGCAAGGCATTTTATGGGAACCTGTCATTAACAGTGTAAAAACTAATTGCAAGTTGCATGCTACATTAATTTTTCCCATAAACAAACATCTGAGAAGTAAAACATATGCTGCTAAAGAACTGATAATTTTATCTTCATACCTGCCAAGACAGATGGAGGGCACCACAGACACAGAATTTTGATAAGCAGAGGATTGCAAACCATCACACGCTTTTGTAAGGTCTTGACAAGTTTTGTGATCTGATGTCACATGTATACCTGTAGGTATCATTTTCCTACATCAGCTTCCTGTTATTTTTGAACTCATATTTTTGATGGAATATGAATATTCAGAGTGAGAGATAGTCCTGTGTGATTACTGTACTCTAAATCAAGCATATGGCTTTGAGTATTGTACTCCTGAGCTAATATTTGTCTGAAGAAATACATAGTCCTTCCTGTGGCTTCATACTTCAAGATGTCTAGATGAGCTAAGACAGATGGCTCTCTTTTTTCTTCGGTTAATTAAATATACTTCTTTGAGTAATCTTGTCAGGGGATTCTCTAAGGATTAAGTCTCATGTACAATCTGATTCAAATAAAGGGGTTTCTGACAAGTAAGTGCCCTACACATATTTTCTAGGTCATGTTAAAGCCAACAAAATATATATCCATTTTCAGTTTATAGAAAAAAAGAACTATAGTTAGGCATGTCATTATTTCTCTTTTTATCGTTAGAAACCTAAAGAATGTAAGATAAATGATATCAGGAATGTGCTAGATAGGAGGCAGGACTAAATTGCAGCTCCCACTCAGACAGAGCAGCGTGTGGAGACTCACACTGTGAAATTTTGCTCCAAGAACTACTGTAGGAACACACCAAGAAAGCCGAGAGAATCTACAGATCCTTTGAAGGAAATGGATTGCTCCTACAGGACCCTGGAGACAGCCCAAATACTGTGAGAGCCCGAAGTGTGAAAGTGTAAAAGGGGGATCATCTGCCCCCAGACACACACCCTCACTGGGGAGTCTGAAGGTCCAGGTTACAGTAGAAGGATCTGACCTTACCTGGAGCTGAGATAACTTAGAGAGCCAAGCAAAATTCAGGAGTAGAGGAAACAGCAGGAAGAATCCTGTGGGCACTTTCGGTCCCTACAAAAGACATTTCTGACATTGTCTCACAGAGTTCTTTGGGGAGGACTGCCAGAGGAACTGGGAAAAGATCACATGGAGAAGGAAACCTCCAGCTGAACTTTGTAACAATTCTAACTGAACATAAAGTTTCTTGGACAGAACTTGGGGGAGGAGGTGACTCCAGAGTACAGATGTGGGCAGGCAGGGAGGCGTGAAACCTGGAAGCCCCGCTCCCTTTTTCAACTGGGAGGCTGTTAGCCTGGGGCAAGTTCTCAGCCCTACTCGCCCATTGCCTGGAAACAAACTCCGTGCTGTTGGGGTGGGGCACAGTGGGAGTGAGACCAGCCTTTTGGGTTGCATGGGAGTTGGGTGAGGCCTGTATCTGCCGGCTTCCCCAATTTCCCTGGAAACCTGCATGACACAGCAGAGACAGCCAGAATCCTCCTGGGAATATAACTGCAATGACCTGGGAAGGACACCCCAGCCCTGACAGCAGCCACAGCAAGCCCTGCCCAAGGAGAATCTGACCTCAGACACGCCTAAACCTGCCCCCACCTGATGGTCTTTTTCTATCTGCCCTGCTGACTGAAGTCAAAGGTCATTTCTCTTGGGAGTTCTAGGGCTCCACCCACTACCTGATCCTACATTACCACAGCTGATGCTCTCTTGAAAGCATCTCCTCTTTGCAGGAGGCAAACCAGCACAAAACTAGTGCAATAAACAACAATCATACAACTAAGGACCCTCACAAAGTCCATTTCACTCTTTTTGCACCTCCACTGAAGCAGGTGCTGCTATACATGGCTGAGAGACTGCAACACAGTTCACATCATAGGACTTTGTGTGGACACCCCCCACAAAAACCAGCCCAGAATCCAGTAGCCCCCTGGATGGCTAGATCCAGAAGAAAAATAACAATCACCACAGCCCGGCTCTCAGGAAGCCCCATCCCTAGGAAAATGGAGAGAGTACTACATTAAGGGATCACCCCAAGGGAGAAAATAATCTGAACAGCAGACCTTTAGCCTGAGATCTTCCCTCTGACATAGCCTACTCAAAGGAGGAGAATCCAGAAAAATAATTCTGGTAATATGACAAAATGGATTTCTTTAACACCATCAATAAGCCACACTATCTCATGAGCAATGGCTCCAAACCAAGAAGAAATCCCTGATTTTCCAGAAAAAGAATTCAGAAGATTGATTATTAAGCTAATCAAGGAGGCACCAGAGAAAGGTCAAGTCCAATTTAATGAAATAAAAAAAATTATAAAGATGCATTAGTCTGTGTTTACACGGCTGAAAAACACATACCCAAAACTGGGAACAAAAAGAGGTTTAACTGGACTTAACAGTTTCACATGGCTGATGAGCCCTCAGAATCATGGCAGGAGGTGAAAGGCGCTTCTTATATGGTGGTGGCAAGAGAAAATGAAGAAGAAGCAAAATGGAAACCCCTGATAAACCCACCAGATCTCATGAGACTTATTCACCGTCATAAGAATAGCATGGGAAAGAATGGTCCCCATGATTCAATTTTATCTCCCCGGGTGCCTCCCACAACACATGGGAATCCTGCGAGATACAATCCAACTTGAGATTTGGGTGGGGACATAGCCAAACCAATCACTCTACCACTAGTCCCTCCAAATCTCATGTCCTCCAATTTCAAAACCAATCATGCTTTCCCAACAGTCCCCCCAAAGTCTTAACTCATTTCAGTATTAACCCAAAAGTCCACAGTCCAAAGTCTCATGTAAGACAAGACAATCCTTTCCACCTATAAGCCTGCACAATCAAAAGCAAGCTAGTGGCTGGGCACAGTGGCTCATGCCTGTAATCCCAGCACTTTGGGAGGCCAAGGCAGGCAGCTCACGAGGTCAGGAGATTGAAACCATCCTGGCTAACACGGTGAAACCCTGTCTCTACTAAAAAAAAAAAAAAAGGCCGGACGTGGTAGCGGGCGCCTGTAGTCCCAGCTACTCGGGAGGCTGAGGCGGGAGAATGGTGTGAACCCAGGAGGTGGAGCTTGCAGTGAGCTGAGATCACGTGCAAGCTAGTTACTTCTTAGATACAATGGGGATATAAGTATTGGGTAAATACAGCCGTTCCAAGTGAGAATAATTGGCCAAAATAAACGGGTTACAAGGCCCAGGCAAGTCCAAAATCCAATGGTGCAGTCAAATGTTAAAGTTCCAAAATGATTTTATTTGACTCCAGGTCTCACATCCAGGTCACACTGATGCAAAAGGTGTCTTCCCATGGCCTTGGGCAGCTCTGCCTCTGTGACTTGACAGGGTACAGCCTACCTCCTGGCTGCTTTCACAGGCTGGCATTGAGTGTCTGTGTCTTTTCTAGGTGCATGGTGCAAACTGTTGGTGGATCTACTGTTCTGGGTTCTGGAGGACGGTGGTCCTCTTCTCACAGCGCCACTAGGCAGTGCCCCAGTAGGGACTCTGTATGGGGCTCTGATCCCACATTTTCCTTCTGCACTGCCCTAGCAGAGGTTCTCCATGAAGTCCCTGCCCCTGAAGCAAACTTTTGCCTGGGCATCCAAATGTTTCCATGCATCTTCTGAAAGCTAGGTGGAGGTTCCTAAACCTCAATTCTTGACTCACAGTTTCCCATAGGCTCAACACCATGTGGAAACTGTCAAGGCTTGGGGCTTGCACCCTCTGAAGCCACAACCTGAGCTCTGCGTTGGCTCCTTTCAACCACTGCTGGAGTGGCTGGGACCCAGGACACCAAGTCCCTAGACTGAAAACAGCACCGGGACCCTCAGCCTGACCCATGGAACCACATTTTCCTCCTTGGCCTCTTGGCCTGTGATGGGAGGGGCTGCCGTGAAGGTCTCTGACATGGCCTGTAGACATTTTCCCCATGGTCTTGGTGATTAACATTAGGCTCCATGCTACTTATGCAAATATCTGCAGCCGGCTTGAATTTCTCCTCAAAAAAATGGGTTTTCCTTTTCTGTGGCATTGTCAGGCTGCAAATTTCTGAACTTTTATTCTGTGTTTCCCTTTTAAAACAGAATGCTTTTAAGACCACACAAGTCACATTTTGAATGCTTTGCTGCTTAGAAATTTCTTCTACCAGATACCCTAAATCATCTCTCTCAAGTTCAAAGTTCCACAGATCTCTAGAGCAGGGGCAAATTTCCCCCATTTTCTTTGCTAAAACATAACAAGAGTTAACTTTGCTCCAGTTCCCAACAAGTTCCTCATCTCCATCTAAGATCACCTCAGCTTGGACCTTAGTGTTCATATCACTATCAGCATTTTGGTCAAAGCCATTCAACAAGTCTCTAGGAGGTTCCAAACTTTCCCACATTTTCCTGTCTTCTTCTGAGCCCTCCAAACTGTTGCAACCTCTGCCTGTTACCCAGTTCCAAAGTCGCTTCCATATTATCGGGTATCTTCAGCAATGCCCTACTCTACTGGTACCAATGTACTGTATTAGTCCATTTTCACGCTGCTGATAGAGACATACGCAAAACTGGGAACAAAAAGAGGTTTAATTTGACTTACATTTCCACATGACTGGGGAGGCCTCAAAATCATGGCTGGAGGTGAAGGGCACTTCTTATGTTGTGGCGGCAAGAGAAAATCAGGAAGAAGCAAAAGTGGAAACCCATGATAAATCCATCAGATCTCATGAGACTTATTCATTATCATGAGAAGAGATCTGGAAAGATCGGCCCGCATGATTCAATTACCTACCCCTCAGTCACTCCCACAACACATGAGAATTCTGGGAGATACAATTCAAGTTGCGATTTGGGTGAGGACACAGCCAAACCATATCACAAAATATGAAGGAAGAAATCTTCAGTGATAGATAGCATAAATGAAAAACAATCAGAACTTCTGGAAATCAAGGACAAACTTATAGCAATGCAAAATGCACTAAAATGTCTCAGCCACAGAATCAAACAAGCAGAAGAAACATCAGAGCTTGAAGACAAGATTTTTGAATTAACTCAATCCAACAAAGACAAAAAAGAATAAGAAAATTATAAAGCCTCCATGAAGTTTGAGATTATGTTAAATGACCAAACCTAAGAATAATTGGCATTCCTGAGAAAGAAGAGAAATCTAAAAGTTTGGAAAGCCTACCTGGGAAAATAATAAAGAAAAAACTTTCCTGGACTTGCTAGAGATCTAGACATCCAAATACAAGAAGCTCAAATAACACCTGGTAAATTCATCACAAAAAGATCATTGCCTAGGCACATAGTTATTGGGTTATCTAAACTCAAGACAAAGGAAGAAATATTAAGAGACATGAGGCAAAATCACCAGGTAACCTATAAGGGAAAATCTATCAGATTAACTGCAGATTTTTCAGCAGAAACCCTGCAAACTAGAAGGGATTGGGCCCTATATTCAGCCTCCTTAAACAAAATAATGATGAGCCCAGATCTTTGTATTCAGGGAAACTAACCTTCATAAATGAAGGAAAGATACAGTCATTTTCAGACAAACAAATGCTGAGGGAAGATGCCACTACCAAACCAGCACTATAACAGCTGCTAAAAGGAGCTCTAAGTTTTGAAATAAATCCTTGAAATACTCCTTAAAGCATACATCTCAGAAGACCTATAAAACAACAGCACACACACACACACACACGCAACCCCAAAAACAAGGTATTCAGGCAATAAGCAGCACAGTGAATAGAATGGTACCTCACATCTCAATAGTAACATTGAATGTAAATAGCCTAAATCCTCCCCTTAAAAGATATGAAATGGCAGAATGGATAAGAATTCACCAACCAAGTATTTGCTGCCTTCAAGAAACTCACCTAACATATAAGGACTCACATACAATTAAGGTAAAGTGGTGGAAAAAGACATTTCATGCAAATGGACATCAAGAGCAAGCAGGAGTAGCTATTCTTAAATGAGACAAAACAAACTTTAAAGCAACAGTAGTTAAAAAAGACAAAAGAGGACATTATACAATGATAAAAGGCCTTGTCCAAAGTACCTCAATCCTAAATATATAAACACCTAACACTGGACCTCCCAATTTTATAAAACAATTATTACTAGATCTAAGAAATGAAATGAGATAGACAGCAAAACAATAATAGTGGGGGACTCCAATACTCCACTGACAGCACTAGACAGGTCATCAAGACAGAAAGTCAACAGAGAAACAATGAATTTAAACTCTACCCTAAAACAAATGGACTTAACAGATATTAACAAAACATTCTACTCAACAACTGCAGAATATACATTGTGTTCATCAGTGCATGAAACTTTCTCCAAGGTAGACCATAGGGTATAGGGTAGGCCATGAAACAAGTCTCAATACATTTAAGAAAATTGAAATTATATCAAGTACTCTCTCCAATCACAGTAGAATAAAGTTGGAAATCAACTCCACAAGGAACCTTTAAAACCATGCAAATACATGGAAATTAAATAACCCAATCCTGAAGAATCACTGGGTTAACAATGGAATCAAGATGGAAATAGAAAAATTCTTTGAACTGAACAATAACAGTGATACAATCTATTAAAACCTCTGGGATACAGCAAAGGCCATGATAAGAGGAAAGTTCATAGCCTTAAATGCCTACATCAAAAAGTCTGAAAGAGCACAAATAGACAACCTTAGGTCACACTTCAAGGAATTAGAGAAACAAGAACAAACAAAACCCAAGCCCAGTAGAAGAAAAGAAAGAACCAAGATCAGAGCAGAATGAAATGACATTGAAACAACAACAAAAACAAAAGATAAATGAAACAGAAAGCTGGTTCTTTGAAAAGATAAACTGATAGACCATTAGCAAGATTAACCAAGAACAGAAGAGAGAAGATCCAGATAAGCTAAATTAGAGATTAAACAGGAGATATTACAACCCAACATCACAGAAATACAAAAGATCATTCAAGGCTACTATGATCTCCTTTAAACATAATCTAGAAAACCTAGAGAAGATGGATATATTCCTGAAAATATACAACCCTCCAGCTTAAACCAGGGAGAACAGACCAATAACAAGCAGTGAGATTAAAATGGTAATAACAAAATTGCCAACAAAAAAATGTTCAGGACCAGATGAATTCACAGCTGAATTCTATCAGACGTTCAAAAGAGAATTGGTACGAATCCCATTGACATTATTTCAGAAGATAAAGAGGGAATCCTCCCTAAATCATTCTATGAAGCCAGCATCACCCTAAAACCAAAACCAGAAAAGCACATAACAAAACACACTACAGACCAATATCCCTGATGAATATAGATGCAAAAATCCCTAAGAAAATACTAGCTAACTGAATCCAACAGCATATCAAAAAGATAATCCACCATGATCAAGTGGGTTTCATACCAAGGATACAGGGATGGTTTCGCATGCACAAGTCAATACATGTGATAGTTCACATAAACAGAATTAAAAACAAAATTCATATGACCATCTCAATTGATGCACAAAAAGCATTTGACAGAATCTAGAATCCTTTATGATTAAAATCTCAGCAAAATCAACATAGAAGAGACACACCTTAATGTAATAAAATCCATCTATGACAAACCCATAGCCAATATAATACTGAATGAGGAAAAATTGAAAGCATTCTCTCTGAGAACTAGAATAAGAAAAGGATGCCCACTCTCAGCATTTCTATTCAACATAGTACTGGAAGTCCTAACCAGAATAATCAGACAAGAGAATGACATAAACCATCCAAATCAGTAAAGAGGAAGTCAAAGTGATGCTGTTTGCTGATGATATGATTGTTATACCTAGAAAACCCTAAAGACACCTCCAAATAGCTCCTAGAACTGATAAATGAATTCAGCAAAGTTTCAGGATACAAAATTAATGCACACAAATCAGTAACTCTGCTAGAAACCTAAAGCAACCAAGCTGAGAAGTAAAAATCTCAACCCATTTTACAATAACTGCCAAAAAATAAATACTTAGGAATATACCTAACCAAGGACGTGAAAGACCCATACAAGAAAAGCTACAAAACACTACTGAAATAAATTGTAGATGATACAAACAAATGGAAACACATCCCATGTTCATGGGATCAATGTAGTGAAAATGACCATACTGCCAAAAGCAATCTACAAATTCATTGCAATTCCCAGCAAAATACCACCATTATTCTTCACAGAACTGGAAAAGGCAATCCTAAAATTCATATGGAACTAAAAAAGATCCTGCATAGGGAAAGCAAGACTTAAGCAAAAGGAACAAATCTGGAGGCATCACATTACCTGACTTCAAACTATACTGTAAGTCCATAGTCACAAAAACATCTTGGTACTGGTATCAAAATAGGCACATAGACAAATGGAACAGAATAGAGAACACATAAATAAAGCCAAATACTTACAGCCACTTGATCTTTTACAAAGCAAACAAAAACATAAGTGGTGAAAGGACACCCTATTCAGCAAATTATGCTGGGATAGTTGACAAGTCATATGTAGAAGGATGAAACTGAATCCTCATTTCTCACCTTATACAAAAATCAACTCAAGATGAATCAAAGACTTAAATATAAGACCTGAAACCACAAAAATTCTAGAAGGTAACATCAGAAAAACCCTTGTAGACATTGGCTTAGGCAAAGACTTCATGACTAAGAACCCAAAAGCAAATGCAACAAAAACAATGATAAATAGGTGGGACTTAATTTAACTAAAAAGTTCATGCACAGCAAAAGAAACAATCAGCAGAGTAAACAGAAAAACCATAGAGCAGGAGAACATCTTCACAATCTACATTTGACAAAGACTAATATCCACAATCTGCAAGGAACTTACACAAATTAGTGAGAATAAAACAATGCCATCAAAATATGGGCTAAGGACATTACTAGACAATTCTTAAAAGAAGATATCCAAATGGCCAACAAACATATGAAAGAATGCTCAACATCACTAATGATCAGAGAAATGCAAATCAAAACCACAATGCGATACCACCTTACTTCTGCAAGAATGGCCATGATAAAAAAAAATTAAAAAAAGATGTTGGTGGGCATGCATGAAAAGGGAACACTTTTACATTGCTGGTGGGGATGTAAACTAGTACAACCACTATGGAAAACAGTGTAGAGATTCCTTAAAGAACTAAAAGTAGAACTACCATTTGATCCAGCAATCCCATTACTGGGAATTTACCATGAGGAAAAGAAGTTGTTATATGAAAAAGACACTTGCACATGCATGTTTATAGCAGCACAATTCGCAATTGCAAAAATATGGAACCACTCAAAATTCCCAGCAATCAATGAGTAGATAAAGAAATTTTGGAATATATACACAATAGAATACCATTTGGCAATAAAAAGGAACAAAATAAAGGCATTTGCAGCAATCTGGATGGAATTGGAGACCATTATTATGAGTAAATTGACTCAGGAATGGAAAACCAAATGTTTTATGTTCTCACTCATAAGTGGGAACTACGTTATGAGGATGCAAATGGATAAAAATGATACAATGGACTTTTGGGCCTTGGGTGTATAGTTGGAGGGAGGTGAGGGATAAAAGACTACAAATTGGGTAAAGTATACACTGCTCAGGTGATTGCTGTACCAAAATCTCAGAAATCACCACTAAAGAACTTACTCATGTAACCAAAAACCACCTGTTCCCCAGAAACCTATGGAAATATAAAGATATCTATATAGATTTTAGATGGACACATTTGTCTATCTGTCTTTTAAATAACCTAATAGTTTTGACTGATTTTATTTTTTTCTACAGGATTGAACAATTTAGGGAAAATGGTTGATTGGCTGTTGGTTGACAGTCACCTAGTTTCAGGAATCAAATATAAGGGATGAAGTAGAAAATTTGCAAATTTCATCCAACCATTCCATATAGCTGCACCTGAAAAGGTAGAAATATCCAAACTGTAATTATTGAGTCAGTTTTAGTTGAACATTATTCAGTGTACATGTATCCATATACTGTTCATGAGACATACATGTGCTTTTCCTCAATGCCCAGCCCCCTGAAGTTGTGAGTCTATGTGACCAGGTCTTGCCAATTACCTCTGGGAGGCAGTGGCAAGTATCACATCTAAGACAAAATATAGAAGATAGGTGTAACTTCTCCAGGCACTCTGCTCTCTTGTCCTTGTCATCATGGAAAACCCAAACCAAGATGGCCCTGTCGCAAAATGGAGTGTGCCATACATTTTTATGTATTAAGTTTCTGAGATTTAAAGGTCAGTTTCTTAATTCAGCATAACCTAATACACCCTGATTGATACAAATATATACTAAATTTTGAATTTAAAAAATTCAAGTTTTAATCTCAATACCCTCATCAGCTTTCCAATCTTGATCGTGTCAGGTAACAGATTAATGACTCCTCCATAAATTTAGTGATCACCAAATATCCATATTCTTTCCTGTGCTTCTCACTTTTAATTATACTTAGATTGGAATCATATAATCAATTCTGGTTAATGCACTAACAACAATAATGATCTGCATTCCTTACTGTAAGAGGCAGAGAAGTAGTATTCCTCCACATCTCTCTTCCTGTGTCATGAGGATGAGGAGGCCAAGTATCCAAAGCAGCTTAAGCTGTAAGATAGAGGATCACAGCCTTGAATGATTCAGTAAGAATGCTTTATTAGTTTAAGCCACTAAGATTTTTTTTAACCTCAGCATTTTAACTAGATATCCTTTAAAAAAATCATGCTTTAATTCTTTTTATTATTATTATTATTATATTTTAAGTTTTAGGGTACATGTGCACAACGTGCAGGTTTGTTACATATATATACATGTGCCATGTTGGTGTGCTGCACCCATTAACTCGTCATTTAACATTAGGTATATCTCCTAATGCTATCCCTCTCCCAACCCCCACCCCACAACAGGCCCCAGTGTGTGATGTTCCGCTTCCTGTGTCCATGTGTTCTCATTGTTCAATGAGAGAGAACATGTGGTGTTTGGTTTTTTGTCCTTGTGATAGTTTGCTGAGAATGATGGTTTCCAGCTTCATCCATGTCCCTACAAAGGATGTGAACTCATCATTTTTTATGGCTGCATAGTATTCCATGGTGTATATGTGCCACGTTTTCTTAATCCAGTCTATCATTGTTGGACATTTGGGTTGGTTCCAAGTCTTTCCTATGGTGAATAGTGCCACAATAAACATACATGTGCATGTGTCTTTATAGCAGCATGATTTAGAATCCTTTGGGTATATACCCAGTAATGGGATGGCTGGGTCAAATGGTATTTCTAGTTCTAGATCCCTGCGGGATTGCCACACTGACTTCCACAATAGTTGAACTAGTTTACAGTCCCACCAACAGTGTAAAAGTGTTTCTATTTCTCCACATCCTCTCCAGCACCTGTTGTTTCCTGACTTTTTAGTGATTGCCATTCTAACTGGTGTGAGATGGTATCTCGTTGTGGTTTTGATTTGCATTTATCTGATGGCCAGTGATGATAAGCATTTTTTTCACGTGTTTTTTGGCTGCATAAATGTCTTCTTTTGAGAAGTGTCCGTTCATATCGTTCACCCACTTGTTGATGGGGTTGTTTTTTTCTTGTAAATTTGTTTGAGTTCTTTGTAGATTCTGGATATTAGCCCTTCATCAGATGAGTAGATTGCAAAAATATTCTCCCATTCTGTAAGTTGCCTGTTCACTCTGATGGTAGTTTCTTTTGCTGTGCAGAAGCTCTTTAGTTTAATGAGATCCCATTTGTCAATTTTGGCTTTTGCTGCCATTGCTTTTGGTGTTTTTGTCATGAAGTCCTTGCCCATGCCTATGTCCTGAATGGTATTGCCTAGGTTTTCTTCTAGGGTTTTTATGGTTTTAGGTCTAACATTTAAATCTTTAATCCGTCTTGAATTAATTTTAGTATAAGGTGTAAGCAAGGGATCCAGTTTCAGCTTTCTACATATGGCTAGCCAGTTTTCCCAGCACCATTTATTAAATAGGGAATCCTTTCCCTATTTCTTGTTTTTGTCAGGTTTGTCAAAGATCAGATAGTTGTAGATATGTGGCATTATTTCTAAAACAGTGGTACTCAAAAGTGTAGTCTACAGACATGTGCTGAACTATACCCTATGTGTTACCAGTTAGCAAGTGGTAGCAAATTAAGATTTTAGAAACTTGTTAAAGCAACTCAGTATTTCCATAATATCTATATATGTGATATTTCCAATAGTTTATTGTTTATCCTATTTCACATGTTTACCATTATCTTATTCTACTACATTGTTCCTTGACAGATTTGAGGGAGAAAAAAGAGAAACTGGCCTTTATGACATATCAAGCACATAAACATGTTGAATGAATGGGCTGTGTCTGTTTTCTTCACTTAGACATATGTAGTTTGGCATGATGTTAAAATGAGGTTTATCATTTTTGGTAAATATGCATACTCCTTTTAAATAATGTAAATATACTGAAAACTACAGAGAGTAAGTAGATCAAGTCACTAAAATTTTTTATCATTAACATTTTGGTGAGTTCTAGATATCTACATATGAGTTAGACTTTTGTATTAGCTGGATCATAACAAATTATGCAATGTGCTTTTTCAGTCAGATATATTTCATGGAAAAATTTATAGGCCAATAACTTCACTTGTGCTCATTATTAATGGACCTCTAGGTATTTCATTGTATATACGTACCATAGTTTACTCATCCTGCCTTCATTGATATATTTTTATTTTAAATCATTTTGCATCACAATGAATTTTCCATACTTGCAGATATATGTTTTCACATGTGTATGATGTTTCTTAAATTGTAAAACATGAAATCCCTGGAGCAATGAGTATGCCTAACGTCTGAGAGTGACCATTTTTTCAAACTAAGACTTACAGAAACTGTAAGGAACATTTTTTTTCATCAGAGATCTACCTCCTTTTTGCACCCATAAGTGATACACTTCTTAGTGCCCACATATGTGTAATATCTGATGGGCAGCAATTACTATAATTACTGGGAGAAAGCCGAGGATAAACCCAGCTGGCCAGCAAGGCCTACAGAACCATTCTCTTGGATGGTTATAAGTCTATGAATTGGATAATGTCTATTTTGTATCTCTCCCATGGCCATCAGATGTAATGGGATGAGACTAAATTTTCCTTGGTGAGCCCACACTTTTATGATCCATCTGTTCAAGTAGGAGATAATGAGGCAGGTGGGATTCCTCATGCTACAACAGGGCCTAGGTAGAAGCAAATGGAAACAATGATTTTAATCATCTTTGCAGAGCTATAATTCATATTTTCTAATTTATATTAAGACTGCATTTACACTGCTATGAAAGCTATAACTAATAAGGGGTGAATTTTAAAACAAAATCATTTTATCTTACATTTAATATATGAAACTTTCTCAATGCAACTTTACAACAGTAAGCTTTTACACAGACTAGTTCATTGTGAAAGCAAGTTGTACATTAGAATCATAATGATACAATGGACTTTGGAGACTCGGGGGAAAGGATGGGAGGGGGTGAGAGAAAAGACTACACATTGTGTACAGTATACACTGCTTGGGTGAGGGGTGCAGCAAAATCTCAGAAATCACCACTAAATAACTTATTCATGTAGCCAAACACCACCTGTTCCCCCAAAACCTATTGAAACAAAAAATAAATTTTAAAAAATAAGGTATTACTGCTATCCTCTTTAAATGCAAGAGGTTGTAAACTGTCTTTTCTTAGGTTCCATAGCATGTAAGGCGGTACTGCAGGTTCTTTCCTTCAAATTTCAGGGGGCTCTTTGCTACTACTTCCATTCTATCAATCCCATTGCTTCCAGTGGTATCTGGAGTAAAAAAGAAAAAGCCTTGACAGGAAACACCAGGGAGAGGGACTTCATTCCATGGGAAGGCAGCATTTAATGGCTCAATAAGTCACTGTATGTAAGTCTTGTAGCTTACATGTGTATGTTAAGTAAAGGCAAGGTCATTGATACAGGAGTGCTGGGAAGGGAAGAGCGTGGTCCCTTTAAATGATACAGAAGAGGGGAAGGGAAGTTCTGGGTAGAGGAGGGCATGGTCCCTGGCTAGGGCTCTACCCCCATGGACCTAGGTAAGGAGAGGCACTTCTGCCTTTGAGCCCAAATGTTGCATTTTCCAAGACCACCCTGTCCTGCCATGTCCTCATCCTGGGCCTATAAAAACCCAAGACCCTAGCAAGGCAGAGACAGAAGCTACTAGATGGTTAGAGGATCACATCAGTGGAAGAAGACAGCGGCTGGACATCAAGAGAATGTGGAGGGGAGCTTGCCTACAGAACAGCACACAGACAGACACCGGCATGCCAGCAGGCCATTGACTGGTGGGAGGAGGTGGAGTTTGGCCAGAGCAGTCTGAGGAGAGCTGGGGCTGCCTAAAGTCCCAACGCCAGGGAAAAGCCATCTCCCTCCTGGCTCCCCCATCAGCTGAGAGCTACTTCCACTCAATAAAACTTTGCACTCATTCTCCAAGCCTATGTGTGATCCAATTTTTCTGGTACACCCAAGGCAAGAACCCGGGATACAGAAAGCCCTCTGTCCTTGCGACAAGGTAGAGGGTCTAACTGAGCTGGTTAATACAAGCTGCCTATAGACAACAAACTAAAAGAGCACCGTGTAACACATGGCCACTGGGGCTTCAGCTGTAAATATTCACTCCTATACACTGCAGTGGGCTTGGAGCCCCACAGCCTGCCCATCTATATGCTCCCATAGAGGTTTGAGCAGCAGGGAACTGAAGAAGCCAGCCACACCCCCATCACATGACCTGTGAGGGGGACAAGGGAACTTTGCCCATTTCATTATCCCTTTGGCAGAAATAGAAATACTTAGATATGGACTTTACATTGAGCTTAGTGTAAAACAGGTATGACTAAATCTTCAGGATTGGTAATATCTGAAATACTGTTTTCCAAAGCATCAGAGAGAGGAAAAGTCCCATTCTGCAGCTGTGAAGATGGTGATGGGAGGATTATTTTTGAAGGAAGGAGGTTCCCAGCGGTTATAACTGGAACGATTAAAGGCTCTTATCTGGAGACTGGAATCCTACTGTGGGACTCCCAATTAAGGAAACATTAATCAGAGATGAATTTGGTTGATTTTAATGGGTGAAAACAATGGGCAGCATGGAAACAAAACGACAAACAGGATCTAGCTACAAAATGGTTATTTTGAACATGGATTACCCAAGAAAGAGAAAGCAAAGCACTCTTTTCCAATCATTTAATTATTGTTTAAGCCGTGTGTGCGTGTGTGGTTGTACATGTGGCCACGTGTGCATGAGACAGAGTGTTCTATACCTTTACCATTGGGGATAGGGCTTGGGTGGAGGCTAAAAGCCTTTAGAGACTGGACAAGTTTTTATGAAGGACAGAAGTCAGTTTTTCATTGGGATTTTTGTGTTTCAGATAACTCTGATAAATGTATCATTATACCAGTTGGAAAAGGCTAAGGAATAATATTTAACCACAATAGAAATTTTAGGGCACCACTACCTGCCAATTCTTAATAGATGCAAGTATGTTTGTGTAGGTAGGTACAGGACAATGGAAAATGAGTACTGAATTGTGTAGCTTCGACTTGAGGAAAAATAAGTTCAACAGAATTTCTAGGGGAGATACAAACCAATGACAGTCATTCTTAAAAATTTTCAATGTCAGGCTAAATTGCCTTTATGAGAAATTTTAGGTATACAACTGCTGGTTGATAGGACATATAACTAGATCAAATCTACATTCTTTAAGTATGAATAGCCATGCTTCTCTCTGACTCCCTAACACATCTTCCAGACCTTGATGATGCTGTGTCCATACTTTTCATCTCCTTCATAACTGTATTAACTTTAATTTTTTTAAAACCTTCTCAGAACGGGTAGTAACAAGTTTTTAGTCTTTTCTAAGCAAAAATCTGTCCTCTCTCTTCACCAATATAATAATCTCACTCCAGCATTATCTATTTTCGTATGTTCTTATTATAGTTTTGCAGAGTCCCTGTGAATGGCAGACACAGGGCAAGTGTCCTTAGTAACTTCCTTGCCTTGAATAACAAAAGAAAAAAAAAATCATGAATTGAATCTCTACCCTAGCATGTGGCTGAAAAATGACTAAGCTTGGACCGACTTCTGAGGTTTCTGAAAAGAATTCCGGCTGGAATTCTGATGAAGTCAGACTAAGTATTAAAACCAGAGCATTCTTCAATTCAACTTCAGCTTTCTGTTTCCCAGGAATAGCTTTCTTGATAAAATGGTGCTGCTTTGGATTCTGCATCCAGATGGCAATGCAAAATGAGGAGAATGTGTCAAATAATCTCAGAATCTTCCAAAATGTTTGTTTTGAGTACTAAGAAATAAGTTTGTAAGGCTGAACATGTGGTAGTGGAGAAGGCACGGGCAGCTTTTCTAAATTGATTCTCACTTGCATAAGACAAATCTGTTTGCCATGTGACTTTTAAAACCATTCAATGATTTTATGAAGCAAATATTTCTCTCACTGCAAGAGGATGGCTCATCATGCTGTGACCCTGAACATGTAATCTCAAATTGTACGTCCCCTCCTGAATTTTGGGATTACAGACACACAGAAGCATGACATATTAAAATCAATTCTAAAAAGCTTTAAACTGAGAAAGCCCCACCTTTATCTGTTAGTTTGAATAACCCCATACCATATATCAATACCTATATATCTTGGTATGTAACCACAAGGCTTATGTCCTAAAGTCATAAAGTTAAAAAAAATCAAATTATCAAACTCCGTAGACTCTACTAGATTAGCAAATATATTAATGCTTGTGAACTGTGCGGTAAACAGCCAGGTTTGCTAATTGCCAAAAATTTTTTGGCCTATATCTCTGATATTAGTTATTCAGACTTGAGTGTGAATCTATCTTCACCCCATTACTTTTTTTTCCCCAAATTATAAGACTAAGTCATTGAACAGTGATAACAAGTTGTTTCTCCTTCAAAAATATAGTTGTGCAGTTAAGTCCAGCAAGCAGCAAGAATCCTCTCTTTGAATTGCAGTTACCAATATGATGCTTGCTGGAACAGGAATCTCATACTCAATGAACCCAACTAAATGCCAGAGAAACAGTGGAAGATTCAGTGGATTTAGTTAAATAATAACAGAAATCTTTGATTAGAAAGGAAGAAGACACTCATATGCAATATATGGCTATGGGATTGGGTGACGGCGGTATGTATTTGTGTGCACACATGCATGCTAATTCTATTATGATATAGCAAATATTCACCTCCCTGTTGACCACAGTGGTACTTTCCTTTGTCAGTGATATTGGGTTTTGCCAGTAACCTACTTTAGCCAATGAAATGTAGAGCTTGCTTAAAATGGCTGCGCAGCTGTGTTTACTTTTCTAAGCTCCTGCATTTTGCCATAAGAACATGTTTCAAATAAAGTCTGGTCTAATTGAGAGTTACATAAAGCAGAACTTGATCTACCATGCAGCTTGGAACCTAGTACAGTAGAGGCTTAAATCAGCCATACCCCAGCTCACCCACAGACACATGAGTGAAATGATGATGATTGCATATCAAGATATTTGGGGAAGTTTTTTTATTATACAGCAGTGTGAAAATATGCTACATATGTGTTTATTTTCAATATTCCTCTTCCAATAGACTTTGCTCTAATGGCATATAATTGTTGTGAACATGAATAATTGAGTCAAATAAACTGTGCTCAAATTCTTGCTCAGCTGCTTATTACTTACTCTCTGTGGGACTTTTGGGCAATCTAAATAAGCCTTAGAGTTCTAATTCACAAAATTCTGATAGTGATATTTACCCCATGGCATTTTCATGAATATTAAATATGACAATATATGTCAAGTGTGAGTAAAATATCTGATATAGTTAGGACTCAAGACACAGTAATTATTATTTTAATTACATATATTCAGTGTATAACCATACAGAGTTAAAATACAGTACATTTATTTTAATACAGCACTACATTCAATATCAAATGCTCTGAACTCTAGGTTAGTTACCTGTCTACTGAGTAATCCATTTGTGTGCACATATGCAATGTCAACCAGCAGCTACTTCTATTACCAGAATAAGGCCCAAGAGGGATTAATCTGCATTAAGGACCACTTCGATCAAGTTTAATATATCTACAAAGCAGCAAACATGCCAGACCACTTTTACAATTATAAAATTTAGACTCTGAGTCCCTTCAAGGGAATAATAAGTGATATCACCATATCTCAAGACTCAGTAATGCATTAGAATTATATTAGAATATTTATTTTCTTACTGGAAGAGGCAAATCAATATCAAGTATTTTTCTTTTGGTATCTTGTTAATAACTGTTGAACAGATAATTTATAACATTTTGTTTATTCTTATGGAATTTATAATTTTAAATTCCTGAAGTAGTTTAGAGAGAAAGCATACTTAGAATGCCAAATAAAGTAGAAATTCTAAAAAATCAGATTCTAAGTACCATTTTATCTTCATATTGCTAATACCTGTTCTAATATTTCATTATTTAACTATTATAATGGAACTCCTAGTGGAAACAGAGAGGGATGATGGTTAGGTAATCATCAGCTATTAGATATATGAAATATAGCAAATGAAATTTATGAGGATTTAGAAAATGTAGCAGGGTAGTGGTGAGTAAGGTGCAATAACAACATTCTGAATGACAGGCACTCTCATTCTTCTTCCATGTGCTTTATCCTTCAGACTACACAAGCAAAATCATACATAAATTAACTCTAAGATAACTGATTCATGTATGAAACTATATAGGCAGTTTTTAAAATAAAATTCATAAGTTTATTTCCGTAACATAAAAATCCCATCTGTTATACCAATTCATTTATTCTAATAACTTTTTTTTAAAGCTTTTAATAGACTATACTTTTTTTTTTTTTTTTTTTGAGATGGAGCCTCACTCTGTTGCCCAGGCTGGAGTGCAGCGGCAGGATCTCGGCTCACTGCAACCTCTGCCTACTGTGTTCCAGTGATCCTCCTGCCTCAGCCTCCCAGGTAGCTGGGACTACAGGCACGAGCCACCACACCTGGTTAATTTTTTATATTTTTGACTATATTATAATAAAAAATCAGTTGACTATATATGTGTAGGTCTATTTCTGGGCTCTCTATTCTGTTCCATTTATGTATTTGTTTATTTTATGACTGACATACTATCTTGATCACCATAGATTTATAGAAAGTCTTGAAGCCATGTAGTCAATATTGCCTCCTTGGCTTTGCTACGTCTTATCTTTTCTTGTACACTTTAGAATCAGTTTATTGATATCCATAAACTAAATTGCTGAGATTTTTATTGGGATTGTTAAATGTGTAGGTCAAGCTGGGAAGAACTATCAATCATCTTAATATAGTCTTCCTATCCAAGAATATGGAATAACTGTCCATTTGTATAAAATCTTGATTTCTTTCATCATAGTTTTATAGTTTTCCTCATATAGCACTATACATTTTTTGTATTTTTAGTACAGACAGGGTTTCACTACGTTGGCCAGGCTGGTCTCAAACTCCCGACCTTGTGATCCACCTGCCTCAGCCTCCCAAAGTGCTGAGATTACAAGCATGAGCCATCAGTTTTATGTTTACAGAAAAATTGTGCAAAAATATAGTGTTGTCATACACACCTGCCCTCCACAAACACAGAGATACACCCAGTTTCTCTATTATTAACATCTTGCAATATAGTATAAGTAATGTACCATAATTATTAACTAATTCTATGGTTTACATTAGAGCTCATTTTTTGTGTTCTATGTTTTTCAGAAATGCACAGTGTTATGTGTTCACCATTACAGTATGATACAGAATAGTTTTATTGCTCTAAAAATGCTCTGTGTTCCACGTGTTCATTTCTACTTCCCTTACTGTGAACCCCTGGAAACCACTGATCTTTTCACTTTTATCTTTTCAAAATGTTATGTACTGTAATTATTCAGTATGTTACTTTTCGTATTTGATTCTTTGACTAAGCAATATGCATTTAAATTCCCTCCTTGACAGCTCTTTTGTTGTTGTTGAGTAACTCCTCGGTATGGATGTACCACAATTTACTTATTCATTCCCTTTTGAACGTTCTGAACAAAGCTGCTATAAACATTTGTGTGTAGGTTTTTGCATGGATATATGTTTTTAACTCATTTGGGTAAACATCTGGAGTGTGATTGCAGGATCATATGGTAAACCCAGGATTAGCTTTGTAAGAAAATGCCAAATAGTATCATTTGGCATTTCCACTGTATCATTTTTCATTTCCACCAGCAATACATGTGTTGCTTCACATCCTTGCCAGCATTTGGTGTTGTCAGTGTTATATTTTAACCATTTGATAGGTGTGTAGTAGTATCTCCATGATGTTTTAATTCACAATTCCCTATTGACATACAATGCTGAGCATCTTTTTCTGTGCTTGCTTTCCACGTGTATGTCTTCCTTAGAGGTGTCTGTTCAGATCTATTGCCCATTTGTTTACTGTTTGTTTTCTTAAGTATTAAGACCCTTAATAATAATACCAGTTATCAGATGTTATTTGAAAAATATTCTCTGTCTGTTGCAATTCTTTTTACTTTCATCTGTTCTTTTGAAAAGTGTAACTTTTTAATGAACTATTACATCATGTTTTCTCTGATAAATTATGTTTTTTTGTATCTAAAAAGTCATTGTCCAATCTAATGTCAGCTAGATTTCTTCCTATCTTCTAGAAATTGAACAGTTTGAATTTTAAAGTTAGATCTGTGATTCATTTTGAGTTAATTTCTTTTATGGAAGGTTTTCTCTCTCTCTCTCCACACACAAACACACACACACACACACACACGCACACAATGCGGATGTTCACTTGTTTCCACATTTGTTAAAATGACTGTTTTTTCTCCATAGAATTGCCTTTGTCAAAAATCAGTTGACTATATATGTATAGGTCTATTTCTGGGCTCTCTATTCTGTTCCATTTATGTATTTATTTCATGATTGACATACTATCTTGATCACCATAGATTTATAGAAAATCTTGAAGTCATGTCAATATTGCCTCCTTGGCTTTGCTACGTCTTATCTTTTCTTGCACACTTTAGAATCGGTTTGTTGATATCCATAAACTAAATTGCTGAGATTTTTATTGGGATTGTGTTAAATGTGTAGCTCAAGCTGGGAAGAATTATCATCTTAATATAGTCTTCCTATCCAAGAATATGGAATAACTGTCCATTTGTATAAAATCTTGATTTCTTTCATCATAGTTTTATAGTTTTCCTCATATAGCACTATACGTTTTTAAGTTATATGGGAGTATTTCACTTTTTGTTGCTAATGTGAACACTATTTTGTTTTTAATTCCAAATTCAAGTTGTTTATTATTGCCATGTAAGAAACCAATTGACTTTTGTATATTAACTTTGTATTCTGTAACTTTTCTATATCATTGTTATTTTTTTAGCTCCAGATTTTTGTGTGTCAATTATTTGTGATTTTCTACGTAGACAATGATACCATATGTGAAAAAGACTCTTTTTCTTTCTTCTTTCTCTTCCTTCTGTCTTTGTCTCTTATTTATTTTCTTGCCTTACTGAATTAGCTAGAATGCCCAGCTCTTTGTAGAATAGGAGTGGTGAAAGCATAGAATATGTTTTTTATTATAGGGGGTAAACACTTAGTTTCTCACTATTAGGTACTACGTTAGCTCTAGGGCTGTTTGTAGATGTTCTTTATCAAGTTGATGATGTTCCATCCATTCCTGATTTGCTGAGAGTTCTGATCATGTACAGGTATTGGATTTGTCAAATGCTTTTTCTGCATTTTTTGATATTATGGTCTGATTTTTCTTCTTTAGCCTATGAATGTGATATGTTAGAGTAATTGACTTTTGAATGTTGAACCAACTTTGTATACTTGGCCTAAATCCCACTTGTCTGTGGTATATAATTATTTATATATATAAAATATGTATATTTAGTTCTATTCAATTTGCTAATATTTTGTTGAGGACGTTTTTGTGTATATTCATGAAAGATATCTATCTGTCTAGAATTATTTTCCCAATTAGTATATTTCTTTGCTTTTGATATAAGGGTAACTTTGGAGTCATAAAATGTGTTAGAAATTATTCTCTCTGCTGCTTTTTTTCTGGAAGAAATTGTAGATAATTAGTATTGTTCTGCAAATACTTGATAGAATTCAGTGAGACCAACTGGCCTGTTGTTTTTTGTTGTTGTTTTGGAAGGTCATTGATTGTGGGTTCAATTTCTTTAATAGACATAGGCCTATTCAAATTATCTTTCTCCTTGTGTCAGTTTCAGTAGGTCATTTCTTTCAAAGAATTTGTTGATTTCATCTAACTTGTCAAATTTTGAGGCTTGGAGTTAATAATATTTCTTTATTATTCTTTTAACAACCATGGGATCAGTTGTGTTGGCTCTGTTTCATTTATGGTATTAATAATCATTGTCTTTTTCCTCCTGTTTGGCTAGGCTAAAGAGTTATCAATTTTATTGATGTTTTCTGAGAGCTAGCTTTTGGTTTAATTGGTTTTCTATACTGATTTCCTATGTACAATTTCACCACTTTTTGCTGTAATTTTTATTTCTTTTTTCTGCTTATTTTGAATTCAATTTTTTTTTCATTTTCAAGTTAATATTGAAGCATAGATTTTAGATTTTTCACCTTTTCTATATGTATTCAACATTATTATATATTCTCTCTAAGCATTACTTTTGGCATATCACACAAAATTTGATAATTTCTAATGCCATTTTGTTCAAAATATATTTTTAAAATTTCTAATATATCATCTTTGACCCATTTATTGCTTTGAAGTCTGTTCTTTACATATCCACATAGCAAAACACTTTGGAATTTTCTTGCTTTTATCTGTTATAGATTTCTATTTTAATTCCATTATGGTCTTAACGATGTACTTTATATGATTTTTATTTTAAATTTGCTAAGCTGTATTTTATAGTCTAGAATGTGTTCTCTTTTAGTGAGTGCTCCATGTAAACTTTAAGAATAATGTGTATTCCATGCTACTGGATAAAATATTCTATAGAGACAGGTGTGGTGGTGCTTGCCTGTAGTCTCAGCTACTTAGGAGCCTGAGGCAGGAAGATCACTTGAGCCCAGGAATTTGAGTTCAGCCTGAGCAAAATAGTAAGACACTGTCTCTTAAAAAAATTAAAATTAAGTATTCTATAAATTTTCATTAGATTCAGTTGATGTTCAGTTGAACTGTATAATTCCAAATTTTCTGCCTGCTGAATCTGTCAGTTAGTGATATAAAGGCTTAAATTGTCCAACTATAATAGTGGATTTCCCTATTTCTCCTTTGATTTCTATCAGTTTTTCAACACTAATTTTGATGCACTGGTGTTAGGTGTAAACACATTAACAATAGTCTATGTAAATAAATGATCCCTTTATCATTATGTAATGTTCCTGTTTATCCCTAATCATTTTACTTGCTCTGAAATATGCTATGTCTGAAATTGATGTAGCTACCCTAGATTTCTTTTTATTTATTTTAGCATGGCATATTCTCTATCTCTTTACCTTTAATCTATATGCATCTTTATAATTGAAGTAGGTTCCTGTAGATAGCATATATTTGGTATCCATTTTGATGGTCTATTATGTGTTATATATATCAAGAACATTTAAATTTAAATTATTGACATAGTTGCATAATATCTACCATATTTGTAACTGTTTCTATTCGTTGTTCGTGTTCCTTTTTCTGCCATATTTTTCATTCTCTGGTTTTAATTAAGCATTTTATATAATTTATTTTTAGTTGTTTATTCAAAGCAGGCAATATACATTTACAACTAATATCAGTCTACTTTCAAATAACATTATACTACCGCTTAGGTTGTTCAGGAAAATTATAGCTGAGTATTTCCATTTCCTCCCTTCTGTCCCTTACAACATTGCTGTCATACATTTCACTTAATCATAAATAACTGTTCAAAATAATAATGACAACAAAATATTGAACAAACTATTATGTGTTCAAAATAAGAACAAAAAAATTTTTATTTTACCTTTTTATTTCTTTTCAAATGGCCTTCCTTTATGCAGATTTGAATTTCTAAGCTATATCATTTCCTTTCCCTCTGAAGAGCTTTTTAACATTTCGTGCAAGGCAGGCTTACTAGTGACAAATTCTCTCAGATTTTGTAGATCTGAGAAAATCTGTATCTCCTCTGCACTTCTGAATAATAATTTTGCTGCTTATAGAATTCTAGAAGGTGGGGTTTTGTTTGCTTTCAACATTTTGAACATTTCACTCCACTCTCTTCTTGCTTTCATGGTTTCTGAAGAGAAGCTTGATGTTAACTTTTAAACTTGTTACCCTACATGTAAGGTTTTTTTCACCTTATCCCACCCCTGCCCTCTTTAAAGATTTTCTCTTTGTCTTTGACTTTCTACGGTTTGAATACATGACTAGGTACAGATTTTTTGATATTTGTCTTGCTTAGCATTCTCTGAACTTCCTTGACATATGGTTTTGTGTCTGTCAATAATTTTGCAAAGTTTTCAGCCACTACAGCTTCAAATATTTCTTCTGTTCCTTTTTGTTTTTATATTCCCATTGCATGTATGGTACACATTTTGTAATTGTTTCAGAGTGTTTAGGTATTGTGTTTCATATTTTTCATTATTTTCTTTGCAAAGTTTCTGTTGCTGTCTGCTGAAGCTCACTGATTCTTTTCCTGTCTGTGTCTGATGTCTCAGTTATTCTTCATCTCTGTTATGGAGTTTACAATTTCTATCAGTTTCTTTTGATTACCTCTTAGTAGTCAATCTCTATTAAATTATTTAGTGTATAATACTTGTTTTAATTTCCTGGTCTCATAATTTCAAAATCACCTTCATGTCTAACTTTGGTTTTAATGCTTGCCCTATGTTTTCAGACTGTTGTTTTCACCTTTTAACATGCCTTGTACATTTTTACTGAATGCCAGAAATGATATATTGCCTAAAAGGAACTGAGGTAGGTAGAACTTTACAGTGATGCTTTATGTTTATCTGCTATGAGATAGGTTCACTTTGCTATTTGCTGTATCTGCAGGTGTCAGAGGCTAAAATTTACTCTAGTGTCCTTTTTGTTGCCCTGTTGATTTCGTGTTTCCATAGGAATTTCTTAAATAGAGGCTGAGTCTTGCAATTATTTTCAGCTGTAATCTCCTGTTATTATACAGGAATCCTATTTTTGTTGTGGTAAAAATGTGGGGGAGAGGAAACATTCTATAATTCTATGATTGAGTATCAGTCTTATAATAATACTCTGCCCAAGTGCAATGACCTTTCTAAATCATTCTCATCTCTTAAATTTTACCCCATAGTGAGAGAAAAACTGGAGGGGGCTGGAGATGGCCATTTCCTTTCCCCCACATTGAAGGCAGAGGAAGCTGGAGTTGGGTATTTCTCTTTCCTCATGCTGAAGGTTAGTGAGGTCTAGTGTTGGGTACTTCAATTCTCCACATTGTTTAGGCTCTGCAGAAGAGTTTCCTTTGAGCACAGACCCTTTTTAAGGATTACCAACTGTTTTGGTTTTATTTTTAAATTAGCTACTTTTCTCCTTTCCTGCTGGAAGCAGAGCGGGATCTGTCTCACTTATTTACAGTTAGAACCTCGTGGAGCTCCTGAAGGTAAAACTCAAAAAACGTATGGGGAATTCCGCTCCCAAGGTCAGGGTTCCAGGAATTTTTATCTCTTGAGCTAGCCCACAGTCCATTACCAGCAGTTAGTCAACTATCCTTTAAGCATTCATACCCGAGGCTGGCGCTGCCTCTTGCAGTGGTTTCTACTCTGGTAATATGTGCTTCTCTATATATGGCTGTTACAGTTTTCAGGGCACTTACTTGACCTTGTAACCTCAATTCTTTTATGGATCTAAGAAGTTGCTGATATTCTGTTCTTCATCTTTTGTCTTGTTGTAAGGATTAAAGTGATACATTTCAATCTTTTCACTTCTCAGACTGAGAAGCAGAAATCCATTTTAAAAATCTTCAAAGAAACAACAAGAGTGAATATTGCAGAACAACATTTTAGAGGGGAAAATTAAAAACACTTTAAAACTTACAATTCTATACCCAGCAAAAATATCATTTTAAAAGACATCAAAAATAGCAGCATTATCAGACATACAAAAGCTGAAAGTATATATTACCAGCAAACACCAATTTTGAAAAATATTAAAGTCTTCCAGGCAAAAAAACTGTTACTAGATAAACAAAATGGAATAAAGTACACACAAAATGGTAACAGCATGGATAATTATTTAGTTTTTTGGTGTATGAGGTAAATATCTTTAAAGTATAATTGATTGCTTAAACAAAAATAGAAATGTACTCTGGAACTTATATATATATATATATATATATATAATAAAAAGCTATGACAATAATAGTATAAAAGCTAGGAATTGAGACACAGAAGTGCATTATTATAAGATTCTTGAACTATATTTGAATAGATATGATCTTACTTAAAGGTCAAATTACTAAGATAAAGCTGTATGTTGTAAACTCTAAAGCAACCACATTAAATTAGAGTTATTGTTAGGTTAGCAGAGATTGAAAACTAACAAAATAACCTAAAAGGCACAAAAACAGGAGGAAACAGAGAGAAAAGTAGAAAACAAATAGTTGACGTATTGAAACTCACCACATCAATTATCATATATAATCATTGGAGAATGACTGAAGAATAAGGTCCCAATAAATGCAGTCTACATTGAAACATACTTTTAATATAAATACACAAATAGGCTAGAAGTGAATTAACTGGGGAAAAAAACACTTGTTAACACTAATCAAAAGAAAGTTGGAATGGCTCCATCAATATTAGACAAAATAGATTTTGAAGCAAGGAAAATTATCTGAGATTTTAAAATCATTTTATAGCAATCAAGTGTTGGGTTATCAAGATAACATACAAATTCTGAACATGTATGCAGTTAATATAACACAATAAATAAAAAAACCTAAAGATATAGAAGACTTGAATAACAATTTCAACCAACGTGACCTGAGCTAAATGTGTAAGACATTTGATGCAACAGCAATAAAATGAATATTCAAGTCCACATAGGGCATTTACAAAGTGAGAATCATATTCTAAGACAAAAGAGTTTTAGTAAATTTAAACAGATTCAACTCATACAAATAATGTTCTCTGATGACAGTAAAATTAAATTAGAAATCATTGACAAAAGAGCTCTGAAAAATTTCCATATATTTGTAAATTAAATTATATACTAGTAAAGAACTTATGGCTCAAAAAATATTCACAAAGAAAATTAGCATTTTCAACTAAAAATGAAAATACAACATATCAAAGGCATGGAATGCCACTAAAAAATATTTAGTGGGAAATTTATAGTATGTTACTAAAAAAAGGCAGGCCTTAAATTAATGAACTAGAAAAATACATGGAAGAAAGGAAGTAATATGAATAAGAGCCAAAATAGTTTAAACACAACCCAGAGAAATCCTAATGAGAAAAAAATGAAAGCAAAAGCTAATTGTTTGATCAATAGAGAGGTTTCCAGTCATAATGAGAAAAATATGAGAGAAGGCACTTATTAGCAACACCTGGATTTAGATAGGACCATAACAACAGAATCTACAGATATGAAAAATAAAGTGCTAATGTAAACAAATGTATGCCAATAAAATCAACTGATTAGGTTAAATAGACAAATTCTTTGAATGACAAACTACTATTTTTAAAATTCAGCTTGTAGTCAAATCTCCACAAACAATATTCTAGAACTAGATGGCTTCACTAGTGAGTTCTACCAAATATTTAACAAAGAATAACAAATCTGTAATAAATCCTATAGTTTTGTGTGGTATTTAGAGTTTTCATATATATATATATTATATATATATACACACACACATATTTATGCACACATATATTCATATATATTTCATATAAATATATACATATGAAAACTATATTTCATACCTATGTAATATGAATATATATGAACTCTAAAGACTATTAAAAACTGTATATATACATGTCAATATATGACATATATATTCGTATATATTGAATAAATACACATAAATTATTTTCCCTGTTTGCAGATGGCATTATTCATATATTTTTTATATCATATCATATATATTTTTATATATATGAATGATCATGCCATCTGCAAACAGGGAAAATTTGTCTTCCTCCTTTCCAATTTGGATGCCCTATCCTTCTTTCTCTTGCCTAATTGCTCTAGCTAGAACTTCCACTACTATGTTAAATAAAAGTGGCAAAAGTGGGTATCATTGCCTTGTCCCAGATCTTAGAAAAAAAGCTTTCCGGCCGGGCGCGGTGGCTCACGCCTGTAATCCCAGGACTTTGGGAGGCCGAGAGGGGCGGATCACGAGGTCAGGAAATCGAGACCATCCTGGCTAACAGGGTGAAACCCCGTCTCTACTTAAAATACAAAAAAAATTAGCCGGGCCTAGTGGCAGGGGCCTGTAGTCCCAGCTACTCGGGAGGCTGAGGCAGGAGAATGGCGGGAACCCAGGAGGCGGAGCTTGCCGTGAGCCAAGATCGTGCAGCTGCACTCCAGCCTGGGCGACTGAGCGAGATTCTGTCTCAAAAAAAGGAAAAAAAACTTTCCATTTTCCTCATTGGGTATAATGTTAGCTATGGGCTTGTCACATATGGCCTTTATTGCTTTAAGGTATATTCTTCTATACCCAATTTGTTGTGAGTTTTTATTTGAAAGGGACATTGGATATTATCAAATGCTTTTTCTGAATTTATTAAAACAATCATATGAGTTTTTTCCCTCGATTCTCTTAATGGGATGTATCACATTTACTAATTTGCATGTGTTGAAACATCCTTGCATACCTGGGATGAATTCCATTTGATTTTATAATTATGATCTTTTTAATGTGTTGTTGAATTTGGTTTGCTAGTATTTTATTTTGTACTTGTGCTTCTATGTTCATCAAAGGTATTGTCCTGTAATTTTGTTGTTGTGTCTCTATCTGGTTTTGACATCAGGGTAATATCGACCTCATAGAGTACGTTTGGAATTATTTTCTCCTTTTAATTCTTTAAGAGTTTGAGAGGAATCAGTATTCGTTCTTTAAATGTTTGTAGCATTGAGATGTGAAGCCATTAGGTCCTGTGATTTTTTTGGATGAGAGAGTCTTTACTACTGATTCAATCTTGTTACTCAATGTTGGTATGTTCAATTTTTCTATGTCCTTGTGATTTAAGCTTATTATGTTGTATATGTCCAAAAATTTAACCATTTAATCTAGATTTTGAAATTGATTGGTATATAGTTGTTCATAATATTCTTATGATCTTTTGTATTTCTATAGTGTCTGTTGTAATGTTCCCTTTTTAATCCGTGATTTTATTTTAATTTTCTCTTTTTTCTTAGTCTAGCTAAAGGTTTGTTAATATTATCTTTTCAGAAAATCAACTCTTTGTTGATCTTTGGGATTGTTTTTTCATCTATTTTATTTCTGTTCTGCTCTTTATTATTTTTTCTTGTTAATTTTGTGGGGTTTTGTGGTTGTTGTTCTTGGTTTTCTAGTTCCTTGAGATGCAATCATTAATTTCTTTGGGATATTTGTACTTTTTTGATGTATTTATTTCTATAAACTTCCCTCTTAAAACTTTTTTTTGTATCACAGTGGTTTTTGTATGTTGTGTTTCTATTTTTTTTTGTATCACAGTGGTTTTTGTATGTTGTGTATCTATTTTCAATTATTTTAAGGAAATTTTAAAATTTACCTTTAAAGTTCTTCATTGATTCATCTGTTGTTCAGGAGCATGTTGTTTAATATCCATAAATTTGTTTAGTTTCCAGTATTCTTCTGTTACTGATTTTGTGTTTTACCTTATTGAGGTCATATAAGATACCTGATATAATTTAAATATTTTAAAATTTACTGACTTGTTTTGTAACTCAATATATGGACTATTCTGGAGAATTTTCTATGTGTTATTGAGAAAAATGTATATTCTGCAGCTGTTGGATGGAATGTTCTGTAATAATCTGTTAGATCCATTTGGTCTAGAGTGCAGTTTAACTGATATTTCTTTGTTGATATTTGTCTATTGCCGAAAGTGAGGTGTTGAAATCCTCTACTTTATTGTGTTATATTCAGTGTCTCCATTTAGGTCTCTTAATATTTGTTTTACATATTAAGCATCCCAGTGTTGAGTATACATATATTTAAAATTGTTATATCCTCATGCTATACTGATTTCTTTATCATAAGATAATGGCCTAGTCTTTTTTTAAATACTTTTTTTTTGGCTTAATGTCTATTATGTCTAATATACTCCTATTCCTTTTTGTTTTCCATTTGCATGGAATACCTTTTTCTTTTCCTTCACTTTCAGCCAATATGTATATTTTTAGGTGAAATAAATTTCTTCTAGACAACATACAGTTGGATCTTGGTTATTTTGTTTGGTCTTAACCAATTCAGCTACTTTATTTCTTCTAATTAGAGAATGTAATTCATTTGCATTAAAGATTATTAAAAGGTAATGATTTAGTACTGCCATTTTGTTACTTGTTTTCTGGTTGTTTTGTAGGTACTTTCTTTTTCTTCTCTGCCTTTTTTTGTAGTTAAATGATTTCCTCTATGTGTATGTTTTGATTCTTCTATACCATTTATTGTGTATGCCTATTACTTGCTTTTGCTCTGTAATTACTACAAGGTTTATAAAAAATTCTTGTAGTTATAACATGTTATTTGGACCTGATAATGACAACTTTTATCACAAAGAAAAGTAAAAAATATATATTTTTAAAATAATGCCCTTCTCTTAACCAATTATTTTAAGTATTGTCTTTAATAGTTTTGTCTTTGGTCTTCATACTTAAGATGTAATGTATATACCACAATTATAGTATTAGCGTATATTCATCTTTATTATGTTTACCAGTGAGTTTTATGCCTTCAGATGTTTTCTTGTTACATGTTAGCATTCTTTTCTTTCATATTGTAAAACTCCCTTTACCATTTCTAAGATAGGACTGGTGTTGATGAACTCCTTCAGCTTTTGTTTGTCCAAGAGCCTTTATCTGTTTTTCATGCTGGAAAGATTTGCTGGGTACATTATTCTTGGAGGGCAGTTTATTTGCAGTTTGCCTTCAGCGTTTTAGATATATCATCCCACTCCCCTCTCTCTCCTGGCCTTATGTAGTTTCTGTGGAGAAGTCTGCTAAAAGCCATATTTGGGCTCCGTTGAACGTGGTATGTTTATTTTCTCTTGCTGCTATAAATATTTTTTATTGTCTTTGATTTTTGGTGACCTATGAGCTTTCTGTACTTAGCTGCTGATGTCTTCCTCCAGGTTTGGGAATTTTTCAGCCATTTATTTTCTTAAATATGCTTTCTAAGCCTTTTTCTCATCTCCTTTGGGAACTCCCGTTATGTAGAGGTTGGTATCCCATAATTCTTATAGGTCTTCTTTACTCTTTTTTTCTCTCTGCTCTGCTGATTGGGTTATTTCATATGTTCTGTCTTTGTTCTGATTCTTTCTTCTGCTTGATCAAATATACTGTTGAAGCTTTTTAATGCGTTTTTCAGATTAGATATTGTATTCTTCTAAAATTTCTATTTGGTTGTTTAACTTGTTTCCATTTATTTTTCAAGTTTCTCTTGTTTGTTCCTGGATTGTTTTCCACATTTTTTTAGAGTTATTCATATATTCTTGTGATTTTCTTTTGAAGTTCTTCAAAAGAATTATTCTGAAATTTGTTAGACATTCATATATCATTAACTTTTATAGGTCCGTTACTGGACCTTGGTTGGTTTCTTTTGATGATATCGTATTTCCCTTATTTTTCACCGGCCTGCATTTTCACATTGATACCTGCAAATTTGAGGAGAAAGACACCTTTTCTAGCTTTTGCAGTCATTTTTTTCATGGTGTTCGGCTTGTACTACTTAATATTAGAACTTAATTGCTGGCTTGCTGTTCTTCCCAGGCTCGGTAAGATTTATAGTGAGAATCAGAACTTAAATGCTGCACTGAAATTACACAGTAGTGCTACTGTTGTTTCTTGCCTAGGGGAAGTTATAGTAAGAACCAGAACTTGAATGCCGCCTTGCTATTGTTTCCTCATTGTCTGGGGAGTATTTATGCAAGTGCTGAAACTCAATTGCAAATTTTTTAGTTGTTTCTATTTTGGAGATAGTTTCCACATGAGCAACCAGGCTTTGTGAAAAATCTGGCCAGGAATTCAGGTCTTCCTGAAGATCATGCTCCATGAAGAACTATGGCAGCTACCAGTCTTTTTAGGATGGCTGATAGGGACACAGAGCAGTCACTAAGATCCACACACCAGTTGCTGTGATCATCACTTTTTGTCCCCAGTTTATCCCAGGTGTTCCAGACCTCCAGCGCTCATAATGGTTCTTGTGGAATGAGACTTAAGTGGGCTTCTCACAAAGATTCCCAACTGGTGGGGATATTGAGCATCCACCTCCAATTTTCTTCTCCCACCTCAGAAACCTTGGGTCCAGAAAAATTATGTTAGTGTCATTATGCCTGCTTGGGAGAGAAAGTGGTGCAATTTGAAATGACAATTCCTCCTAACTAATTCTGGCTTCTCTTGATTCTGTGCTCCCAGTGGATTTCTCTTCTCTCCTGAGTTCTCATGAATTCAGGGTGGTATTCTTGTCTTTGAATAATTTTGACTTTTACTTTTGTGGCAGGAAATGATGCCAGGAGATCTTCTAGAGAGTTTTAACCTTTAAGTGCTGCAATAATTTATCATCATTGATAAAACAGCTCAGGTCCACATACACCATTTGTGAGAAATGACTAGCTAATTTCTACTTTAATACTCCCAGGACCTAAAACCTAAGGATATGAAGCTGTGACATCAAAAATCTATGCTCAATTAATATAGCACTATAATTTACTAAAAGTACATTTTATTTTGAATTGAAATGTATCTCTGTGTAAATTTTATCTATCAATCTTAATCATATTCCCTTGAAATATCACAAAACATAACAAGGATTAAAGAGTGTGGTCTCTGGTTTCAAATCTCAAGTTAACTATTTCCTGGCATTCTGACCTTAGGCAAAAATATTGAACTTGGCGCTGCCTCAATTTTGGAGTTGTTCTGGTAATTAAAAGGCATGATTAGGTAATTCATTTGGCTCAATTGGTTTATAAGCACTATTCTCTGATTCAGATTGGTAATCAGAAGTGGGAGTTTTTTGGTAGTTTGTTTTAAGGAAAGTTTTTAATAACTATCACTTGATGGCTGGCTTAAGAAAACAATCCTGGGATTTTTATTCTACAGCAGAGGCTGATAATCTTCATTTTCTATGGAAATGCTCTTGTTTTGCATCTCCAGAAGCATATGCAAGTGACCTTTTGCATTGAGTAGAACGACTTTTTAGAAATTGTTTGTCTAAGGTGGTAGTTGCAATGTGAGCCTGAATGGTTTCTAATTTACAATTATTGGTGTCTCCCCATTATGTTACCTCTCCTATCTCAGATGAGCCTCCACTGGGACTTCTATGGGACACTTGCTTAGGAGGAAGCTGAGACAGCCTACATAAGTTAAGGAGCATGCTCACTATTAGAACTGGCTCAAATGACTTTCCTTGTAGACTGAACTCTGTAACCTCACCTACTGGGTTCTCACTGGGCTTTCAGAAAGGATTTGACAAATGCATGACTGAATGAGTAAATATAAGTCAGCAACAAAGATTCTTTTTGGGAAAGAAGTAGGCCTGTGCCACGAACTACCTTAAATATTTATTATAATTTTTGTTATCTATTTAAATAAATATGGGCCTCTTGTTTTGGAACAACAAAATCATAACTGAATAATGTTGAGTTTTCCTCAGGCCAGTCAGCATCATTTATAATCCAGATTATCAGGACTAACAATTATAATATTTATGATACTTAGACTTTGTAAAGCTTAAAACACGTCTAGTTTCTCATTGGCTTTCTCCTGCTATGAGGAGATCTCTTATTTGTCACCAAAGCATTTTCACAATAATTTTTGTTTTGTCCTGGCAAAATAACCACATGGTTGTTTGAACCATATTTCATTTTAATCCAGCTTTTCTGGTGGGTGTTTTATGAACCCATGACTATCATAGGAAATGCCACCATCTGGAAGACATTCTCCCAAATTTAAGTACAAAGTCTAAGTGAAGATTTATTATCCCATAAATAAGTAGTTAAGTGTCTACATAGAATCTCCCTGATATGAAAGAAGTTGTTATTTATAAGCAAATCTATAAATTACATCTACTCCATTCTTCACAAATATAGCAACCCATTTGTTTCATTTACTATACCTAGATAGCTTCTTTTTGCATTTCTTGTGTGAATAGTAAAATGGATTATCTGCAGTGAAACAATGCTTACCAGAACTTTAGCCACATACCTTTCTGGTTGCCTTGTTATATAAGAGTTGAATCACTAACCAGTTTTAAATTTCATTTAATTGTATTACTTTCCAGTCTAGATTTTAGACCTTCAAAACTGCATTGAGCTAAAGATGGCTGCTTCAGTAGTCACAACATAATTATAAATTCCTCAGTGTCTGGAGGAATTTGTTATAAAACTTGGTATTAGGTGATTTTGAGAATGGACTAAAGAAGTAGTCTAAATGGACTAAAGAAGTAGGTCTTGTTTTCTGATAGCATCCAAACCAAAGACAAGGGTAATTTTATGATTAGGTACATCAATTTTTTATTTAGGAATGGTAGGTGCAGTGTAGGACGAATGCCATAATTGATAAGGAGAAGCAGTTACTTATGTTCAGTGGAAGAAAGACATGTTTGTTCAGTTTTGTCATTGTACAATGCTAGTTTTTCGCTGTGCTCCCATATAATAATGTGTCATCCTGTTTGGTCTCAATGCATCAGAATAACAGAGTTATCTTGTCTGAGGTTAATGTTCTGTGACTTATTTCTGTTGAATATTGACCACCGTGGCCAAGCTCTTAGGGCCAGGCTTGGTACCAGCTGGAAGCTCAGAAAGTTGGCCAAATTAGGTGGAGAAATCATAGTACTAACCTGGGGAACCGAAGTTAAGAAGAGAGCTGAGTCAATCATGTGGCCCAAAACAAGAAACACAAACAGATTAGAAAATCTCTAGATGCCAGGAGGATTTTGACTTAACGGGAAATCAAGTGTTTTCAAACTTTTTCAGTTTTGTAAATAATTAAGAATAGGGCTTCTGGGATCTATTGCTAAATCTTTCAATGAGCCAGTGCTACTTTGAGTACCTGAGCTATCAAGAAACATACTTATTTTGTGATATGTAATCAAAATAAGACTTTCAGGTGGGAGAAAAATCTAATCCTTAAAACATCCAAGTATCTAGTCGATTTTATTTTGGGTACACATGACATCTACTATCCCAAATGTTGGGAAACAACAAATATCCATCCAAATTACAGACAAAATATCAGTTTCTCATTTAGTTACAAGGTCTACATTTGAGTGAAGTCATGGTCCACCCTGAAATTGTGATATTTATTTAAAATATCTAGTGTCAATCACCCTTTAAACAAATTAATGCAATATTCCTACTCTTGTTTGATCTCTGGAAGAATGAAAGATAAATACGTTGGTTGATGGTTCTTGATTTTGTAACCATTTGGCAGCTAACCGAAAATGCAATCTGTGTCTATTATACTCTTCTTCTAAATCCATTCACACCCTTCAAAATGTCACAACTAATCACCCTGCATCTCCAGCCTCTGGAGAACAGAAACTTCACACCCTCAATTTCTTCAATCATAGAGCTCTGTACAGTCAAGCGTGTAATCAGCCATTTGTCATATACTTTGGAAATTTCATAGTCAAAACAAAACAAAAAAAAACCTAGACAACTAAAAGATTGTTAAAAAGAATGAAGTTTCTATTAAAATAGATTATCCCATTTTGCATGTTCTTTCAACCTCACATTTTCCCTTTCTCTATCTTAACATAGAGACACATAGTTGACACAACTATATTCATTTGTTTTTAGCAGCACTGCTTGATCTACTTTGACATTGATGTTCATACAATCTATAGGATGGAGTAAATGACAACTGAAAATGGAACAATGACTTCAGCAGAGGGACCTTGGGCATAAATATTAGACCATATGCCAAATAAGGGTCAAACGAATAATTATTAGCTACTGACGCCTGTAAAGTTCATGTCTGGATTTTTCAAGTCCTTAATATAATGGGATCTTAGCTGGTCAGAAAAAAATATTTTTATATCTTAATAAACTTAAGATTGAATAAAATATCTATTAATACCAAATTCTGTATTTCTACCATTGTAATCATAAATTATACTTTAGACTTCAACTGAATTAGGTAATTAGGAAAATATAAGAGATCCTGACCTAGACTTTTAAAGAAGGCTTCTCAAATCTGTCCATGTCTGATCCTTGTTTCCTCTGTCCCCTTAGAACTTAGGAATTACCTACTTACCTGATGTCCCAGAACAGCACATCAGTTACCCTGATGTCAATGAGGAGGTCTGATTCAGGGGTACTCCTAATCAGTCTGTCTTTCACTTCTTAGAATGTTTTTGTAGTTCTGTCTGTTACTCACAACCTAGAAGTTGACTATATGGCAATAAGGAAAACAGGATTTATTTCCTGTTCTGTATCTTGCTATCTAGATGATCTTGGGTATATCTTTCACAGTGATACAGTTGGGTCCACGGTCTGCTTTTTCTTTTCTTTAAATTGAAAATGATATAGTAGAATCAGTGATTATTCTGAAATTAGAGATGGAGGAAATGCTGTGGAACAGGAGAGTTGTAATATGAGAATTTTAGGAAAGTTTGTGTATGGTAGAAATAAAGCAGGGAAGAGTCTCTGTTTGATTTATTCTAGCAACATTTGAATTACAAATCTTAAGTGAAGGTGTATGATATCTGTATTTATCAATGCTGGAATTGTACATAGATTGAGAACCACTGGACTAGGTAAACTTTAGGATATCTTCTGGTTCTCTATCCTTCTCTCTCTCTTCTTTTGGTAGTTTGTATAATTTACTTATTTTAATCTATATATTTGGTTTCTTGTTTGTAGATTTTTTTTGACAGCTAATTTTTTCGAAGGCAAGGATTTATCTTTCCTCTTTTGTACACACTAATTATATCTTGCACACTGCTGAGGCTCAGAGAATGATACCCAAGTATCGTGCTTTGACATGCTGAGTACTTTAAACAGAAAGATACTGAGGCTGGGCACAGTGGCTGATGCCTATAATCTCAGCACTTTGGCAGTCCCAGGTGGGAAGATCACTTGAGCCCAGGAGTTCAAGACCAGGCTGGGCAAAGTGAGACCCTATTTCTACAAAAACAAAAAAATTAAAAATTAGCCAGGCATGATGGTGTATGCCTGTAGTCCCAGGTACTCAGGAGGCTGAGGGAGAAGCATCACTTCTCCCACCTTTCTGTGTAAAAGCTGGCCACAAAGAAATTCTCTGACTTCCCTTGTCTAATAGTAGGTCATAGAACCTTTATTCTAGACAGAGTCCTGCCATATACCCAAGAGGAAGGAATGCCACACAGAAAGACCAAGAAAAATCTGAAAAGAGGCCTTGCTGAATGTCTTCATGTAGCCTGTCACCATTAGATCATTTACTTTTTTTCAATGGTATTCCTACATGGATGTCCATTCTTCATCAAACCTAATCATAAAAATAGACAATTTTCTCTGGGTCTTAACTTCTGAAAGCTCCCATGTCAAGTAAAACTTTGGTTAAATACATCTGTTATGTTTTTCTCTTGTTAACCTGTCTTTTGTTTTAGGAGTGTGAGCTGTGACTCCAATAATGGTAAGAAAAGTTTTCACACCTTTTCTATTCTTAAAACACTGAACACTTGATAAGATTCCTTGGAGGTCCCCTGGTGGGTTCCTCTGACAGGGAAGCAAGATTTTCCCAAGGATGAAGGATGAAAACCCTGGGAGCGGAGTATTTGCCTTTACTCTTTTCTTTTTCTATTTTCCCTAACTTGTTTATTCACTGTGAGCATCTATGTTTGTTTCTTCCCTTTTTTCTGTTTCAGCAAATGTTCAGTGTCTTCACTTGTTCTTAATTACTTAACACTTAATCTAAGGAAATAACTGATAAATTCATTAGCACTGAATTTTAAAACCTAGTAAAAAAGCAGAGTGCTAACTCTTTCATGGGGTATTTTAGCTTTCTAATGAAAAAGTATTCACACTAATTGAGAAAATGTTCCAATGGTAAGATTTCAAGTATAAGTAAGGTCAGAGGAAAGAAAGTTTTGCAAATACAGAGGTCTTGCTAAAAATTCAGAAGTGATAGGATGTAAAAAAAGGAAAAAAAAATCTGGGATATTCTAGGATAATTAACTTATTGTTAATAATACATTTTATTTTTATTAATGAAGAGAACTTTTTATTTCCACTTCAGAAAAAACCCAAGAAACTGGAATTTGTGCCAGAAATTTTAAACTTTTAAGAGAAATATTAAGTGAAATTAGATCAGAATTTCGCTCAGTTTGGGCATCCTTAATAAAAATGTAATTTTAATTTTTATGAACCAAAGTTATATACGTTTAACTCCTTCAAACATGTATTTGATATCAGAAAGCAGATGTGGAGAACTACATGTGTTTAACTATTTTGAAATTGTGATGGGCAATAGCCATAAAAAATTGTATAATATAGTATTTGTAGACATTTTCATGGCTTTTTAAAAACATTTTTATAAAATCTGCCAAATTTTATGAAATTTACATTTAAAAAGTCTAAGATTTATAAATGGTCTGTTAAAAATATTTAAGGACTTAATGTACGTAATTTATCATATTAGTTGGGTTTGAGCTCTTTGTGAACTTCAGTGGGGATGGAAAATTGAAATAGTAAAAGGAAAAATAAATGTATTGGTTCAGATATTTTAGTTACCTGTAAAATAATAATAATAGTAATCATCATCATCATCACTCCAAATGGCTTAAGCCACAAAGTAAGTTTCAGCCACTGAAATAGTAAAGACTGGGGTCAGGCTGGCCTTCATCTCAGCTGGCTTCCCTCATAGTGGCATTTGCAGGATCTATCCATGTACATACCAATGCCCAGAAACAGAGATCTTCTAGCTTCCTCTGAACTACTGAAAAATTGCTACACTCTCCTCTGATCTCTACCTATAACCAGGGGAATATCAAATTATCACCCACCTCTGAACCATGCACTGAATAAAATAGATGAGTTTAATTGGCTTAACAAATCAAGATTCTTGCTAAAACTAGGTAGATGTGAAGACTGGGCTGTAACTGGAAGGCATGAGACACAGATGTGGGGTAGGCAATCTCATGTCTACTACACATAGTATAGGTTTCTACTGAAGATGGCAGCTGATAGGTGGTGAGAAATGGAAGCAAAAGAAAGCAAAGCCCTGGGAAAATGGAGAAAGTGTCCTTATCTTGGTCTCTGGGCTAGAGGCTTGGGGACTCTAAAAGAAAGATTGTCTCTGAGAAGCAAGCAACATTCTTTGTCATTTTATTTCTTCTCATGATTATCTCATTTGTCACTAAAACTCATGTGCAGCCTCAATAAGGAAATTTGTCTTGGAAACACAGCCCTGAAAGTATTGTGATTATCTTCAATGTGGGTTGGTCTCACTGTAAACTAACCTATTAGGAAACAAAATGCCCTTCATTTTCATAAGACATAATCAAAGAGTGGCTTTTTATTTTGAAATAATTTTCACTTGAAAAATATTAACCATTATGATTACAAAGGACCTGTGATAGCATTTGTTGAGTGCTTAATATTTTTATATGCATTATCTTTCTTAATCCTCACGACTACCTGATGAAGTAGATCTACCATGTCACTTTTTTTCCAGGTGTTTTGAAGCATAATACATTGCCATACAAGTCACGCTTTGTTGGGGTAAAGTTTTAGAACCTTTGGCAAATGCATAAAGTCATGTAATCTCAGTCCAGTCAGCAGTCTCTTTACCCCAAAAAGTTCTCTGCTATCTTTGGAATTAATCCTTTCTCCTCTTTTAGAGCTCGTTGTAACCACTGATTTGCTTTGTGTCCTTCTGCTTTTGCTTTTTCCATAATACCATATAGATGGAATCATACAACATATAGCCTTTTATTTTTAGATTTTTCATTTGCATAATGCATTTGATATTTATCCATGCTGTTATCAATGCAAACCTCCTTGGATGTTATTGGTAATTCATTTTTAAAGGAATTCTTGAATAATATCACAGCATACAGATGCACCAGAGTTTGTTTTCCCACTCACAAAGTAATGGATATTTGGATTTTTTTTTGGTGATTATGAATAAAGCCAGAGTAAAATATTGTGTCAGACTTTTTTATATGACTATATATTTACTGAGACTTTCTTTCATTTATCTTTGGATATTATCTATAAATGGGATCACTGTGTTGCATAGTAGATATATGCTTCATTTAATAATGAGGAAATCAAGCAATTAAAAGGTTAAATTAGCAGAACTCCAATTTAAACAAAAGCAGTTTAGCCCCAAATTACATAGTTTTAACCATGACCTCCACATACTTGATCTAACATATCATTGTAAATAATAATTTTTTAGATTGAATGCAATTTTTACTCTGATAACATATATCGTAAACATTGCCGTATATAAGAAAGGACCAGCAAAGATCAGGATTTGCTCTTTTATGGCAGATGCTGCTCTTGGTACTTTTTTGTTTCTTTAAAACCTTTCTCCTATGTCTGGAATTAAACATTTTCTTTGTTTCTATATAAGATTAACATCTTCTCAAGAGCAAAATACATACACATACCCTTCCATGTGAAATCTTCTTTCTCTCTAGTGGCCACCCCAAGTTTAAGAAGGACCTCATGCCCAAAATAAAGTAAAAAAAGAAATCCTTAGATACTTTGGAGTCTAAACTGTTTGGCTTACAAATAAGGAATGAGCGTCTTTTGTAAGGTTACTGAGCAAATCCATAGCAGAACTGATTTTAAACTGAGGATTTTGCATGCCCCCCAGATTATTCTCCAAACTGATAGTGTTTCTCTTATTGAATTCAGCATAAGCCAATAATCAAATATTTATTGATGTCTACTAATATATTAGGTTATTTTGAAAAATACCACCAATATCATCGTCAATGCCATCTCCTGATAATGTTAACTCAATAACTCCCATTATAACAACTTTTATTTACATTTTCTTCATTCTGTCACCTCTGAAGATGGCTATTTCAGCTTCATAGTAAGTGTCATTAAGGTCTCCAAAAGTTATGAGTTACATTCTTTTTCTTTGCCTAAACATTGGTTCTCAATGGAACCAATTATACAACAGCCTACATCTACTTACAATGGTTAAAACTCTGCTTTTCAACTGATTTTAAATGTGCCCTAGTAAACATTTGAAAAGATAAAAATTATCAATTGCTAACCTTCTTTTTCAATACTTCTTTCCTCTTTCCTGTTTTTACTATTTTTCTTCCAGAACTTATCAATTGCTTTTGTGGCAGCTTTTGGCTCAGGGACACTATTGAAAATTTAATCATGCTCAAATTTTACCCAGTGAAAACTTAATTGCTAACTTTTTCTCATTCAGATAGGACTTGTGTATTATTTAATAATCTTTAAACCAGGAAAAGCCTTAAAATTCTCTAAAGCACTAGGAAAAAAATTAGAAGTAAATTATAGATAGCTTTGACAAATGTTCCCTCAGTAGAAATCTTTACATTATAAAGGTAAGAGGATATTTGGCTTTTTAAATTTCATGCTTTTTATTTTATTAAGTTCCAGAGTACATGTACAGGACGTGCAGGTTTGTTACACAGGTAAACATGTGCCATGGTGGTTTGCTGCACCTACCAACCCATTACCTAGGTATTAAGCCCAGCATGCATTAGCTATTTTTCCTGATGCTCTCTCCCTCGCGCCACCCCTTCCCAAAGGCCCCAGTGGGTGTTGTTTCCCTCCCTGTGTTCATGTGTTCTCGTTGTTCAGCTCCCCCTTATAAGTGGGAACACGTGGCATTTGAATATTTGGCTTTTAAGGCTAGTTCTGCTCCTGTTCACTTTGGTTATCCACCTATTTGTGGAAGACCTATGGGAAAATTTTAAAAGATTAGCTTATTTTCTTCTTTACCCACAGTCTAAATTGTCTCTTCTCCTTTACGTTTGTGCATTTTAAAGTATTGTGATATAGTTCTCCATTAAATTAGAAAATATATAAACTAAGCTACCACTATCTGAATTAGGGAATGATTTTTGATAATATTTATTTTTTAAATCTTTGTGTTAAAAGCAATTATAAAAAAAAACAATCACACATATGCTTATGGTTCAGGGTTCAGCAGATTGGGAGGATTTTGGATTTGGGTTCACTGGTTAGGTCAGTGGAAGTTTCTGCTAACTCTAGAAACACTTTAACAACTTTTGTGAGGCTAATGCAGCAGTCAGACAAAGCTAATTTATCTCCATGGCTTTCTGTTCTTCTAGGGTGACAGTTTGTCAGTTTGACTTCCCATTTAAAGGTCAAAGCAGTGCACCTTAATTGATGGTGGGTGGAAAATGTCTTGAGAAGATTATAACCTTCAGCTTGCTTAGGAATTTGGTAACTGATGTTTGCTAAACTTCATTTGCTTTACTCCCCAACCCTCACCTCAAAATTTTATGTCTGTGAACAAAGTGGAACTGGTTTATTATACCAACCTGCTTATCCCCATAACTAAACTATAAATCTATACATTAACCAGTATACAATATAATATGCCTGTATGGTCAGCACTGAAAAGATCATAGGAAATGATTTGCTAGCTAGCATGGAAGATCGTATTAACTTAGGCCATAGGAACACTGCACTGTAAGTAACAGACCCTACGTAATGCCTTACAGGTCTAAAATGATTAAGTGATTACAAAGCATTCACAGAACTACTGCTACTACTATTTATAACAATGAGTTAAATGATTTTTATGTGCACTTGTCACCAGGCTAAGTGACTTACAAGCATTGTCTCATTTAATCTTTACTAAAATCCCATATATTATATTTTGTAATATAATTATATTGCATTAAAATATATTATCACTATTTAATGGACTGAATATTTGCATCCTCCACAAAGTTCATATATTGAAGACTGAGGTGGTTTGGCTGCATCCCCACCCAAACCTCATCTTGAACTGTAACTCCACAATTCCCACGTCATAGGAGAAACCCAGTGGGAAGTGACTGAATTATGGGGGTGGGTCTTTCGTGTGCTGTTCTCGTGATAGTGAATGAGTCTCACAAGATCTGATGGTTTTAAAAATGGGAATTTCTCTGAAGCAGCTCTTTCTTTGCCTGCTGCCGTCCACATATGATGTGACTTGCTCCTCCTTGCCTTCAACCATAATTGTCAGGTCTCCCCAGCCATGGGGAACTGTAAGTTCAATAAATCTCTTTCTTTTGTAAATTGCCCAGTCTCGGGTATGTCTTTATCTGCAGCATGAAAACAGTCTAATAAATACAGTAGAGTATTGTTGAAAAGATACCTGAAAATGTGGAAGCGACTTACTTTGGAACTGGGTAACAGGCAGAAGTCAGAACACTTTGGAGGGCAGAAACACGTGGGAAAGTTTGGAACTTCCTAAAGACTCATTGAATGAATGGCTTTGACAAAAATGCCCATACTGATGTGAACAATGAGGTCCAGGCTGAGGTGGTCTCAGACGGAGATGAGGAACTTACTGAGAACTGGAGTGAAGGTAACTCTTGTTATGTTTTAGCAAAGAGACTGGTGGCATTTTGCCCCTACTCTAGATTTGTGGAACTTTGAACTTGAGAGAGACGATTTAGGGTATCTGGCAGAAGAAATTTCTAAGCAGCAAAACATTCAAGAGGTGACTTAGGTATTGTTAAAGGCATTGAGTTTTACAAGGGAAGCAGAGTAAAAAAGTTTGAAAAATTTGCAGCCTAACAATGTGATTGAAAAGAAAATCCCATTTTCTTAAGAGAAAATTCAAGCCAGCTGCAGAAATCTGCAAAGTAAGGAGGAGCTGAATGTTAATCCCCAAGACAATAGGGAAAAGGTCTCCAGGGCATGTCAGAGGTCTTCATGGAAGCCCCTCCCATAAGAGGCCTGGAAGCCTAGAAAGAAAACAGGGTTTCCTGGATCAGGCCCAGGGTCCCCATGCTATGTGCAGCCTAGGGACTTGGTTCCCTGTGCCTCAGCCACTCCAGCCATGGCTGAAAGGGTCCAACATAGAGCTTGGCCTGTGGCTTCTGAGAGTGCAAGCTCCAAGCCTTGGCAGCTTCGATGCCGTGTTGAGCCTGCAAGTACACAGAATACCAGAATTGGGGTATGGGAACCTCCACCGAGATTTCACAAGATACATGGAAATGCCTGGATGGCCAGGCAGAAGTTTGCTGCAGAGGCAGGGCATTCATGGAGAACCTCTGCTAGGGCATTGCAGAAGGGAAATGTGGGGTCAGATCCCCCCTACAGAGTCCCTACTGGGGTACCACCTAGTGGAGCTGTGAGTAGAGGGCCACAATCCTCCAGGCCCCAGAAAGGTAGATCCACTGACAGCTTGCACCATGTGCCTGGAAAAGCTGCAGACATTCAACACCAGCCTGTGAAAGCAGCCAGGAGGGAGGCTGTGCCCTGCAGAGCTATGGGGGCAGAGCTGCCCAAGACCATGGGAACCCACCTCTTGCGTCAGTGTGACCTGGATACTAGACATGGAGTCAAAAGAGATCATTTTGGAGCTTTAAGATTTTACTGTCCTGCTGGATTTTGGAATTGCATGGGGCCTGCAGCCCCTTTGTTTTGTCCAACTTCTCCCATTTGGAATGACTCTATTTACCCAATGCCCATACCCCCGTTGTATATAGGAAGTAACTAACTTGCTTATGATTTTACAGGCTCATAGATGAAAGAAACTTGCCTTGTCTCAGATGAGATGTTGGACTGTGGACTTTTGAGTTCATGCTGAAATGAGTTAAGACTCTGGGGGACTGTTAGGAAGGCATGATTGGTTTTGAAATGTGTGGACATGAGATTTGGGAGGGGCCAGGCTGTTTCCCTACCCAAATCTCATCTTGAATTGTAACTCCCACAATTCCTACATGTTGTGGGAAGAACCCGGTGGGAGATGATTGAATTATGGGGGCGGGTCTTTCCTGCACTGTTCTTGTGAATGAGTCTCATGAGATCTGATGGTTTTAAAATGAGAGTTTCCCTGCACAAGTTCTCTTTGCTGGCCGCCATCCATGTATGACATAACTTGCTTCTCCTTGCCTTATGCCATGATTGAGAGGCCTCCCCAGCCATGTGGAACTGTAAGTCCAATAAACCTCCTTCTTTTGTAAATTGCCTAGTCTTGGGTATTTCTCTATCAGCAGTGTGAAAATGGACTAATATAAAAGCCTTAGCCCCTAATGTAACACTATTAGGAAATAGGGCTTTAAGGAAGTACTTACATTAAGATGAGATCATGAGGGTGAGGTCTTCAGGTTGGCATTAGTGTCCTTATAAGAAGAGAAAAGAGAGGATATTTTGTCTTGCTCACTCCCCCCCCAGCATTTTTTTTTTTTTTTTGGCTATGTCAGGATACAGCAAAAAGGCAATCAGCCACTCACTAAGAGGGCCTTCACCAGAACCTGACCATTCTTGCATCCCAATCTTCAGAGTAAAAAGAAATTTATGTTGTTTAAGCTACCCCATTCTCCATCTATAGTATTTCATTATAACAGCTAAGCTGACTAAGATACTTCATTATTTGTGTGAGGAAACTGAGACTAGATAGGCTGAAAATAATTTATTAAACTCGCATAGGTAGTAATGATGCCAGTGGAGACAGAGCATAGGCCCAGGCCTTAATGGATCAAAAGCCATGTTTTTATTTTGGGTTTTGTGTGTGTTTGTGGTTTTTTGCACAGAGGTAGGTATAGCAGTACTAAAGACAGATGTAGCAACCCCATAGTTTCCTCCCAAAAACTTTCTATGGAACATAGTAAGGGCCGAAGTTGAGATATCACTCCATTTGTTTATTCATTTACTCCATTTTTGGCTTTTCATATCAGAAGACATACTAGTGTAGATGATGATGTGTCTAACACATAAAGGCAACTATTAAAGCAGTAAAGATACACTATAGAATGCTGGCAATTCTACTTTTGTTTGCACCTGACACTTTTCCTGTATGACTCATACTATTCTATGTAATACTATGTTAGTCTAAGTAATTATCCTTTTTTTTGGGGTGGGGGATGGGGTGGCAAGGCCTTGCAATCTTGCCCAGGCTATACTTGAACTCCTGTCCTCAAGCAATCCTCCTACCTCAGTCTCACAAAGAGCTGGGATTATAGGCATGGGCCTCTACTCCTGGCCAGCAATCATCTAATATATTGTCAGGCTTGTACAAATTGAGTATGGTAAACAATTTCAATCTTAGGTCCAAGTAGGGCAAAATGCTCCCTTTCTTATCTAAGAAAATCATTGATTTTCTTTTTTTTTTCCCCCACAATTACTCTCTTCTCTTAACACAACTTTCATATTTTCTTATGTCATGGAGATTCCAAACCATATTTGAGCAGGGAGAAAAATCAGTGCACTTGAAGATAAGACAATGGAAATTGAGTCTTGGAAGAAGAGGGAACAGATTCTGTGGGACACAGCAAACAGACCACCATGTGCATTGTGGGAATCCCCGAAGAAGAAGAAAAAGAAAATGGAATAAAATACTCAAAGAAATAGTGGCTAAAAACCTCTTAAATGAAAAAGATACAAGTACGAACATTAAAAAAATTCAAAACACATCAAAATGAAATCAAAGAGACCCACACTAAGACACTTTATAATCAATCTTTTGAAAGATAAAGACAAAAAGAAGATCTTAAAAGCAGCAAGATAACTGACTTACATACAAGAGATCAGCAATACCATTATCAGATTTCTCATGAGACATTTTGAAGGCCAGAAGGCATTGGACCTTGAAAATCTCCCAAGTGCTGAAAGAAAAAGCAAAAACAAAACAAAAAAACCCACAAAAACAAAACAAAACAAAATAGCCACAAAAAATGCTGTCAACCAAGAATCCTATAGAAAATCTGTCCTTCAAATGTAAGAAATTAAAACATTTTTAGATGAACAAAGCTTTGGGAATTTATTACCACTAGACCTACTCTACAGAAAAGTTTCAAGGGACTTCTACAAAATGAAATAACACTAGACAGTAATTTGAAGCCATATAAAGAAATAAAGATGTCAACAAAGGTAAGAACATGAGCGATTATAAAACTAGTGTTATTGTAATGGTTTGTACTTTCACTTTTTGATTTCTACATAATTTAATTAATACATTAAAAATAATTTTAAAAGCTAGTTTTGTTATAGCTTTAGTTTGTAACTCCACATTTTGTGTTTTTTAAAATATAATTTAAGACTAATACATTTAAAAGAATTATTCGTTTCTTTGGGGGCATGCAGTGTATACCAGTGTAGTTCTATCACATAAGTGACTAAAAGAGGTGAGTACAAAGCTGCAAAGTTTTTGCATGTTATTCATGTTAAATTGATACAAAGTTAATATAGAATATTATAGCTTTAGAATATTAAATGTAATCCACATGGTAACATGTATATATACAACAGGAAGTAAGAAATTTAAACATGTCACTACAAAATAAACAGAAGAGGAAAAATAGAGAAAAATCAAAAAACCCAAAAGTTATTTCTTTGAAAAGATGAACAAAATGAATGAAACATTAGTCTAGCACTAAAAAAAAGAAAAGACTCAAATTGCTAAAATCAGAATTGAAAATGGGTATGTTACTCCTGTTTCTAAAGAAAATAGGACTCTGGATAATTACATAGCAACAATTGGATAATCTAGATAAAATGAACACATTTCTAGAAACACAAAATCTAGTAGGAGTAAGTCATGAAAAAATAGAAAATCTAAATAAATCTGTAACTATTAAGGAGATTGAATTCATAATCCAACATCTGCTGACCAAGAAAAAGAAAAGAAAGCCCTAAACCTGGGCTTTTTGGTGAACTTATTTCTTTGTTGAATTAAGCTAAACAGTTAAAGAAGAACACCAATCTTTAAGTTTTCTGGAAAACTGAAGAACAGGAAATATTTCCCGATTTACTCTATCAGGCCAACATTACTCTGATCTAAGACAAGGATGCTAATAAAATTATAGGCCAAGATATCTTATAAACATTAATGCAAAATTTCTCAGCAATATACTAACAAATTCAGCAATATAATTTAACATATGCAAATTGATCAATATAATAGACTGCATTAATAGAATATATATTTAAAAATATATGTGTATGTAAAATTTTATCTTTGACCCCCAAGTTGTTTAGAATTCTTACTAATTCTTAAACATGAGAGTTTTATTCTCTCTCTCTGTTATTTCTAATTTAATTTTATAACAAACAATGAATATGATCTGGTAAGATAAGACTTAAAGTGTATTTTTTTGCTGCTTTGTGGTTTAGCTTGTGATCAATTTTTATAGTCTGTGTTGTAAAAAAAAGAATGTATATCGCCCATTTATGAAGATCAACATCCCATGTTAATTTTGTTGTTTAAATCTTCCATAGCACCTTTAAACTTCATTTATTTTTTCCTTCTTGATCTATTAATATTCAAAAGATATTTATTCAATCTCCCTTTAATCCCATCATGTTTTACTGCTTTCTGAATAACTTCTACAGATCTTTCAGTTTACTAGTTCATTCTTTACCGTGGTCTAATAGAAATTTAAATGTGGGAATGATTAGTACATCCATCTTACATGTGAGAAAACTAAACTTCAGAGTAACTTGGCTAAGAAAGTACATTTGGTATTTAATGGTTGAACCAGAGTCTAATTATACAGGGCTTCAAAATCTATTCAGCTTTATCCCTAACACAATAAAGAACATTTTTCTAAAGAACAAGAAAGAATTGGATTGATATTCTAGCAATCACATAGAGACACCTAGCTAGAATGATAATATTGGGGATTCAGCTTCATTTGAAACCAGCTGATTACATTTGTTGCCATGAGGGTTTCTGAGCTAAACTCACAGCTTTGAACTCTGTGTGGACCAGTTTATTTGTTCAGGGACCCTGAAATTCTATCAAAACTATGCACTAACAGGCACATGTAGAACCAATGTAAAAGTGCATTTGGGGGAGTAGGGAAGAGCTTAAGGTATTTTCCTGTCAAACTCTTCAATATTCTTGGCCTCAGAAAATAGATCAGAATAATATATTTTTTTAAATGCTTGCTACTCTGCAACCTCCAGATTCTTGAAAAGGATAGATAAATTGAGATTTACTTGGAGATTTGCTTCCCTACTATTTTGCCTTTGTTAGTCAGTTTACAGAGGAAATTTATTAGCTTTTGTGATAAAAGATTCTTCATAGTTCTATCTGCAATGGAATGTTTTTACTTGAATAGAAATAGATCAATAGAAAAATATGTGATTTTAGCTTTTCTACCTACAGATTCTATCAATTATAAAACAAACATTTGAAGTAGATTGTCTTCTGCTCCCCTTAACAGAAAAAATTTCATTGACTTGCAATTTTATTGATCCTTGAGGTTGCTCTGCACTTTGCTAGTATTAAGAACCCTGGGGAATGAGAAGCTATTAGAAATTCTGATTCCATGCACGAGAAATCCACCCATTTCCCCTCTCATATTTACACCTGCCAATATTTTTCTCATTTGCTTCAGAGTGTGATAAATTTAGGCATCTTTTAGCATGCTATTCTTCATGTAATTCTATCATCCACACAAACTTCTTTTTAACGTAAGCCATTAAGCATTATGAAGTTTCAATAGATGGCACCTACATAGCAGTATTGGACTATAATATTAAGTTCACTAAAGAAATCATACTTGCTGAAACTCCTTTATCCACTTGATATAAAAGGCTATATAAGATAGAATATATCAATATTTTCAAATTACAGCATGTGGGAACTATTCACTGATCAATACTCTGTATACCTTAATACTATCTAGAAAATCCACACTGAAGATTTTTATTTCTTATTTTAACCTGTTATTTTAGGTCTTGAACCTTCTGTTAGTCTCCATCTCCAACTGTGACCTTATTGTGTTTTTTAAGCCAAGAGCAGAATGTAATCAATGGGACATGATATTAAAGTTACTGTAATCACTGTTTTGAAAGTTATTCCATATATATGATCAGAATAACAAGTTCTGTTAAATCATAGCTATAGATACCATAAATCTTTTGATTCACGCATTTATTCATTTACTCAGTTAACAGCATAGATTGAATAGATTCTAGGTGCTCAGCACTTGGTTACATACTCGGGACACCAAAATAGTATATTATGATTACTTCGATAAAAAGTTAAAGAAATTTAACTATTTAAAATTAAGGAAAAGGGTAGAAAATCATTTATTCACTCACTTCTCTAGAAAATGTACAGTTAACCTTTGCTTTCAGCTATGGTGAGATCCAGTAAAATAATACTCTCCAAAGTTTACCTTATTTTCTCTATATTCCTGCTCTTCTTCCTCTACAACACACAGACAAAATGGCCATAGCATTTGTTACCTTCCAGGTTTATGTTTAACACATAATTCATAATCTCAGTTGACTTCTCTCATGATCATTCCAGAAAGTATCACAAGGGATTTTCTAATTACTACTTTTCTATATTGAGTCACTTGCTCATTCTTTAATCAGACTATGGCTAGGAGGTTAAAATGTTCTGATGATTCTATTTTGGTTCATGAGTTCACCCCTAATGTTAGTATCAGAAATGTACACATTCATATTTCATAATGACTACGAATGAAAGTGTTGGTTCTGTTAACCAGTCAGCAAAGACAGAGCTTGAAGGGCTCCAGCTGTTATGGTGTTCTTACACATACACACACTCATATACACAGAAAAAGAAGTAATACATGCCAATCAACTATATATGTTCCTGCCTTGTTCTCAGAGATGCCAAAGCTTGCCTGAGGATGTTAATTTTAACCTGACCTATCATAAATTAATAGGATCTAGCCAAAAAGGTAAATGAGATTGCTCATGGGAAGTATTATAGGTGACGAGAATAAAATATTTAAAATCCCTAAGGTTGGAAGGATATTGACTCATTCAGGAAGCTTAATGAGAGCTAGTAAATCTAGAACACAAAGCATTTGATAGAGAGTATCAGAAGGTAATGCTAAAGAAACACATAGATAACTCTATGTCTGTTGTACCAGGAAATGTAGATACTTTATATTTTCATTGGAAGAAGAAATAGTCACCATTTCTTATTTTAAAATACAGATATAACAATCAAATAAGCAATTTTGGAAAAACACAAAATGAAATGTACCATCTTAATTATTTTGAAGTGTATAATTCAGTAATGTTAAGTACTTTCACATTATTGTGCAGCAACTCTGCTGAACATTTGCCTCTTGCAAAACTAAAACTCTATAATGACTAATCCAATTGGGGTATAACTGACAAGCAAGAAGTATATATATTTACAGTGTACCATATGATGTTTTGATATATGTATACATTGTAAAATGATTTAATCAAGCTAATTAACTTACCCATCACCTCTTATTTTTTTGTGGTGAGAACATTTAGCATTTCCTCAGTAATTGAGAATATAATTTACTATTACTAACTATAGTAACCACGCTGCACAAATAGATCGCCAGAGCTTATTCATTCTACCTAAAACTTTATATCCTTTGGCTAATCACTCCTCATTCCCTTCCCCCAGCCCCTACTCTGTGCTTGTCTGGATTCCACATTTAAGTGAGGTAATATAGCATTTGTCTGTGTCTGGCTTATTCTACTTAGCATAACATCCTCAAGGTTCAGCCATGAGGTCACATAGGACTGGATTTTCTGTAAGGCTGAATAATAATATGTTATATATATACATCACAATTCCTTTATCTATTGCTCATGGACACTTAAGCTGATTATACATCTTAGCTGTTATAATGTTGCAGTGAACATGGGAATACAGAGATCTGTTTAACATTCTTAGGCTATTTCGTTTAGGTATGTATGCAGGAGTAGGATTGCTAGGTAATATGGTAGTTCTATTTTTAATTTTTAAAGGAACCTCAACGCTATTTACAATGGCTGTACTAATTTACCTTCCCACCAACCACATACAAAGTTTCCCTTCTCTCTACATCCTTGACAAGACTTTATCATTTATCTTTTTTATAATAGCCATTGTAATAGGTATGAGGCAGTATGTCATTGTGGTTTTAATTTGCATTTTCCTGATGATTAGTGATGTTGAGCATTTTTTCATATACTTGTTGGCCATTTGTATGTTTTCTTTTGGAAAATATCTGTTCAAGTCTTTTCCCCATTTTTAATTGGGTTGTTTTCTTGACATTGAGATGTGTGAGTTTGTTATTTATTTTGGAAATTAATGCCTTATCAGAAGTAAGGTTTACAAATATTTTCTCACATTCCATAGGCTTTTTACTCTGTTGTTTGCTGTGCAGAAGTTAGTTATTTAATTTGATACAATTTCATTGTCCATTGTTGCTTTTGTTGCCTGTGCTTTTGAGGTCATGTTCAAAAAATCATTTCCAAGACAAATGTCAAGAAGCTTTTCCCTTTTCTTCTACGACTTCTACAGTTTCAGGTGTAACAGTTAAGTGTCCATTGTCATTCTTCTATACATAGACACTCAGTTTTCCCAACACCATTTATTGAAGAGACTCTTTCTTTCCTCATTCAAAGGCCTTGGCAACTTTGTCAAATATCAATTGACAATAACTGTGTATATTTACTTCTTGGCTGCCTATTCTGTTCCAGTGACCTATACATTTGTTTTTATGTCAGTACAATGTTGCTTTCATTACTATAACTCAGTATATTTTGAAACAATGTAATGTGATGCCCTAAGCTATGTTCGTGTTTCTCAACATTGATTTGGCTATTTGTTTTATGTGTGTATAGTTCAATATAGGTTTTAGAATATTTTTCTATTTCTGTGAAACATGCCATTAGAATTTGTATAGGGATTGCACCGAATGTACTGACTGCATTAGGTAGTATGGCTGTTTTAACAGTATTATGTGTTCCAATTCATGAACACAGAGTATCTTTCCATTTGTGTCTTCAGTATTTTTCATCAGTTTTTAAATTTTTCCACTTACAGCTTTTTTTTACCCCCTTAAATTCATTCCTAAGTGGTTTTATTGTTTTTGATGTTTTGTAAATTGGATTTCTAAAAAATTTTTTTTCAGATAGTTCATTGTTAGTACATAAGGGAACTAATTTTTGCAGTTGATTTTGTACCCTGTAATTTTACTTAATTTGTTCATTAGTATAATAGTGTTTTGGTGACATCTAAAATTTTCTGTATATAAAATTATGTCATCTGCAAACTGAAAATTTTATTTATTTATAATTTAGATGCCTTTTGTTTCTCTTTCTTGCCTCATTGTTTTGGCTTGTATTTCAAGTACTATATTGAATAAACGTGGCGAGAGCGGGTATCCTTGTCTTATTCTTGATCTTAAAGAAAAAAGACTTTGGCTTTTAGTTGTTGATTATGATGTTAGCCGTGGGTTTGTCATACGTGACTTTCACTATGTTGAGCTACATTCCACCTGTATCTAATTTGTTGAAAGTTTTTTTTAAATAATGAAAAAATGTTGAATTTTGTCAAATGCTTTTTCTGTTTCTATTAAGATAATCTTAATAGATTAAGGAAATTATATTTAATCTTAAGATTAAGATATTATCTTTATCTTTCATCTTGTTAATGTGGTATATCATATTTGATTGGCATCTATTGAACCATCCTTGTCTTCTAGGCATAAATCCCACTTGACCATATTGTACAAGTCTCTTTACTTGTGGCTGAATTCAATTTGCTGAATTTTTTGGAGGATTTTTGCATCTATGATCATCAGGGATATTGGCCTGTAATTTAATTTTCTTGTGGTGTCCTTGTTAGGCTTTTGTATCAGGGAAACATTGGCCTTGTAAAAAGAATTGGGAATTTTCCCTCCTTTTCAGGCTTTTTGAGAAGTTTGAGAAGAATTGGTGCTAATTATTCTTTAAATATTTAATTTGCCAGTGAAGCGATCAGGTCCTGGGCTTTTCTTTGTTGTGAAGTTTTTGCTTTCTGATTCAATGTCCTTACTAGTTATTGTTTCATTCACATTTACTATTCGTAATTTTGGCTTGTTAAGTTGCATGCTTCTATTAATATGAATGTTTCCATTTATTCTTGGTCACTTAATTGGTTGGTATATAATTGTTCCTTGTATCTCATGATCTCTTGGATTTTTGTTGTCAATTGTAAAGTCTTTCATTTATAATTTTGTTTTAGTCTTTTCTTAGTCTAAAAGTTTATCAATAAAGGCCTCAGTTTCTGTGATGTTTTCTATTGTTTTTCTAGTCTGTTTTTTTTAAATTTCTGCTCTGATCTTTATTATTGGATTTATTCTACTGAATTTTGCTTGTTTTGTTCTCTAGTTTTTTATTCTATAAAGTTAGGTTGCTTATTTGAGATCATTCTTTTTTTCTTAATTTATGCATTTGTTACTATACACTTCTCTCAGAGCTGCTTTTGCTGCATCCAATACATTTTGATATGTCATATTTTTATTTTTATGTCTCAACATTTTATTTTTCTTAATTTCTTGTTTGACCCACTGGTTGTTCAGAAGTGTATTGTTTAATTTCCACCTATTTGAGAATTTTCCAGTTTTCCTCTTATTAATTTCTAGTTTCATATACCATTGTGGTCAGAAACTGTATTCAATATTATTTTAATTTTCTTAAATGTGTTAAGACTTGTTTATTGGCTTCACATATGATATATCCTGGAGAATGTTATGTGTGCACTTTGATTTGGTAGGTTTTTGTTTTTATTTATGGATACTTTTTTGTTTTTCCTTTTAATTTTTTACTGTGTGCACTTGAAAAGAATGTGTATTCTGCTGCTGTTGAGGAGAACATTCTGTATGTATCCAGTAGGTCCATTTGGTACAGGCTGTTTAAATCTGCTGTTTCTTTACCGATTTTCTCCCTGAATAATCTATCCATTGTTTAAAGTGGGAGTACTGAAATTCTCTACTATTATTGTATTGCTATTTATTGTTCCTTTCAGTTCTGTTAATATTTGCTTTATATTATTTAGTTGCTCTGATAAGTTTAATATTTTATGTTTGTGGGTACATGTGACGGTTTGTTGTACATATTATCACATCACCCAAGTATTAAGCCCAGTACTCAGTAGTTATCTTTTCTGCTCCTCTCCCTCCTCCCACCCTCCTATCTCAAGTAGACCCCAGTGTCTGTTTCCTTCTTTGTGTTCACAAGTTCTTAGCTTCCACTTATAAGTCAGAATATGTGGTATCTGGTTTCCTCTTCCTGCATTAGTTTACTAGGGATGATAGTCTCCAGCTCAATTCACATTCCTGCAAAGACATGATCTTGTTCTTTATGATTACATAATACTTCATGGGGTATATGAACCACATTTTCTTTATCCAATTTTTCATTGATGGGCATTTAGGTTTATTCCATGTTTTTGCTATTGTGAACAGTGCTGCAGTGAACATTTGCATGCATGTGTCTTTATGGTAGAATGGCTTATATTCCTCTGGGCATATACCCAGTGATGGGATTGCTGGGTCAAATGGTATACCTGCTTGTAGTTCTTTGAGAAATTATGATACTGCTTTCCACAAATGGCTGAACTAATTTACACTCCCACCAATGGTGGACATGGGTCTTTTTTCATAATAATGGTCATTCTGACTGGTGTGAGGTGGTATCTGATTGTGGTTTTGATTTCCATTTCTCTAACGATCAGTGATATTGAACTTTTTCCCCACATATTTGTTGGCTGCATGTATGTCATTTTTTGAGAAGTGTCTGCTCATGTCCTTTGCCCACTTTTTGTTTTTCTCCTATAAATTTAAGTTCCTTATAGATGCTGAATATTAGATCTTTGTCAGATGCATAGTTTCTTAGTAATTTTTCCCATTCTACGGGTTGTCTGTTTACTCTGTTAAGAGCTGCCCAGCAGAAGAAATTATCAAGTTTAATTAGATTTCATTTGTCAATGTTACTTTTGTTGTGATTGCTTTTGGTTTCTTTGTCATGAAATCTTTGCCTCTTCCTATGTCCAGGATGGTATTGCCTAGGTTGTCTTTCAGGGTTTTTATAGTTTTGGGTTTTGCATGTAAGTCTTTAATCCATCTTGAGTTGATTTTTGTATATTGTGTAAGGAAACAGTCCAGCCTCAATCTTCTGCATATGGCTAGCCAGTTATCTCAGTACCATTTATTGAATAAGGAGTTTTTTCCCCATTGCTTGTTTTTAGCAGCTTTGGCAAAGATCAGATGGTTGTAGGTGTGTGGCCTTATTTCTGGCTCTATATTCTGTTCCATTGGTCTATGTGTCTGTTTTTGTATCAATATCATGCTGTTTCGGTCACTGTAGCCTCGTAGTATAAAGTTGGGTAACGTGATTCCTACAGCTTTGTTCTTTTTGCTTAGGATTGCCTTGGCTATTCAGGCTTTTTTGGTTCCATATAAATTTTAAAATAATTTTTTCAAGTTCTGTGAAAAATATCATTGATAGTTTGATAGGCATAGTATTGAATCTGTACATTTCTTTGGGTAGTATAGACATTTTAATAATACTGATTCTTCCAAGGAATACAGCTTCATAGGAATATAGGAAGGTGAAAGAGCTCTATAATGAGAATTACAAAACATTGCTCAAAGAAATCAGAGAAGACACAAACAAATGATAAGTTTTTTAAATGCCCATTTTGTCTGTAGTGTGCATAATAGGTTGGGAAAATACTGATTTCTAAGCTATTAGAATAGTCCCTGGAAACAGTGGTAATGGTTGGTTAAGTATACTGATAATGGGAATAGAAAGAAAGACATTTGAAGATATTTAGTGAAATATCTAATTAATAAATTCTAAACCTAAATTCTATGTAGAATGTAAGGAGGAGAAAGGCATCAGGAAGGACTTCAGTTTTTACGGGTTTATAGCAGGGGAAGGGAAAATGAGTATATTAGATGGATGGAGGTTTATTTCTGTGAGCTGAAGATCTGAGAAAAGCCTAGTGCTGCTGTAGCCCAATATGTATTTTGGAGATTATAAAGAAAGATGGCTATGTGACTAACTTTGAAAGTGTTGCATTTCAGTTGAGAAAGCATACAGCATGCTTACTGGGAAAAAATAGCAAAATTACAGTAAAATATGTCATTATTGAAAAGGTAATAAATTCTTATTACTTATGTGAATGCTCATATATAAGAAACGAAAGGAGAATGAGACCACCTCGTATTTGGATGGTCAGAAAATTGTAGCTGGAAGAGGAAAAGCCTTGGTCAGACCAAGATTTCAGAAATAAGTATAGAATATTGTGAAAGAGCAATTTTGTTATGAAAACACAAACATTGGATTCTGCGGAGTCAATGAGTTGATTAATGCGTGTGAAGATTTTAGACTGGGAAATAATGGAAGGTTATCAGGGGAACAAGCCCCCAGTATTTCAACGTAGGTTCTATTTTCCCTAAGTGTTTGTCGGTCTGAGAAATAAAGAGAAAGAGTAGAAAGAGAGAAATTTTATAGCTAGGCCTCTGGGGGTGTCATCACATATTGGTAGGACAGTGATGGCAACCTCAAGCTGCAAAACCGGCAAGTTTTTATTAGGGATTTTAAAAGGGGAGGGGGTGTACGAATAGGGTTCACATGCTTCAAAGGGCAATAAAGATCACAAGGCAAGGCAAAATTAGAATCATTGATGAGGGTCCATGTCCCACTGTGCATGCATTGTCTTGATAAACATCTTAACAGGAAACAGGGTTCGAGAGCAGACAACCAGTCTGACTAGAATTTACCAGGCTGGAATTTCCCAATCCTAGTAAACCTGAGGGTACTGAAGGAGACCAGGGCGTATTTCAGTCCTTATCTCAACCGCATAAGACAGACACTCCCAGAGCAGCCATCTAAAGACCTACCCCCAGGAATACATTCCTTCTCCAGGGTTATCAATTATTAATATTCCTTGCTGGGAAAAGAATTCAGCAATATTTCTCCTACTCACACATCTGTCTATAGGCTTTCTGTGAGAAGAAAAATATGGATCTATTCTGCCCAACCCTGCAGGCATTCAGACCTTATGGTTATCTTCCCTTATTCCCTAAAAATTGCTGTTATTCTGTTCTTTCTCAGGGTGCACTAGTTTCATATTGTTCAAACACATATTTTACAATCAATTTATACAATAGTGGTCCTGAGGTGACGTACATTCTCGGCTTACGAAGATAACAGGATTAAGAGATTAAAGACAGGCATAAGAAATTTTAAGAGTATTGATTGGGGAAGTGATAAATGTCCATGAACTCTTCACAATTTATGTTCAGAGATTGCAGTAAAGGCAGGTGTAAGAAATTTTAAAAGTATTAATTTTGGTAACTGATAAACGTCCATGAAAACTTCACAATTTATGTTCTGCCTCGGCTCCAGCTGGTCTCTCCGTTCAGGATCCCTGACTTCCCGCAACAGAAGATAAGGTTGGAAAGATGTTTTAAGACCTCGCAGTGAAGTGTCAGTATACCAGACAATAGGCAAGATTTTGTCCATGAAGAAAGGGGTGGGTCATTGAAAAATGAGGGAGTCTAATAAGAATTACAATATTGGTCAATCCGAAAGACTATATATGCAGTGATGTTAAGTCAACCTACATTCTGATCCACATCATGCCTACTGATGAAACATGTATGCCTTCTGGAAATAAGGATAAACGAGTCAATATATGTACCTAACTAAAATTTTGCCTCACTAATATGGTTTGCCTGTATCCCCATTCAAATCTCAACTTGAAGTATATCTCCCAGAATTCCCACATGTTGTAGGAGTGACCTAGGGGAAGGTAATTGAATCAGAATCATGGGGGCTGGTCTTTCCTGTGGTATTCTCGTGATAGTAAATAAGTCTGACGAGATCTGATGGGTTTTATCAGGGGTTTAAACCACTTTTGCTTCCTGCTCATTTTGTCTTGCCTCCACCAAGTAAGAAGTGCCTTTTGCCTCCCACCATGATTCTGAGGCCTCCCCAGCCATGTGGAACTGTAAGTCCAATTAGATCTCTTTTTGTTCGCAGTTTTGGGTGTGTCTTTTTCAGCAGCATGAAAAGAGACTAATACACTCAGCATCCCAGGATCTACTTCAGATAGCAGTTGAATTAAGCATAGTGTACACCGACTTCTACAATGATATCATAGTATTGACTGTTCCACAAAACTTCACAAATTCTCCTGGATCTATCATTGACCAAGACATGCAGCAATAGTATTTGCTTCTTCTACCCCTCATGTGTGTGGTTATTTATGGCATGCTCACTACTGGTGAAATAAATAAGCCTCTTCTTGACAATCACCTGTTTTATCAAAGTCCTGTGGCTCTATTGGCTGGGGACTCACCACTCAACCATGTAACAGTAAACTCTACCCTAAATTTCACTTCTAAATACTGCTTTCTTAGATTTCTAGAAACACTCAGGCTTGATCTCACCTGTATTTCTACTCTAGAGAATTAAAACAAGAACAAAGATCTTTAGGAAAATTTTTTAAAAGAAGATTTACTTCTTATACTAAAAACATTAGCAGTGCAGTAAACCTGGTATCTAAAAGGGTTTCTTTGCTAAATCATTAAATAATATATTTTTAAATCCAATGTCTACTATTCCATAAAGATTCAAAAGCATTATATAGAGAATGTTTATTAGATTTTCACTAGCAAAAAAAATGGAGAATTTTGACAGCAGGGTTTATTATTGTACTTAAGTTTTTTTTTTTTTTTAATAGTAACACCAATGCATAGGTCAGTAAGAATGTCCACATTTGTGGAAGTTTTATCTTTAGATCTTTCCATAAATGAGATTTTAGACATGTCAGCATCTCAGTCAGGGCCAAGATTAGGGTGATTCAAGTGAGGACAAGTTGCTACATTAAAATATTATATATCTTGATCTCAGTTTTCCACACCTCCTTTTAACTTGATGCCCCAGGCAAGTAACTCAATTCACTTTAGTCCAAAACAAGAAGGTTAAGAAAATGGCTTTTTAAGTTTCTCTGTGACAACCTCTCATACCTGGTGATTCTCTTTAGCCCACTGAGTGAGACGAACACTTTCTAGCTATTAGTGAGAGAAATCCCACTCTACATTCAGTCATCATGCTTCTTCAGGAATGCACTGGCCTCTGATCTGAGAGTAGCACCTCTAAGCCAACATTTAGAAAATCAGCCTTGAATCTTGGAATAAAAGTACCTAGTTTTCTTGTATCTTGTTTTGTGTGGTTGAGTGCATTTATGCAATGTTCATTAGTAATGTCACTGCTTAGAATGAGAAGTATAAAAGAATGGTTATCAAATTTTAATGTACATATTAATCACTTGGGGATTTGGTTAAAATACAGATTCGGAGTAGTATGGTGTGTGATATGATTTAGATATTTGTGTCCTCCAAATCTCATGTTGAAATGTGATTCCAAATGCTAGAGGTGGGGCCTGACGGGAGGCGATTGGAACATAGGGACAAATGCCTCATGAATGATTTAACACCATCCCCTTGGTGATAAGTGAGTTCTTGCTGAGTTAGTTCACATGAGATCTGGTTGTTTAAAATAATGTAGCACCTCCCATAACGCCCTTGGTCTGGCTTTTACCATGTGACTCACCTGCACCCACTCACCTTCTGCCACGACTGGAATCTTTCCAACCAGAAGCTACAGCCTGCAGAACCATGAGCCAGTCAAACTCTTTTCTTTATAAATTACCCAGTCTCAGGTGTTTCTTTATAGTGATTCAAGAACACACTAACACAGTGTAGGATTTAAATATATTTCTGTATTTCTAACAAGCTCCCATGTAGTGATGTCCCTCCATGGCTCATGCTTTGTGTAGCAAATCCCCCAAATCTGAAAGTATTAAAGATTTTAATTTTTTTCAAGTTACTATATCTCAGGCAGCATCTTTTTCTTTTTAAACTCAAAATGCTTATGGATAGGGGACACATGATATTGAATACAGACTACAGAATAACACTGGATTTTGGCTGCAACTGAACAATTCCCATACATGAAAAGTATGATCATCTCCATTAAAATATTTGTCTACCCTAACTCATGGCTGCACCATGACAAATAATCCTTCCAATAACTAAGAGTTGCCAATCTATCATTAAAAATCAGCATGGCACATGTTTACCTATGTAACAAACCTGCACGTGTACCCTGAAACATAAAATAAGAAAAAACCTTCGGCAAAGGTGATCTCTGCCTATGGGACTTGTACTCTAGAGAATAATCCCTAGCAGTACTGGAAACTGAAGGCATCATTATGGCATCACAACCCTAAATCGCATGCACTGAAAAATAAAATCGCCCACTCCTAATGAAGCAAAACCAAAAATTCTACTCTCATAGGAGCTTGTCTTGCTCAGTCAACAATTTGAATTCTGTTCTCAATGTATGGTAAGCAAAAAGAAGCAGCAACTAAACACCATAGCAAAGAAACGTGATAGAGCCAAATCTATCTCACTTTTTTTTTTTTAATGCAGCCTTATGACTGCAATTGGAAACAATCTGGCAGGAAATAAAATACACAGCCTGAGAGACTGCACAGTTCTCTAGTCAAACAAGTTATACATGTGGCCACCAAAAATGTATTGAGAACCTACAGTGAGCCAGGCAATTATATACGCTGGTGAATGCATCTACACACATGTACTATGTTATTGGTACCAGCATCACTGTGGTGGGTTACTGCATCTTACTGAAAACACTAGACAAGGTCAGTTGTGTGCTTTACTGGTTTGACACACCATACTCTGATATTCCTCTACCAAAAAATGAGCTGAAAGGCTATCAAAGAATGATCAAAGAGCTACTAACACTAATGTTTATCCTCTAGTAACCATAAGATTTGGTTTGATTAAAAAATATGTCTACTCCTTAAGACACAGAATGTCTTGGTGGCATTGGTGGTTGCCTCACAAAGGTAGCTTATTCATCTCCTTCTTGGCCTCTTAATTATCCCAGCTGCTTTTACTATAATCTTTGATAAAGAAACTTGATTCTCTGTGGGCTTTAATACTCTCTCATCTCTATCTGCTTTCCTTGGTTTACATCACGGTCCTGGAAAGTACTTTCTGGATCCATGTCTTTCGTGATGTTCCATCACACTTAGAATCTCGTCAAAGAAGAACAAATCAGCTAGATGACACAAATATACTATCTTACATTTCTGGAGGTTAGAAGTTCTATATGGTTCTTATAGGACTAAAATCAGTGCTTCATTTTTACTGGAGGTTCCAGGAGATAATCTGTTTTCTTGTTTTTTTTCTCGTTTCTAGAGGTTACCTACATTCCTAGGCTTGTGCCCCCTTCTTCCATTTTCAAAGAGCATCATGTCAACTTCTGCATTTTTCATATTTCCCTTCCGATTTTTACCCCCATTTTCTTTCTATAAATCCCCTTCTGATTACTTTGGGACTACCTGGATAATCCAGGATAATCTCCCCATCTCAAGAAACTTAACTTCATCACATCCACAGTCTTTTGCCCTTCAAGGTAACCTATTTGCAGGTTCTGAGGATTTGAACACTGATAGCTTTAGGGGGCTATAAATCTGTGTACTACAGTACCTTGTCTGCTTCCCAAATAAACACAAACAATAGTTTTGACAAAGGCTTTGCCCCTTCAAAACATGGAGAGCATTATTCCAGCCTCGAAAATCAGTTTCCTTTTTTACTTATTTACTCTGGGACTCAGGCTGATAGAGCACCTGCTATCTGGAGTATTACCAAGAGACTTGTAGAAAAAAATAGAGCTCTGGGTGATTTTATACTGAAAAATAAAGGTCCCATAAGTGACACACATTACTCTTGCTCACAAATTATTAACCATGACCAGTCTTATGGAGCTACACTACCACAAGAGTGCTAGAAAGTGTAATCTCAACATGTATCCAGAAAAGAAAAAAATAAATATTAAATATCATCATTAATCACCCCAGTAAGTATTTTATTCCCCTATAGGTATCTTTCATTCTCAATGCAATGATTAACCTCTTAGTAAGTGATTTCTCTTAATTTACTAAAATTTTACAGGCCTTAAGTGCTGGAAAACTGGCACAGGTGCATGTACTGGAAAATGTAAACAAAATGTTTCTTAGTGTAGTCTTGTATTACAGAGTCTATGTTCTTTGGCAATTAAAAGCATAAATTAGATTAGACTAACTATTGGCTTCAAGGAAAGTCATTTTCCTTAGGGTAACTGCTCTAAGGTCTATCAGTTGAAATTTAGGGCCAATAATGTGTTAATCTTGTATGCCTTTAAATATTTAGACTTTTTAAACAGCATGGAATATGTGATTCATTCAACTTGACAGGTGCTGAAATGGACAAAAACTTGAAGGAACTTTAACTGAGTATCTCAGTAATACTAGACTATATTGATTGATGCATAATATAATAAATGTTGAACTTTTTTGTACTTCCTTTAGATTTCACCTTCCAAGATAAATTTTTGATATTTTTTACTTTTATAAGTTTTACATAATTTCTCCTTTGAATTTGATAAAATTAGAAGGTTCATGCACAAATAAAGGGCATATCTCTATAGTTGACATTGTAGCTATAATATATAAGATTATATAATATATAATATATATATTAACAGACAATATGGATAAAAAATAAGATTATATAATATATATTAACTTAGACAATATGGATAAAAAATAAGATGGGAAGATGGTCTAATATAAAGTGAGATCTTAGAGTTAATTTAAATAATGTACTGATATAAGTTATTTTATTAGTCTTCTGGAACGTTTTAGCCCAAAACCCAAACTGCTAACCCATGATTCCAGGAAGATTCATAAGGCGCAGTGGTTGAAATTGGAGATATTAACTCATTAAGGTGGAACTAGTCTCTAAAATTGACCTCCTCCTATACAGGGGAAGATCTATCATTTTTTTTTTAAATAAAAAATTGGAATTTGGGGAAGTGTTTATCCTTAATTTCTTATTTATCCTAGAAGAGACTTTTTGCTTGTGGGGAGTGTATATCTTCTGCACTCTGCAGCATTGAAGATAAAAGAGAGGCTGGGCATGATTCAAGCTTTGCAGAGTCTTATATAAACTAATTTTTAAGTCACAGGCTTTTGAATTCTTTTTTCTGCTTGTCTTTCTAGTAAATTGGGACAAAAAAGTATTTTCTTTCTATTTGCCTCAATGTGTTTTTTCAGATATCTGAAAAAACTCTGAACTAATATTTTCAAGAGTTTTTTCAAGTATATATCTGTCTTTGTTAAATCTTATCTGTCTTCATAGAAAGTTTTTATATCTGCTGTCAGATTTTATTCAGCCACTTTTCATTCATAGAGATGCTGAGTGCAAAGGCAATAGTGAGTAAGAAACAGGAGCCCTTCTTGCTGATTCTCTTCAACTGTAACTCCTTACACTGACTATATTTCTAGAAGGCTGATGTCACCTAAATATTAAGATTGTTTTTAAACTTAAGTGCCAGAAGACTACTAAAATAACAGTATTTTTTAGAAACCTACTAAGCAAAATTTCAATTCCTTCTTAAATCTTTTGGTTATAATTGCAGGCAATGGTGCCATCCTCAACATGAATTTCTGTCTTCCTTACAATTATTTTCAAAATGTTCATTATCAAATCATAAGAAAATGTGTTCTTTTCCCCATTTCTCATTTCTAATATAGACCATCTATTTAATAGAGATAGAAACAGACTCCTAACTCTTCCTTCTATCCCACTCTACCTCCTGCCTAGCCCTATTATAGAGTTGAACTCAACTAGATCATTCGATTTCCAGTGAAATAAATTTTAAAATAGAGAGTTATTATTTATATATAGTTAGAAATAATGGGGCTTATTCAGTACAGAGTAAATGCTTCATAGAGTAAAGAACTACTTATTACAGGGTAGTAGTAATGTTGGCACTGCTAAGACCCTGATAGTTTGTTGTGAGAGGATGTTCTGTGCACTAAAGGATGATTAGCAGCATACCTGCCTTCTACCCACTAAATGCTAGTAGGACTCACACAGTTGTGATAATGAAAAGTGTCTGTAGACATTGCCAAATATCCCCAGAGAAGGGGAAGGAAAATCATCCCTGATTGAGATCCAGTGATGCAATAGGTTTTGTGTCTTTCTCATTGTACTAAGCAACTCAGATTCTTAAAAAATCTTTTATTCTTTTGACCTCATTTGTAAATAAAACCACTCCTAACATTATACCACTGCACCAATGCATCAAATTGAAATATAACTAGCAAGTCTTAGAGCATATAGGGAGGAGGCAGAGCTTTAATTGAGTGCTTGCATATGGATGAAAAAATTAATTAAAGCTGCAGTACTGTGTCATTAAAATCTCTGTGACATGTTAAATCACTGAGACGGCTCCTAAGGAATGTGAAGGTAAGATGTCTTTGCTAATTCTTTGGCATATAATACCACACTTGGAGACTTGCTTTGCTCCTTCCTCTGTTTCAGATTGTTTTCCTGGAGCTCATTAAACAATCTTCTGACTGCCTTCATAAACATTATTTGGAGCATTTTATTTTTTTAATCAATTCATCCTGTTTTCCTCAGACTCTCTCATGCTCAGCACCATATTAAGTTCTGGCTGCCCTCTAATTTCCTCAATTTCTTATAGATTTATCATATCTACAATTTGTGAAGCTAAAATTCCAGAGGAAAAAAAAATTGAACCAGTTCAGAAAATCTGCAGCCATCTTAGGAGAGCAGAATCTAAGAAACTAATGCAGAAAAGCTTCAGATGCATCCGCTATTGGATAGATACTTCAGATAGATGTGTTTTACAAAGCCAAAGTCAATAACTGGAAACCAGGGTATTAATACCATTGATCAAACCTTAATAATTTAAGAATTAGGGGGATTAAACTCATATTGATGTCACTCTTATGACTATTGATCCTAAGATGAAGAGGTTGAAAAGACTCAAAAGTTGTAGAAAACAGACTTAAACAATTTATAATAAATCTAAATGTTGAGAAATGACTATTTACTAGACACTATTATTGAGTTACATGTATTAATTTTTTTCAAGAATCCTAGAAATAATTCTTATTTCTCAGATACAGGTGACAAAAATTGAGGCAAGGAAATATTAGGTAGATTATACAAGAGCAAATGGTAAGAACAAGATTCAAATTTAGCCAACCTACTTCTGAGTCAGTGCTCCTAAGATAGAATGGGGTTGATGTTAATATCCTTGTCTTCTGAGACCTCATTATCCCATAATTATGGAGATATCTTCGACAAATAGTTTATACATTTAAGTCTTAAGCCAGAATCCTGTAAGGTTAAAGTTAAGTTTCTTACGTTAAGTCAGTGAATTTTCTGGCAGGAAGTGAAAGAGAGGCTAGAGAAGAGACAAGTTCACCAGGATTTTCAAAGTAAATATTTTCGTGTTGTTTTGTTTTCTTGGATTTGATGTGAACGTTAGAGAAGATGGATATATACTTTAGGATAATAGACATAATAGCTTTTTAAAAACATTATTAATGTGTTTCACACTTTGCAAAGCACTCACACATAAAGACTTCTCTAGCTTTTACTGCACATGCATGACACCCGTTTTAATGAAAAAACTGAGTGAGGTTAAGATCTATGACTTCATCAAGATTCCAACCACCCTGAAATTCTACCAGTGACCTTAATGATGGATTATTATACAGTGCCCAATTTGCGCTTGTTTCTTTTCCTAAAATTGCCAGCCTCCCCAAACACAAATAAGCATGCCAACATCCATATGCTCGCATCTCCCTATACACACACAGTTCTCCTGAATGTCTCTTCTTTCTCTTAGATCCTCTGCATACAAGGAGTACATTTGTGTTAGGACATTATTGCATTGCTGTTAATAAATATCTGAGACTGGGTAATTTACAAAGAAGAGTTTTAATTGGCTCATGGTTCTTCAGGCTTTACAGGAAGCATGGTGCTGGCATCTGCTCTGCTTCTAGGGAGCCTCTGGAAGCTTACAATTTTGGTGGAAGGTGAAGGGGAGCAGGCATATCACATGGCAGAAGCAGGAGCAAGTGAGAGAAAGGGTGGGTGGGGAGATGCCACATGCTTTTAAATGACCAGATCTTGTGATAACTCACTATGGAAGACAGCACCTGCTCCCACGACCCAAACACCTCCCCCCAGGCCCCACCTCCCACATGAGATTTGGGCGGGGACAAATATCCAAATAATATCAAGATTCGTAAGTCTTCAGTTAACAAAAGTGCACTTAGCTACCTAAGAGTTCCTGGGATCCTTTTTGTTTACTTCCACAAGAGCCTAGGTTAGGGAATCATTGTGAGTTGATGTTTGGGTAATAGTTTATCATCAATACTCAAAAGTAAACTATGAAAATAATGGACAAAATAATCTGGAAGTATATTCATTAGGAATATGTCTGAAACTTTTGTAGACTTGATATATTTGACCTTCTTTCCCCTCAAGAGCCTTTCTTGCAGGGGCAGGGAGGGAGAAAAGGACAACCTTGTTATAGTCAATTGAGATGTCATGTAACACTACCACTGCTAACAACAACATGCAGTCTACACCATTTTGCTCTTTGAAACAGATAACTGCAGTTTCTCAACAAGAAGTTTCATTCTATAAAGGGTTGCATGATTAAAGTGAAGGGGATTATATCAGGGCCTGCCCAGGATGGGGGTTGGGAAAAGGGTGATGAGGAGGCAGACGATGACAAAACCTGGAAGTACTATTTTAACAGATAGTCGTGATCATTTCAAAATACAAAGGCTTTCTTCCCTTATTACCAAACCTCTAGTTACAAATCACTTGTTCAATTCCACTGCTATTACTAATATGATTACCAGTATCAAATATGATGTTTATTGTAAAAATGTCATATTTTAAATAATAATCAGGGTTGGCTTAAAGAGGGCTTAGGAAAGGTAGCCAAAGGTGAGTTAGGACATTTTTCAAATTGAATTTTTTTCTTATTGATGTTAAAAGCCCTCATTTCTCCTGCCTACTCTATATTCCTCAAGCATTGCATATCACATTCTAGAACCAGATGGCTTAAGCAAAATGTTATTAGGCTGCTACCTAGCTACTTCCTCTTCTTTGCCCCTAGGATTCTGGGCACAGATTGGTTGCTGCCAGGCATCTGAAAGCTCCAAGGAGGGAAGACTATTCCCATCCCACTTTCTCTGTCCTCACAGCTGGAGAGGTGTCACCATGACAGCTGCACAGGTTTTCCAGCATCCTTAAACCATTCCTATTAAGCTCTACACACAGGAAATCTTCCTGTACCTCATAATTAGATGTGTGAAAGTAGTCAAAGTCGGAAAAATAGGAAATAGTGCTTTAGTGGCTAATCAGAGAAGTATGGTTATTTTATACTTTTAAGGGGCTCTTTCAAATGAATTTCAGTAAGACCTTGCATCATGTCTATCAAACATTTTATGCTTTAGCAAAGAGTTTTTAAAAATTAAAATATCACATTGGATAAGTTAAATATAGAAATAGAGAGAAATTTTTCAGGCTTATGGAACAGGCTGAGTCTGAAGTCTGACACCCAGAACTAAGAAAATTCAAGGCTACTTGCGTCCTAGAAAATAGCCAGGGTTTAGGAAACAGAGGAATCATGCTAGAGTTGCAAGAATATCAAGGACTTTATGCTGGAGGTGTAAGAATACCAAGGTTTTGAGTCAGTCAAACCTACTGTTGAAGACTGACCACATAATAGATACATGATAGTATGATTTCCACAGGTGATAGAAGGAAACACTAGGCCGGGCATGGTGGTTCACAACTGTAATCGTAGCACTTTGGGAGGCTGAGGCGGGTGGATCACCTGAGGTCAGGTGTTTGAGACCAGCCTGGCCAACACTGAGAAACCCTGTCTCTACTAAAAATACAAAGTATTAGCCAGGCATGGTGGCTGGTGCCTGTAATCCCAGCAGCTTGGGAAGCTAAGGCAGGAGAATCGCTTAAACCCAGGAGGCGGAGGTTGTTGTGAGTCAAGATCGCACCATTGCACCCCAGCCTGGGCAACAAGAGCAAAACTCCATCTCAAGAAAAAAAAAAAAAAAAAAAAAAGGAAACACTAATGCTTCTGTCTCACAATGCATACTTGCCCACTTGGCTTAGTACTGTCATATAGGTTAGTGCTCACCATATATCATTTTCTTTCATTTCCTGGGTTCCAGACATGTCTTGAGGATCAGCCCAGATATGATGTTAATCTAATTGTACCTAACCAACTTCAGCAGGATCTGGACTACCTGAAGAGCTGCGGTAAAATAAGTGCCTCACTTTTCTGGTATCTTCTAAAGCTACCATTCTTAAGTGTTACCACCAAGATACTGGTGAAACTTGAGGACAGCACTAGAAAATTCATGACAGGCCAGAGAGCCTTCCTTTTCCCTCTCATTGATTCCATCTCTAATCATTGCATTTTATTTTATTTTTCTCCAAACGTAATATATATAGATTTTTATGTACTATAGATAATATATATTTTATATAATATATATATTTTTATATATATTTATATATTTTATATATTTTTATATATAATGTATATCTTATATATATTTATATATAATATATTGTAGTTCTCTGGGTCTCACTGGGGGGGAAAAAACTGTCCTAGAAAGGATTTTACTTAATATTCCATTCTCAATTTCTACCAGCAACTTCCTGTATAACATTAAAACATACAGTGGGTACAGTGGCTCATATCTGTGATCTCAACACTTTTGGAGGCTGAGGCAAGCGGACCATGAGATCAGGAGTTCGAGACCAACCTAGCCAACATAGTGAAACCCTGTCTCTACTAAAAATACAAAAAAATTAGCCGGGTGTGGTGGCAGGCGCCTGTAATCCCAGCTACTTGGGAGGCTGAGGTAAGGACAATCACTTAAACCTGGGAGGTGGAGGTTGCAGTGAGCCGAGATTGTGCCACTGCACTCCAGCACAGGTGACAGTGTGAGATTCTGTCTCAAAAAAAAAAAAAAAAAAGAAAAAGAAAACCGAAAAAACACCATACAATGTTAGAGCTAAGATTGAGGTGTGAGTGTGTGTATATGTATCACAGCACACAGATGGATTATTGTTAAGTCTTAGCAGTTGTAAGTATACTGACTTGGATTATTTGTTTTTGTTTGGTTTGGTTTACATGAAGGCTAAACTGGGTCTGGAGGATGCACTTCCAAGGTGGCTCCCTTGTGAAATGTGTACCTTTCTGAATGCTGGATAAAGGCCTCAGTTTCTCTTCACATGGAGCTCTCCATGTGACTCCTTAAGGATTCTCATGACATGGTACAGGCTTTCTCTGAGCCAGTGATACAAGACACCAAAGAGGAAGCTAGAATGCCTTTTATTATCTAGACTCCAAAGTCACATTGTGTCATTCCACTGTATATCACAGAAGGCTACCCCTAATTCAGTGTAGAACAGGACTACACAAAAGAGTGAATAAGAGCAGGGAGCAGAATTAAAGACTATCTTGGAGACTGACTGCCTCATGCCTAATATTATGATAAATTAGCATTTCAGGATCTTTATGATCTTGTCCAAACCTTATCTTTCAATATAGTCTTCTAATCTACTCTACAACGTATCTCCTACAGAGAAAAAAATATGAGTATTTTGCTGTTTTCTATTTACCTTCAAGGCTTTCTATCATCTAAGTCTTTTTTATGCTGCTATGATTTGAATGTTTTTGTCCTCTCTAAAGTTCATGTTGAAATTCAGTCCCCAGTGAAACAGTATTAGAAAGTGTGAACTTTAGGAGGGGATTGAGCATTGAGGGCTTCACCCTCATGAATTATTATATGCCCTTATAAAAACACCTTGATGGAAATTTCGTCCTTTTTTGCCCTCCTCCCTTCTGCCACATTAAGGGCACAGTATTTTTCTCCTTCAGGAAAGACAGCATTCAAGGAACCACCTTGTACGCAGACACTGAAACCTCGCGAGACAACAAAACTGCTGACACCTTGATCTTGGACTTCCCAGCCTCCAGAACTATGTGAGACATAGAACTATGTGAGACATAAATTTATGTAAATTTGTAAATTAGCCAGTCTCTGGTATTGTCTTAAAGCAGCAAAACCAGACTAAGACTTATACCCTTTCCCTATAATTAAAATTTCCTGTATATATATCCTCTTTATTCATGCCTACATGCCTCCAGAAACTTTTCTAACCTTCATATTTACTTGTGGCTGTAATTAATCTCTTTTCACATTTTAAATTTTGTGTCCTTTTTTGCTTTAATATCTTTTTTTGTTTATAGTAAACATATTTATGAATATATTTCATTTTTTTTTTTTTTGAGACAGAGTCTCGCTCTGTCACCCAGGCTGGAGTGCAGTGGCGAGATCTCAGCTCACTGCAAGCTCTGCCTCCCGGGTTCACGCCGTTCTCCTGCCTCAGCCTCCCGAGTAGCTGGGACTACAGGCACCCACCACCACACCCGGCTAATGTTTTATATTTTTAGTAGAGATGGGGTTTCACCGTGTTAGCCAGGATGGTCTTGATCTCCTGACCTCGTGATCTTCCCACCTCAGCCTCCCAAAGTGCTGGGATTACAGGCGTGAACCAGCATGCCCGGCCTTCATATTGAATTCTGACTATTTTAAGAGACGAGGTCCTCCACTATCACCCTGGCTGGTGTACAGTGGCACAATCGCAGCTCACTGAATCCTCAAACTCATGGGCTCAAGCCATCCTGTCACCTCAGACTCCCAAGTAGCTAGAACCACAAGTGTGTGCCACATGCCCAGCTAATAGGTTTATCTTCATAGAGAAGGGGTCTTGCTATGTTGCCCAGGCTGGTTTCAAACTCCTGGCCTTAAGGGATCATTCAGCCTTTGCCTCTTGAAATGTTGGAATTACAGGTGTGAGCCACTACACCTGGCCATGACATTTTAAAATCTGGAATCAATTTTCAGTTCATCTGTTTAATGTTTACAGTAACTAGCATCACTGTATTTAGCATCATCATAGACTTTCAATAAATATTTGCTGAAGAAATTGATTTAAACTATCAGAGCAGATCACATAGGGAAAAAAGGTGGTAGACAGCTCATGAAAATTTTACTTCAAAGAAGGATATCTTGCCTTTTGCTAGGTAATTTAAAATAAATCTAAAACTAAGAATATTAACAGATTTAATATTTGATTAGCTATCTTATACAGACACATAAGCACATAATCTTTTAATCTAATTCTCACAACAAATCTGAAAAGTATCAAATTTCTTTTTCATTTATGAATTGAGGCTATAAGAGTTAGTAGGTAATAAAGTCCAAATGTGACCCTGAGTCACTTTGGATCTTACTCCTATGTTTTAACTGGTTTAAAATAGCATCCCAAGATTGTGTCTCATGAAATCTGTGCGAGAAAGAAGAACCTCACATTATTCTCATAATATTCAAATACATCAAACACTATGAGAAACTGATTAATGTTAAGTAATTACAAAATCACATTAGTTTTGACTAAAAGAGGCAGATGAATGAATTGATAAAGTTAGGTCAAGCTCTTGCTTCCAGTACATAAAAAATTTAGAGGTGTTAGTGTTATAATTTTCAAAAGCTGTTACAAAGATTTTACATACACATACTCAAGTATAAATTTACACAAACCTGATACTTTGTCAATATAAACTTCTAGAAAGGAACATATGTCTTAACCTTTATAGTAATAAAATGACCTTTGTAGTCAAGAAACCTTGTTTCTCTTTAGAATAGGTATTGTGTAGATTTCAGGGCAAGGTAATTTCTAGTCCCTCCTCTGCCAACCAGAATCACTAGTAAGTACAACACCAGCAGTAGCCCAGGCCATATATTTGCATTTTGTTTGCAGATCTACCAGGATCTGATTGTATTGCCCCATTTTCAGAGTTGAAATGTATTATATGCTTACCCTAATGGCTGAGTGCCAGCTTTCCAACACTATTAAAAAAACTGACAAACTGACATTAACAAAGCAATAAGGAGTCAACAGTGGACCCTTGGCTTTTATGTCCACCAGAAAGTCAGGCTCTGAAATGCCTTCCTGGCTGCCCTCTGGAAGTTGCTGCACCAACCACTGTGCAGTGGCAGAAAGATGTTTTCTTGCTGATCATGAAGGTCTTTAAAGATCACTATCTGCTGATTTAGGTTTATTGCCATTGTGAATGTGTCATACTAGTAATAAACCTCCACTTGTTTAAGCAAAAACAGTGGAGATTACTACTTTTGCAGCTGGCAAACTTATAAATATAAAAAATGAATACACATAACGTGGAAAGGAAAAAATAGAGCAAATACTAATTTTGGGAATGAATTCCTAAGCAGTTGGGTGTGAGTAATGAGATAAGGTTAAATTATTGATCATGTATAACATGGATTATAAAATAATATGAGTATATCCTAAAGTAAAATCTCAAAAAGTACACTTTCTAAAATAAAAATAAAATTAATCTAGTTTGTTTGGCGTTCTATGCAAAACACATTTTAGGGTCAGTTAATTTTGGGGATATTTGTTCTGATAAATGATTCAACATATATTTTGTCTAGTATTTGTTGCTCTTTTTCCTTTCTGCCATTGTTGCCTGCTCTAGTCAGACTTCTCATTGTTGCCTGCTCTAGTCAGATTTCTGATACCAGAGCTCATAGGTGAAGTAGATCAAAATTTCTATTGTCACAAAATCCCCTAAGTCCCAAGGTAAAATAAAATAATGATGTATATATATAGATATGTATAACTTTTGCCAATTTGTCCCTTTATTACCAATGACCACAGAAAGGTCTCTTTTTTTCCATCCGTTGAGTAAAATGCCCTTCTTTTTAATTTTGCAAGCACCCCATGTCTTTGAGCAGTTCTGTTAGCAAGATCTACATTCCTTGATTTGGGAAGAGCAGAGCACATACCTCCTTCTCTTGGGAGAAGAGAAAATCCAAAAGGAAATTTAGTCCTACAAATTCCTTTCAAAGTAACTTTTCTTTTTTACACAGGCTCGAGGTATGTCAGGAGAGATGATACTCAAACCACCAAGTGCAGCTTTTCTTCTTATGTCCCACAGGATATGTTTGTAGCTCTATTTAGAATACTTAGCATATTGATTTTAGCTTTGTAACTTTAACTGACATTCCAAGAAAAGAGAAAAAAAATCACACATTTAAAGTCCTGTTATTCTAGTTTAAAATAATCCATTCATGTTCTAATATTTTCATTTACTTAGGTTTCCTGCTTCTGTATGATTGAGGGTTACTCCAATTAAAGTGCTTTTCATCTTCAAAGTCTTTTACAAACAGTCATTACTTACAGCTACATATGTAGTCAGGTAATGATTTTGGATTTCTCAGGGGCTTCCTGATTTATGTTTCCTCAGGGGCTTCCTGATTTATGTTTCAAAATACATGATAATTAGCAATTCCTTCTAATTCGGCATAGAAGGTGACTCTTGCGTAAATCAGTAAGCCAGAGATAAGTTAGTTTGGACGTCAAATACATAGGGTATTTTATCATTTTTCTTCTTTCCTACCTTCTTTCCTTCCTCCCTCTCTTCTTCCCTCTTTGTTTTTAATCATAGAGAATGATAGAAAACAATTTGACTTTTTCTCTTCCAGCAGTAAAGAGAATATCTATCTAATTTCAGAGTATGAAGGTGAGAGCAAAGGCAATGTATGTTTCTCCTCACACACAGCCCACAATGGTCAGAACAGAAAGGAAAATCAACCACTTAGTAGCAGGAGCTGCTTTTATACCCAGATATTTCCTAATATGTCTATCCTAATATTTCCTGTATATCTGTCCATCTCATCAGAAAGATGGTGACCATACATAGTTGTGAAAATCACTGAGTTGTCTTTTTCAAACCAGACAGTCTGGTTCTAAGATACTCTGTTGGTCCAAAGCAGAGCATAGATCATGCGTAATCCTACTTGATATTATTTCTTAAGCAATTTGATTATCTGATAAATGTAAAAAATGGTACTGTAACCACTAAAAAGTCAGGCCACTCAGTCAACCTAATGCAAAAGCCTGAGGGTGTTGCCATCATGGAGGGCAATCAGCTAGTATCACAGAAAACCATATGCTTATGGAAATCATTCTGTAAATATTTTATGAAAACTGTGGAGTATTGGCCTAAGAGTTATACATTACCATATCTAATATTAAGTAATGAAATGATACAGTCATTAGTTTATTGCTTAGAATCTGGGCATTTTGAAACTATGAAAACCTATGTGGTACCAATGACACTAAGACTAACACAGGAATACATTTGGCATCCATTTTCTCTGATCATGACTCTTCTCTTCTCCCTCAGTCCTACTTGTCAAACTTCTTTATCCCTGCATTGTAAATCTACTAGTCTAAAGTATGTTACTGTATAAGTAAAAACCTTAGAAACTATTCAGAACTCTTAAATAGGTATGAAGTCAAATGACATTTTATAACATATACAATAAGGAGTTTGTCAAAAGTTGATAAACTAAGTTCTATGATATAGTATGGTTATGTGTCCCCATCCAAATCTCATATTGAACTATAATCCTCAGTATTGGAGGTGGGGCCTGGTGGGAGGTGATTGGATTATGGGGGTGGATTTCTCATAATAGTTTACCACCATCCCCTTGGTGCTGTCTTTATGATAGTGAGTGACCTCTCATGAGATCTGGCTGCTTAAAAGTATGTTGCATCTTGTTCTCTTTCTCTTGCTCCTACCGTATGAGATGTCTGCTCCCCCTTCACTTTCCACCATGATTGTGGGTTTCCTGAGGCCTCCCCAGAAGCTGAGCAAATGCCCCAAGCCATACTTCCTATATAGCCTGCAGAATCATGAGCCAATTAAACCTCTTTTCTTTTTAAATTACTTAATCTCAGCTATCTCTTTTTAGCAATGTGAGAACTAATACACTCCATCACCTATTACATATGTAACCTGTGGAAGCTGACTTGACATTCCTTAGTCACAAACTTTTTGTCTATCAAATGGGAAAAATAATATTCCTCTCATAGGTTTTTTGTGGACATTAATAATGTAGAAGGCTTGAGGTGATTTCTATTCTGCAACATGGCAGAATAGAAGGCTCCTGACTCTCTCTACCAGTAGGCACTCTGAATAAACATTTATTCACGTATTAATTCAATCTAAGATGAGTTAAGAGGCTTCCTCTTATCAACTAAGAAAACATTTGTATCAAACCAGCAAAAAAAGCTGAGGTACACTGAGGCATGGACCAGGGACCCCGGTATGTGAAATAAAATCAGGAAGGAATCCCAAACAGCCTGCTTCTCCCTGTGGAGACGAGAGTTTGGACAACACATATAGCACTCTAACTATAGTGCAGCTGTTAATTCACCAACTTCAAGAGCAGAGGAAATTAGGCATATGTGAGTCTCTTCAGACTACAGAGAAAAAAGTGGCAGTTTTTTATGGGCATGCAAACATGTTCAAGAGCCTTGTCCCCTAAAAGCAATGCAGAGACGGGGCTTGAAAACAACTTCCTGTTTCTTTCCAGCAGGGGTTTATGATACAATCTTCCAGAGGCTATTTGATGGCCTGGCTTCTAACTTGCTTCAGGGAGCCATACAGGGACACAACAGTAGCCCTCTAGCAGCCTGAGTAGGAGCTCAGCACATGCTAAGCCTTTTCTTTGGCTCACCCCAGTGATAAATCCATGTCTAGCCATTCTACCTGGAAACACTTTATGCATGCACCAAAGCCACAACTTTAGATTCCACCCATGAGACTGTTTGCTTGATGATCTAGTTCTGGGAGTCTACAGGACTTTGTCTTCCTGAGTCTCCTAAGACCACAGAAAACAAAGGGTTGGACATACAACAGAACAACTTCCAGTAGCTGTCTCCTCAGGGTCAGATAGTACAATATGAATATGAATATGGACCTTCCCCTCATATTTTTTCCCCAGCTTAGTGCAAAGTGAGAGACAAACACCTGTGTTTAGCTTCATTATGAAAATAGAAGGAACTAGGAAAACTTCATACTCCAACCTTTCCAGCTATATCTAGAGAAACTGGTTTCTGACTTATCAGTCTTTGGGTGCTGATGGGACATTGCACATCATAATCTTCTGAGGACTACCAAAAACAGAAGAAGCAATTCAGACAAACACAAAGATTAGAAGAGGCATCTTAAAATTTCTGGCCAGATAGATTGCTGAGATCATTCTCCTACACAACTACAATCTGAAAAGAATGGGAGAGACATATTTCTTATACAATGTGCAGAAACAAACACAGAAAAATCAAGAAAAAGAAACATGGAAATATATTCCAAATAAAAGAAAAAATAAATATCTAAAAAAACAGTCTTAGTAGAATGAAGCTACCCAACAGGGAACTCAAAATAATGCTCATATAGATGATAAAAACTTCAGCCAAATTAAATTTAAAGGAGTTTAACTGAGCAATGAATGATTCACAAATCGGGCAACTCCCAGAATCACAGCAGATACAGAGAGACTCCAGGGCAGTCATGTGGTAGAAAAATATTTACAGACAAAAACAGGAAATGACATACAGAAATCAGCAGTGAGGTACAGAAACAGCTGGACTGATTACAGGTTGGCATTGCCTTATTGAACACAGTTTGAACACTTAGCAGTCTATGAGTGGTTCAAGTATTGTTGCTGGGATTGGCTAAGACTCAGTTATTGTTACAGGTGCATACTCCTAAGTCAGGTTTTCAATTTTGTCTGACTATTAAGCTAGGTTACAGTTTATCCACAGGGACTCAAGTATAGAAGTACAGAGTCCTTCTCAGGCCATATTTAGTTTGCTTTAACAAAGATGACCTCCGAAGACAGCAGAGCAATGCAAGGAAAAAAATCCCATTAATTTCAACAATAAGATAGAAAGTACAAAACATACCAGTCAGATATCATAGAAGTGAAGAAAACTATAACAACTAGAAAATTCAGTAGAGGGTTTCAACAGCAGACAAATCAAGAAGAAAAGTCAGTGAATTAGAAGACAGATACAAGAAAATCTTCTAATCTGGATCAGCAGAAGTAAAAAAGGAGTGATGAGTGAAGATAGCTTTAGAGATATATGAGACATCATCAAGTGAAACAACATACACATATTTGTTTTCAGGAGAAGAAGAAGAGAAAGACAGAAAACACAATCAAAGAAATAACGGCAATGACCCAAACCAGAACAGGTCATAATTGAATTGTCAAAATTTGAAGACAAAGGGAGAGTTTTGAAAGCAGTAAGAGAAAACTGAATTACTACGTACAAAGGAAACTTCTCATTGTATTATCAGAAGATTTTTCACCTGTAATCTTACAGGCCAGAAGAGAGTGGAAAGATACATTCACAACCCTGAAAGAAAAAAATATTGATAAAACATTCTCAGACAAATGAAGGTGAGAGAGTATATCACCAGCAGACCTACATTATAGGAAATGCTAAAGGGAATTATTTAAGTTGAAGAAAGAAGACACAAAATTACAACATTAAAACATGAAAGTAAAAAAAAAAACTGATAAAAATACATTGTCAAATCCAAAACACTAATACTGCAATGGTGGTTAGTAAAACCACCATTAAATATCTAAAATTAAGGTTAAAATGCAAAACTAATTAAAAGCAACTGAAATTACAACAATTTGTGGAAACATACAAATTATAAAAATTTGTTAATTGTAACACCAAAAACATAAAACATGAGAGGAGGGGGAGTATAGAATCTGTATATACAATCAAAAATTAAGTTGTTATCAGCATAAAGTAGCTTGTTCAGTATATGGTAATTATCTAATCCTCTAGGTAACTACAAAGCAAAAAAGCATATGATACACAAAAGATAAGATCCAAAGCATATTATGACAGAAAGCTGTCAGACCACACAGTAGAAGAGAGAAGAATAAAGAAACAAGGGATACACATAATAACCAGGAAACAGCTAACAAAATGACAGGAATAAGTCCTTACCTGTCAGTCATACAAATTGATTATATTTCCCAATCAAAAGGCATTAAACAAACAAACAAACAAAAACCAGTGGCTATTAAAACAAAACAAAACAGGGGCCGGGCGCACTGGCTCATGCCTGTAATCCCAGCACCTTGGGAGGCCAAGGCGGGTGGATCCTGAGGTCAGGAGATTGAGAGCATCCTGGCTACCAAGGCAAAACCCTGTATCTACTAAAAATACAAAAATTTAGCCAGGCGTGGTGTTGGGCACCTGTAGTCCCAGCTACTCAGGCGGCTGAGGCAGAAGAATGGAGTGATCCCGGGAGGCAGAGCTTGCGGTGAGCCAAGATCGCGCCACTGCACTCCAGCCTGGGTGACAGAGTGAGACTCTGTCTCAAAAAACAAACAAAAAAAACCAGCTGGGTGCCGTGGCTCACGCCTGTAATCCCCTCACTTTGGGAGGCCGAGGCAGGCAGATCACCTGAGGTCAGCAGTTCGAGACCAGCCTGGCCAACATGGAGAAACCCTGTCTCTACTAAAAAATACAAAATTAGCCAGGCGTGGTGGCACATGTGTGTAATCCCAGCTACTCGGGAGGCTGAGGCAGGAGAATCGCTTGAACCCGGGAGGCAGAGGTTGCGGTGAGCCGAGATCCTGCCATTGCACTCCAGCTTGGGCAAAAAGGGCAAAACTCCGTCTCATTAAAAAAAAAAAAAAAAAAAAAAAAGATGTAACTATACGCGGCTGCCCACAAGATATTCACTTTAATTAATGGACACTTACAGACTGAAGGTGAAGGGACAGAACAAAATATTCATGCAAACAGATATCAAAGGAGGGCAGGAGGGGGATATGTCCTCCTGCCATACTTATAACAGGCAAAGTAAATGTTAGGTCAGAATATATTTAAAAAAGGAAAATAAGGTAATTACATAGTGATAGAGAAGTATATGCACCCAACACTGGAGCACTTAAATATATGAATATTAAAGGATCTGAAGTGAGACCTAGACTGTGACAGTAGGGGATTTAAGTAACCCACTTTCGACTCCAGACAGATCATTCAAACAGAAACTCAAAATAGAAACATTCGACTTAAAGCATACTTTAGTTGAAATGAACCTAGCAAACATATGCAGAATATTTCATCCAACAGTTACAGGATATATTTTTTTCCAAGTTCAGAAGGAATATTCTCCAGGATAGATTATATGTTGGGCAAAAAAAAGTTTTTACACAGTTTAAAAAATTGAAGTTATGTCAAGTGTCAAGTATTCTTTTTTTTCTGACCACAATGGTACAAAACAAGAAATCAGTCACAGAAGGAATCATGGAAAATAAACAGAAATTCAACAATATGCTTCTGAACAATTACTGAGTCAAAGAAGAAATTAAGAGAAATGCTGAACATACTTTGAGACAAATGAAAATGGAAACACAACTTACCAAAATATATGGGAGGCTGCAAAGCAGTTTTAGGAGGAAAATTCATAGCACTAAAAGCCTTTAATAAGAAAAAAAGAAATATCTCAAATAAGCAACCTAATATTATACCTCGAGAAACTAGGGAAAAGGAAAAAAAAGCCAAATACAACGATCCCTCGATATACAGAGAGGATAGGTTCCAGGACCCCCTATGTATACCAAAATCTGCATACTCAAATCCCACAGTCAGACCTGCAGAACCCTTGGTTACAAAATGTTGTCCTCTGTATATGCAGGTTTTACATTCCACAAGTACTGTATTTTTCATCTGCATTTGGTTGAAATATTCTGTAAATTAGTGGATCCATGCAATTCAACTGTATGCTGTGTAAGGGTCAAATGTAAATCAAAAGTTAGCAGAAAGAAAATAAGATTCAGAGTAGAAGTAACTAAAATAAGGACAATGAAAAAACTGAAAAAGATCAACAAACTAAAAGATGGTGTTTTGAAGAGCTGAACAAAGTTGACCAACCCTTCGCAGACTAACCCTTAGCAGAAATACAAAGAATCATAAGAAATTACTAGGAACAATTGTGTCAACAAATTGGAAAACCTAGAAAAAAATGGATAAATTGCTAGAAGTATGTGACCTATCAATATTAAATCATGAATACTCTGGAAATCTGAACAGGATAATAACAAGCAAGAATATTGAATCACTAATTAAATGTCTACCATCAAAGAAAACCCCAGGACCAGATGGCTTTATGGCTGACTTTTTATCCTAATAAAAATTTAGTGATTTAATGATTTTTATCCTGAAATCACTCAGAAACAAAGTGAAATGCCATATATTATCAATTTTTATTTTTTAATTTTTTTATTGAGACAGAGTCTCACTCTCACCCAGGTTGGAGTACAGTGGCATGGTCTCAATTCACTGCAGCCTCTGCCTCCTGGGCTCAAGCAGTCCTTCCCCTTCAGCCTCCTGAGTAGCTGGGACCACAGGCATGTGCTACCAAACCTGTTTTTTTTTTTTTTTGTATTTTTGGTGGAGACAGGGTTTTGCCATGTTGCCTCGGCTGGTCTCGAACTCCCGAGCTCAACGGACCCAACTGCCTTGGCCTCCCAAAGTGCTGAGATTACAGGCATGAACCACTGCACCCAGCCTGCATATTCTCACTTTTAAATAGGTTAGGTGCTAAACAATAGGTACACATGGACATACAGAATGAAATAATGAACACTGGAGACTACAAAAGGTGGGAGAGTAAGAGAAAAGTAGCATTGAAAAATCACCTACTGGGTACAATGTTCACTATTCAGGATATGGGTGCACTAAAATCTCAGACTTCACCACTACACAATATATGCATGTAAGAAACTTGCATTTATAACCACTAAATATATTAAAAATTTAAAATAAATTAAAAAAATAGGATATATCAAATCTACAGATCAAAAAAAAAAACATTATTTTGATTAATGCCAAAAAAGCATTTGATAAAGTTCAAAAACCCTCCATAATAAAAACTGTCAATATACTGGGTACACACACAAAAAATATTCAGAACCATGAGGGCCACTTATGAAAAACCCACGGCTAATATCATGCTAAAAAGGGAAACTTTGAAAGCGTCCACTAAGAGGTGGAACAAAACAAAGATTTCCATTTTTAACACTTTTATTCAACGTAGTACTGAAAGCACTATTCAGAGCAATCAGGCAAGCAAAAAATAAAGAGAATCTAAATTGGGAAGGACAAAGTAAACTTTGCAGATGGCATAATCTCATATGTAGGAAAACCTAAAGACACCACCAGAAACCTCAAAAGTAATAAACAAATGTAGTATAATGGCAGGCTACAAAATTAGGTATTTCCACATACCAACAACAAAATAGCTAAAAGGAAATAAAAAAGCAATTCCATTTACAGTAGTTACAAAACAAAAAAAAAACCTAGGAATAAATTTAACAAAGGTGGTGAAAGAACTCTACAATAAAAAACTGTAAAACATTTGTTAAAAAAAAAAGACACAAAAAATGAAAAGACATCCCATGTTCATGGATTGGAAAAAAATAATATTGTAAAGATGATCATACTATAATACCCAAAGTAAAGAACAGATTTAATGCAATTCTATAAAATGACTAATGTCATTCTTCACAGAAATGAAAAAATCCTAAAATCTGTATGGAACTACAAAAGACTCTGAATAGTCAAACCAATCTTAGCCAAAAAGAACAAAGCTGAAGACATCGTACTAGTAAATTTCAAAATATATTACAAAGCTATAATCAAAATAGCAATGGTACTGGCATAAAGACACATTGACTAACCAAATAGAGTTCCCAGAAACATGCTTATACATCTATGGCTTAACTGATTTTTGACAAGCCAAGAAAACACAATCTCTTCAATAAATGGTATTGGGAAAACTGGATATCCACACACAGGGAGTGAAAATGGATTCTTACCCTTTATATATGAATCAATTAAAATGAATTAAAGTTATAAATGTAAGATCTGAGACTGTAAAACTACTAGAAGAAAACATACCATGCAAAACTCCATGACATTGGTTTGGGTAGTAATATTTTTTATTTTTTTATTTTTTTTTTGGAGACGGAGTCTCACTCTGTCGCCCAGGCTGGAGTGCAGTGGCGCCATCTCGGCTCACTGCAAGCTCCGCCTCCCGGGTTCACGCCATTCTCCTGCCTCAGCCTCCTGAGTAGCTGGGACTACAGGCTCCCGCCACCAGGCCGGCTAATTTTTTGTATTTTAGTAGAGACGGCGTTTCACCGTGTTAGCCAGGATGGTCTCAATCTCCTGACCTCGTGATCCACCCGCCTCGGACTCCCAAAGTGCTGGAATTACAGGCATGAGCCACTGCGCACATGACCCCTAAAACACAGACAACCACAGCAAAAACAGACAAATGAGAGTGCATCAAACTAGAGAACTTTCTCACAGTAGAGGAAATAACTGAGTGAAGAGATACTTAAAACCTACAGATGGTAGAAAATAATTTTAGAAATCATACCTTGAATAAGAGACTAATATTCAAAAGATACAAGACACTCAAGTTACTCAATAAAAAGTAAACAAATAGCTATTTAAATTGAGTAAAGACATTGAATAGACCCTCAGAAGATGACATACAAATAACCAACAGATAAATGAAAAAACAGCAAACATCTCTAGTCAGAGAAATGCAAATAAAACCATAATGAGATATTACTTCCCACCTGTTAGGTTGGCTATTGTCAAAAAGATGAAAAACAAGTATTGGCAAGGATGTAAAGAAAAGGAAAACCTTGTGTACTGTTCGTGGAAATGTAAATTAATATAGCCATTTTGGAAAAGAGTATGAAGGTTTCTCAAACTAAAAATTGATTTACTATATGACACATGATTTCTGTGTATCTATGCAAAGAATTAAAATCTATATGTCAAAAATATGTTTGTACTCCCATACTCTTTGAAGCATTATTCCTAGCAGCAAATATATGGAAACAACTGAAGTGCCCATCAATGGATGAATGGATTAAACAATGTGGTATTCGGATACAATGAAATACCATTCAGTCCTAAAAGTACAGGAAATTCTGTCATTTTCAACAACATGGATGAAACTAGGTGTATATAACACTGCATAAAATAAGCTAGGCACAGAAAGACAAATACCACATGATCTCACTTACATGTGCAAAATGAAAATTGAACTCATAGAAGGAGCGAGTAGAATAGTGGTTACTCAAGGCTGGGGAAATAGGTGGTCATGGCTACAGGAAACACTGATTAAGGTTACATAAGCTCAGAGTGGAAGAATTAGGTTCTAGTGATCTATTGCACAACAAGGTATATATAGTTAAAATTAATGTACACTAGTGCCCATTTATGTGTGGTTTCACTTTCCTTGGTTTCAGTTATTCATGGTCAACCATAGTTAAAAAATATTAAATAAAAATTCAGACACAATTCATAAGTTTTAAATTACAGGATATACTGAGGAGAATAATGAAATCTCTCATTCTACTCTGTTGCCCAGGACATGAATCATCATTTTGTCCAGCCTATCCATGCTAAATATGCTGCTCACCCATTAGTCACTTAGTAGCTGTCGATTATCAGACTACTCATTGTGATATTGTAGTTCAAGTAATACTTATAGCTCCAGAGTGCAAGAGTAGTGATCATGGTATTTCAGATATGCTAAAGAAAAGCCACAAAGTTTGTCCTTTAAGGAAAAAGGTTAAAGTTTTTACTGTATGTATTTGTTTATAGAAATAAAAGGCATATGGTATATGTACAGTTTGGTATTATTGGAGGTTTCAGGCATCCACTGAGGGTCTTCCAAGTTATCCCCTGTGAATGAGGGGGGCCTACTATATTGTATATTTTAAAACAATTAAAGGAATGAATTTTAAATGTTCTCACCACAAAACTATTTGAGATGAGGGATATGTTAATCCACAATATATACATTTATAGAAACATCACATTGTACTTCACAAATATGTGCAACTTTTGTCAATTAAACATAAAACTTGAAAAATTAAGAAAAATAATGTAAAAGGCTTTAAGATATTTCAATAAATGTATTATCACATAATGAGTTTACTTTGCAGTTCGAACTATAAAGTATACCTATTCCTCAAGAACAAACCGAACACAAACCTGGGAGAAAAAAGAAAGACTGAAGTGGAACTAAATAATATTGAAACCAACAAGCAATACAAGGTATCAATTAAATAAAAAGTTGGCTCTAAAAAGAAATAAAATTTACCTTTGATTGATTGCTTTTGGTGTCATGTCTTAACAATTCATTACCAAGGACTAGGTCACATACACTATTTTTTTTCTTCAACTTTTAAGTTCTGGGGTACATGTGCAGGATGTGCAGGTTTGTTACATAGGTAAACATGTGTCATGGTGGTTTGCTGCACAGATCAACCCATCACCTGGGTATTAACTCCAGCATCCATTAGCTATTCTTCCTGATGCTCTCCCTCCCAGCCCCCTCACTCTGACATGCCCCAGTGTGTGTTGATCCCCCCAATGTGTCCATGAGTTCTCATCATTCAGCTCCCACTTATAAGTAGAAGCATGCGGTATTTGGTTTTCTGTTCCTGGGTTAGTTTGCTGAGGATAATGGCTTCCAACTCCATCCATGTCTCTGCACAGGACATGATCTCATTCTTTTTATGGCTGCATAGTACTCCATGGCATATAGGTCCCACATTTTCTTTATCCAGTCTATTACTGAAGGGCATTCGGGTTGATTTGATGTCTTCATGTTGTGAATAGCACTGCAATGAATATACGTGTGGATGTGTTTTTATAATAGTATCATCTATATTTCTTTGGATATATAGCCAGAAATGAGATGACTGGGTCAAATGGTATTTCTGCCATTTTTGAGGATCTTTGATCTTTGAGGAATTTCCACAATGTCTTCCACAATGATTGAACTAATTTACACTCCCACCAACAGTGTAAAAGCATTTTCTTTTATCTGCAACGTTGCCAGCATCTGTTGTTTCTGGACTTTTTAATAATTGCCATGATGACTGGCCTGAGATAGTATCTCATTGTGATTTTGATTTGCATTTCTCTAATGATCAATGATGTTGAGCTTTTTTTCATATGTTTGTTGGCCACACGAATGTCTTCTTTGGAGAAGTGTCTGTTCATGTCCTTTGTCCTCTTTTTAATGGGGTTTAGCTTTTTCTTGTTAAATTTGTTTAAGTTTCTTACAGACTCAGGTATTAGACCTTTGTCAGATGAAAAGATTTCAAAACTTTTCTCCCATTCTGTAGGTTGTCTGTTCACTCTGATTATAGTTTCTTTTGCTGTACAGAAGCTCTTTGGCTTAACCAGATCCCATTTGTCAATTTTGGCTTTTGTTGCAATTGTTTTTGGCATTTTCATCATGAAATCTTTGCTCGTGCCTGTGTCTTGAATGGTATTGCCTAGATTTTCTTCTACGGTTTTTACAGTTTTAGGTTCTGCAGTTAAATTCTTAATCCATCTTGAGTTAATTTTTGTATAAGATGTAAGGAAGGAATCCAGTTTCAATCATTTGCATGTGGCTAGCCAGTTCTCCCAGCACCATTTATTGAATAGGGAGCCCTTTCCCCATTGCGTTTGTCAGGTTTGTCGAAGATCAGATGGATGTAGGTGTTCCGTCTTATTTCTGAGTTCTCTATTCTGTTCCATTAGTCTATGTGTTTGTTTTTGTACCAGTATCATGCTATTTTGGTTACTATAGCCTTGTAGTATAGTTTGAAGTCAGGTAGCATGATGTCTCTAGCTTTATTCTTTTTGCTTAGGATTGTTTTGGCTATACAGGCTCTTTTATAGTTCCACATGAATTTTAAAATAGTTTATTCTAATTCTGTGAAGAATGTTAAAGGTAGTTTAATGGGAATACCATTGAGTCTATAAATTGCTTTGGGCAGTATGGCCATTTTCAAGATATTATTTCTTCCTATCCATGAGCATGAAATGTTTTTCTACTTGTGTTCTCTCTGATTTTCTTGAGCAGTGGTTTGTAGTTCTTTTTGAAGAGGTCCTTCACTTCCCTTTTTAGCTGTATTCCTAGTATTTTATTCTTTTTGTAGCAATTGTGAATTGGAGTTCATTCATGATTTCAATCTCTGCTTGCCTGTTTTTTGTGTATATAAATGCTAGAAAATTTTGTACATTGATTTTGTATCCTGAGACTTTGCTGAAGTTGCTTATCAGCTTAAGAAGTCTTTAGGCTGAGACAATTAGGTTTTCTAGATATAGAGTCATGCCATCTGCAAACAGAGATAATTTGACTTGTTCTCTTCCTATTTGAATAGTTTTTATTTCTTTCTCTTGCCTAATTGTCCTGACCGGAACTTCCAATACTGTGTTGAATAGGAGTGGTGAGAGAGGGCATCTTTATCTTGTGCTGGTTTTCAAGGGGAATACTTCCAGCTTTTGCCCATTTAGTATGATGTTGGCTATGGGTTTGTCATATACGCCTATTATTATTTTCAAGTACATTCCTTCAATATCTAGTTTATTGAGAGCTTTTAACATGAAGAGATGTTGGTTTTTTTGAAGGCCTTTTCTGCATGTATTGCGATAATCATGTGTTTTTGTCTTTAGTTCTCTGTTTATATGATGAATTACATTTATTGATCTGTATATGTTGAACCTTCTTGCATTTTGGCAATAAATCCAACTTCATTGTGGTGAATAAGCTTTTTGATGTGCTGCTGGATTCAGGTTGCCAGTATTTTATTGAAGATTTTTGCATTGATGTTCATCAGGGATAATAGCCTGAAGTTTTCATATTTGGTATTGTATATCTGCCAGGTTTTGATGTCAGGATAATGCTGGCCTCATAAAATGAGTTACGGAGGAGTCCCTCCTTTTAAATTTTTGGAATAGTTTCAGTAGAAATAGTGCCAGCTCTTCTTTGCACCTCTACCAGAGGTGCAAAGAAGAATAATAGCCTGTCAACCAAAAAAAGCCCATCTGGTCCTGGGCTTTTTTAAATTGGTGGGCTATTTATTACTGCCTCAATTTCCTCCTTAAAATAAATAAATAAATAAATAAAAAAGCCGGGTGCTATGGCTCACGCCTGTAATCCCAGCACTTTGGGAGGCCAGGGTGGGTGGATCACGAGGTCAGGAGTTCGAAACCAGCCTGTCCAACACGGTGAAGCCCTATCTCTACAAAAAATACAAAAATTAGGTGGGTGTGGTGGTGGGTGCCTGTAATCCCAGCTACTCAGGGGGCTGAGGCAGGAGAATCGCTTGAACCTAGGAGGCAGAGGTTGCAGTGAGCCGAGATCACACCACTGCACTCCAGCCTGGGTGAGAGAGTGAGACTCCATTTCAAAATAAATAAATTAATTAAATTACATAAACTTTATTCTGCAAAAAACACTCAAGAAAATGAAAAGAGACACAGACTTGAGAAAGTACTTGCACATCAAATATTGAAGAACTTGTGTCCAGAATGTATAAAGAATTCTCAGAACACAATATGAAAAGGTCAACAGAAAATTCAAATAAGCACATTCAGAAATGATAATGGTGACGTTACAACTGATACCACAGTAACACAAAGATCAGATATTTCTATGTGCTTCTCTATGGACAAAAACTAGGAAATCTAGAGGAAATGGATAAATTCCTGGAAACATACAACCTTCCAACATAAAACCAGGAAGAAAGAGAAGTCATGAACAAACCAATAATTAGTCATAAACCTGAATCAGCAATAAAAAACTTCCCCCTCCACGCCCAGAAAAACAGCCCAGGATCAGGCAGATTCATAGCTGCATTTTAACAGGTATACAAAGACAAACTGATACCAATCCTACTGAAGCTGTTCAAAAATATTGAGGAGAGATTCATCCCAAACTCTTCTATGAAGCTGATATTACTCTAATGAGGCAAGAAAGCAATAACAAAAAGCAAACTATAGGTTAATATCCTCAACAGAATACTAGGCAACAAAATCTAACAGCACATCAAAAAGAATATGCCACAATTAAATGAGTTTTATTCCATGGATGCAAGAAGGTTTCAACATACACAAATCAATAAATGTGATGCACAATATAAATAGAATTTTTTAAAAACCACAGATCATTTCAATAGATGCAGAAAAAACATTTGACAAAATTCAGCATCCCTTTATAAACGCCCTTAACAAATTACTCATAGAGGGAACATACCTCAAAGTAATGAAAACCATATATAACACACTCACAGCCAACATCGTACTGAATGAGAACAAGTTGTAAGCATTTCCCTTAAGAACTGGGACAAGACAAGGATGTTCACTTTCACTACTCCTATTCAACAAAGTACTGGAAGTCCTAGCTAGAGCAACAGTCTTGAATTAGGATTTAAAATTTGGCTTTACAGGAAATTACATATGTAACCCCCTATATAATGCACATTTACATGAGAATGTGGATCAAGTCACGACATTGAAATACAGAAGGACAATACAGATAAGAAAAGGCTCAAACTTGCAAGGCAAATAAATGTAAATTACCCACCCAATTAGTTATATATAAGTACAATATTTGCTGATACCCAGGCAAACATGGGGACTGGAGCGGACCTTCAGCAAACTCAAACAGACCTGCAGCTGAGGGTCCTGACTGTTAGAAGGAAAACTAACAAACAGAAAGGACATCCACACCAAAACCCCATCTGTACGTCACCATCATCAAAGACCAAAGGTAGATAAAACCACAAAGATGGGGAAAAAACAGCAGAAAAACTGGAAACTCTAAAAATCAGAGGGCCTCTCCTCCTCCAAAGGAACCCAGCTCCTCACCAGCAACGGAACAAAGCTGGACGGAGAATGACTTTGACAAGTTGAGAGAAGAAGGCTTCAGACGATCAAACTACTCCAAGCTAAAGGAGGAAGTTCGAACCTACGGCAAAGAAGTTAAAAACCTTGAAAAAAAATTAGACGAATGGCTAACTAGAATAACCAATGCAGGGAAGTCCTTAAAGGACCTGATGGAGCTGAAAACCAAGGCATGAGAACTACGTGACAAATGCACAAGCCTCAGTAGCCGATTCGATCAACTGGAAGAAAGGGTATCAGTGATGGAAGATGAAATGAAGCGAGAAGAGAAGTTTAGAGAGAAAAGAATAAAAAGAAACAAACAAAGCCTCCAAGAGATATGGGACTATATGAAAAGACCAAATCTACGTCTGATTGGTGTACCTGAAAGTGATAGGGAGACTGGAACCAAGTTGGAAAACACTCTGCAGGATATTATCCAGGAGAACTTCCCCAATCTAGCAAGGCAGGCCAATATTCAAATTCAGGAAATACAGAGAATGCCACAGAGATACTCCTCAAGAAGAGCAACTCCAAGACACATAATTGTCAGATTCACCAAAGTTGAAATGAAGGAAAAAATGTTAAGGGCAGCCAGAGAGAAAGGCTGGGTTACCCACAAGGGGAAGCCCATCAGACTAACAGCTGATCTCTCGGCAGAAACTCTACAAGCCAGAAGAGAGCGGGGGCCAATATTCAACATTCTTAAAGAAAAGAATTTTCAACCCAGAATTTCATATCCAGCCAAACTAAGCTTCATAAGTGAAGGAGAAATAAAATCCTTTACAGACAAGCAAATGCTGAGAGATTTTGTCACCATCAGGCCTGCCCTAAAAGAGGTCCTGAAGGAAGCACTAAACATGGAAAGGAACAACCGGTACCAGCCACTGCAAAAACATGCCGAATTGTAAAGACCATCAAGGCTAGGAAGAAACTGCATCAACTAATGAGCAAAATAACCAGCTAACATCATAATGACAGGATCAAATTCACACATAACAATATTAACCTTAAATGTAAATGGGCTAAATGCTCCAATTAAAAGACACAGACTGGTAAATTCGATAAAGAGTCAAGACCCATCAGTGTGCTGTATTCATGGAACCCATCTCATGTACAGAGACACACATAGGCTCAAAATAAAGGGATGGAGGAAGATCTACCAAGCAAATGGAAAACAAAAGAAGGCAGGGGTTGCAATCCTAGTCTCCGATAAAACAGACTTTAAACCAACAAAGATCAAAAGAGACAAAGAAGGCCATTACATAATGGTAAAGGGATCAATTCAACAAGAAGAGCTAACTATCCTAAATATATACGCACCTAATACAGGAGCACTCAGATTCATAAAGCAAGTCCTTAGAGACCTACAAGGAGACTTAGACTCCCACACAATAATAATGGGAGACTTTAACACCCCACTGTCAACATTACACAGATCAATAAGACAGAAAGTTAGGACACCCAGGAATTGAACTCAGCTCTGCACCAAGCGGACCTAATAGACGTCTACAGAACTCTCCACCACAAATCAACAGAATATACATTGTTCTCAGCACCCACCACACTTATTCGAAAATTCACCACATAGTTGGAAGTAAAGCACTCCTCAGCAAATGTAAAAGAACAGAAATTATAACAAACTGTCTCTCAGACCACAGTGCAATCAAACTAGAACTCAGGATTAAGAAACTCACTCAAAACTGCTCAACTACATGGAAACTAAACAACCTGCTCCTGAATGACTACTGGGTACATAACGAAATGAAGGCAGAAATAAAGATGTTCTTTGAAACCAATGAGAACAAAGACACAACATACCAGAATCTCTGGGACACATTTAAGGCAATGTGTAGAGGGAAATTTTTAGCACTAAATGCCCATAAGAGAAAGCAGGAAAGATCTAAAATTGACACTGTAACATCACAATTAAAAGAACTGAGAAGCAAGAGCAAACACATTCAAAAGCTAGCAGAAGGCAAGAAATAGCTAAGATCAGAGCAGAACTGAAGGAAATAGAGACACAAAAGACCCTTCAAAAAATCAATGAATCCAGTAGCTGGTTTTTTGAAAAGATCAACAAAATTGATAGACTGCTAGCAAGACTAATAAAGAATAAAAGAAGAATCAAATAGACACAATAAAAAATGATAAAGGGGATATCACCACTGATCCCACAGAAATACAAACTACCATCAGAGAATACTATAAAGACCTCTACACAAATAAACTAGAAAATCTAGAAGAAATGGATAAATTCCTCAACACATACACCCTCCCAAGACTAAACCAGGAAGAAGTTGAATCTCTGAATAGACCAATAACAGGCTCTGAAACTGAGGCAATAATTAAAAGCTTACCAACCAAAAAAAGTCCAGGACCAGATGGATTCACAGCCGAACTCTACCAGAGGCCCAAGGAGGAGCTGGTACCATTCCTTCTGAAACTATTCCAATCAATAGAAAGAGAGGGAATCCTCCCTGACTCATTTGATGAGGCCAGCATCATCCTGATACCAAAGCCAGGCAGGGACACAACAAAAAAAGAGAATTTTAGACCAATATCCCTGATGAACATCGATGTAAAAATCCTCAATAAAATACTGGCAAACTGAATCCAGCAGCACATCAAGAAGCTTATCCACCATAATTAAGTGGGCTTCATCCCTGGGATGCAAGGCTGGTTCAACATATGCAAATCAATAAACATAATCCAGCATATAAACAGAACCAATGACAAAAACCATATGATTATCTCAATAGATGCAGAAAAAGCCTTTGACAAAATTCAACAACGCTTCATGCTAAAAACTCTCAATAAATTAAGTATTGATGGGATGTATCTCAAAATAATAAGAGCTATCTATGACAAACCCACAGCCAATATCATACTGAATGGGCAAAATCTGGAAGCATTCTCTTTGAAAACTGGCACAAGGCAGGGATGCCCTCTCTCACCACTCCTATTCAACATAGTGTTGGAAGTTCTGGCCAGGGCAATCAGGTGAGAGAAGGAAATAAAAGGTATTCAGTTAGGAAAAGAGGAAGTCAAATTGTCCCTGTTTGCAGATGACGTGACTGTATATCTAGAAAACCCCATTGTCTCAGCCCAAAATCTCCTTAAGCTGATTGATAGGCAACCTCAGCAAAGTCTCAGGATACAAAATCAATGTACAAAAATCACAAGCATTCTTATACACCAATAACAGACAAACAGAGAGCCAAATCATGAGTGAACTCCCATTCACAATTGCTTCAAAGAGAATAAAATACCTAGGAATCCAACTTACAAGGGACTTGAAGGTCCTCTTCAAGTGTAACTACAAACCACTGCTCAAAGAAATAAAAGAGGATGCAAACAAATGGAAGAACATTCCATGCTCATGGGTAGGAAGAATCAATATCGTGAAAATGGCCATACTTCCCAAGGTAATTTATAGATTCAATGCCATCCCCATCAAGCTACCAATGACTTTCTTCACAGAATTGGAAAAAACTCCTTTAAAGTTCATATGGAATCAAAAAAGAGCCTGCATTACCAAGTCAATCCTAAGCCAAAAGAACAAAGCTGGAGGCATCATGCTACCTGACTTCAAACTATACTACAAGGCTACAGTAACCAAAACAGCATGGTACTGGTACCAAAACAGAGATATAGACCAATGGAAGAGAACAGAGCCCTCAGAAATAATGCCGCATATCTACAACCATCTGATCTTAGACAAACTTGACAAAAACAAGAAATGGGGAAAGGAGTCCCTATTTAATAAATGGTGCTGGTAAAACTTGCTAGTCATATGTAGAAAGCTGAAACTGGATCCCTTCCTTACACCTTATACAAAAATTAATTCAAGATGGATTAAAGACTTACATGTTATACCTAAAACCATAAAAACCCTAGAAGAAAACCTACGCAATACCATTCAGGACATAGGCATGGGCAAGGACTTCATGTCTAAAACACCAAAAGCAATGGCAACAAAAGCCAAAATTGACAAATGGGATATAATTAAACTAAAGAGCTTCTGCACAGCAAAAGAAACTACCATCAGAGTGAACAGGCAACCTACAGAATGGGAGAAAATTTTTGCAATCTACTCATCTGACAAAGGTCTAATATCCAGAATCTACAATGAACTCAAACAAATCTACAAGAGAAAAACAAACAGCCCCATCAAAAAGTGGGTGAAGGATATGAACAGACATTTCTCAAAAGAAGACATTTATGCAGCCAGCAGACACATGAAAAAATGCTCATCATCACTGGCCATCAGAGAAATGCAAATCAAACCACAATGAGATACCATCTCACACCAGTTAGAATGGTGATCATTAAAAAGTCAGGAGCTGAAGAGGATGTGAAGAAATAGGAACACTTTTACACCGTTGGTGGGACTGTAAACTAGTTCAACCATTGTGGAAGTCAGTGTGGTGATTCCTCAGGGATCTTGAACTAGAAATACCACTTGACCCGGCAATCCCATTACTGGGTATATACCCAAAGGATTATAAATCATGCTGCTATAAAGACACATGCACATGTATGTTTATTGCGGCACTATTCACAATAGCAAAGACTTGGAACCAACCCAAATGTCCAACAATGATAGACTGAATTAAGAAAATGTGGCACATATGCACCATGGAATACCATGCAGCCATAAAAAATGATGAGTTCATGTTCTTTGTAGGGATATGGATGAAGCTAGAAACCATCATTCTCAGCAAACTATCTCAAGGACAAAAAAACCAAATACCACATGTTCTCACTCACAGGTGGGTATTGAACAATGAGAACACATGGACACAGGAAGGGAAACATCACACACCGGGGCCTGTTGTGGGGGTGGGGGAGGGGGGAGGGATACCATTAGGCGATATACCTAATGTTAAATGACGAGTTGATGGGTGCAGCACACCAACATGGCACATGTATACATATGTAACTAACCTGCATGTTGTACACATGTATCCTCAAATTTAAAGTGTAATAAAAAAAAAAAGAAAAAGAAAACAAAAAAAACACATGTTCCTGATATCCAAATCAACACTATTGATAAAGCCAAAGTCTGGAAGCTACTTAAGTGCCTATAATATTAGAAAGGGTTAATAATTTGGTCTATCCACAGTTGAATACTACACAGCAATGAAAATGAGCAATTTACTACTGCACGCAATTTTACAAACATAATGTTGAGCCAAAGAAACAAAGCAGTACCTACTGTATGATTTCATTTATAGAATATAGAAAAAGGAGCCTTTTTCTATATTCTAGAAGCAAAGATATTGCTTATGCTCTGTATGCTTCTAGAAGTGAAGATATTGCTTATGCTCTGTAGGTTTAGTGACTTTAGTAGATTTGTTTCCAAATCTACAAACACTCAATTCCCTTATGTAGGTTTATATAGTGTTTGCATATGAACCATGTATATCCTCCTGTATAGTTGAAATCATTTCTAGATTACTGTGTTTATAATACCTAATATCATGTAAATGCTATGTAAGTAGTTATACTCTATTATATTTTATTTGTATTATTTTTAGTTATATTGGATTTATGTTTGTTTGCCCATGGACACTTTAAATCTGCAGTTGAATTTGTGAATGCAGAACCCATGGATACAGAACCTGTAGTTATGGAGGACTGACTGTGTGAGACACCCAGGAGGGGTTGGATTAACTAAAGCCATTCTCCTTTTTCCTTTTCATTTTCACATTTCTATCTTAGATAACTAGGTGCCACTAAGAAAAGAAAAAAATCCAAAACTAATATAAATTTTAGCAAGAAAGGTGATTTTAATTTTGGAAATGTTGAATAGAACTCTTTATGTCATTCCAGGGTTGTGATGTCTATTAAATAAAGTTTAGCCTAAAGCTGCCCTCTTACATATTTTAAGTTCCACCAACAGTTCTCCATACATAATGAACTGTAACAACTGGATGTGTAAACCGACTATAACCTACCCTTGCACTAATCACAGAGTGGTCAAATCACAGGCAGCCAACTGTTCAAACATGTTCAAAAAGGCAGCCACTGAGCTGTAACCAATTTGGCTGCTTTTGTACCCCATTTCCATTTTCTCTACATCATACATCACTCTCCTTTTTCTGTCCATAAATGTTATCTGACCATGTAGCAGCCCCGGAGTTGCTCTGCATCTATCGTGGTTGTGGAGGCTGTCTGATTTGTGAATCATTCTTTACTCACTTAAACTCTGTTAAATTTGTCTTAAGTTTTTAACATGTCTTTCTGACATACTTAGGCATATATGGAAATCATGTTTTGAATTAGACATTGTTGAAATTGACCCAAGCCCTGTGATCCTGAAAAACAGAAGGTCAAAAAATCTTTTCACCTTTTATGTTTTTGGAAATGGCTTACTGACAAGAACCATCCTTCCTAAGTGACTTGGATGAGACTCAAACATGCTTCCTTATATGACAAGATCAGACAAGGTTGTTCCAAATTCCCATCCTTTGCCAGATAAGGAATTAGTAAATTCTTTGTCCCCACTGATCAATCTAAACAAAATGTTTATTAACCAACCTTTGCTTAAGATTGTTTCCTCCAAGTCCTTTATCTTTGAGTAAACTTAGTCTATGACAGCATACAACCCATCTTTAACAGTCACTTCCAATAGGCTGGCCTCAGGAAAACATTCCCTAATCTGCTGAATCATGACACTGTTATTCATCTCACTTCCACATCTGGTTCTTTCGATCTTTGTTTACTCTTTCCCATTAAAAAACAACAACAAAAAACCCTTTTCCCTAACTTTTGATAAACTCATATTTTCTGGTTTTAATGTTCTCCCTACTGCAATAGCCCTCATTTTTCTATGACAATAGTCCCTTCCCCCAACCGTTTTCAATAATCCTTCTGAACAAAGTATCTTACTCAGTTCATATTTATTGTGTATTTGACAGAGCAATTAACATATAATTGGTATGAGAAAGCAAAAAAGAGAAGAGAATTTTACCACGTATGTAAACCCGAATATCATCAATATTTACAACGTAGAATAAGGATAAAAAGTCCAGGAAATGGTTTGGAAAACAAAACAAAACACAGACACCTGAAGAATACAATGGAAATTGGAGAAATTTATTGAAAAACTTAAGAGATGTGCATCCCTCATCAAAACCAAGATTTTATTCTCTTGTCAGCTAGAAGGGACAATAAAGAGGGTCTAGGAGGAATCACAAAGTATTTAGCACCTAATAACTGCCAAAATTTCCACTAATTACTCTAGCACTTAACCCTCAGCAAGAACACTCACCAGTGTAGGTGAGTATGGTGTGGGCTTTGAAGGTCAATAGACCTAGATTTAAATTTAGATATTTCTTAGACACTGATTGACTCAACATAAAAATAGTAACAATAAAGTATTAGAACTATTAACATATTGAACGGTTATGTTCTAGGAATGAAACTAAAAACACTTATACTATTGCATCTACTTCCATAGACATTATATGATGCAGCTATTTTCAATACCTGCATTTATCTATGAAGAAATTGTGGCACAAGGAGGTTTAAAAAGATGCCCAGTCTTATATGATGAATCTGGGATTTGAACTCAGGCACATCTTCCTGGTCACTCAATCCCCTAACTTTTACGTTTGGTTGCTGACTTTTCCAAGTTAATTAAACTCCTTAAATTATCTTCTATTCTATTTTCTCTTATAGAAACCAGCAAAGAGTACATAGAACAAACATTTTTTTTAGAAGGATTAAATGGGACAATTAAACAATTTGATCAGCATAATGTCCAGCTCAAGGTAAGGCCTCAATAAATGTGAGCTCTTAATCTTTTGTAAGTGAGAATACCAAGTCTCAGAAAGAAAAATTCCATCAAGGTCATTCAGGTAGCAATTAAAATAATTAGGATTCAAAAGCATGTCTTTGTAATCCAAAGTCTGTTATTTTCCACCACAGCTTGCTGTCTCAAATGAGTGAGATAAATCGAATTTTGATTAATAAATGAAACAGTGCATTTACTTTTATCATTATGCTTTTTGGGAAAGATTTTAAACTAGTTCTCTTGTGATAAGGGCAGTGAGACCAACAGGACCTTATGTCATAGAGATTGCTTCTCCATCTGGCATGATTGAGTAAGGATGCAAGACTTTGGAGGAAAATGAAATCACTCTCAGCTGTCACCTTTCTTTCTTTCTTACCAGTGTTTTACAACATCTGCTGCTGCTCTTTTCACACCCATGGATCTTAATCATTTTTTTCCAGTTTAAAATTACATTCTTCTCTAGGGGTGTCCTCCTCACTCATTGCTAAATAATGCCATTCATGATGTCACACCATATTCTGTTTCTGTCCCTGGTGAGTGGACAAAAACTAAGCATATGTGGAACATTGTGAAACAGAGATGTCAGAAGCTCTCCAAAGCTGCCTCCAGTGAAGGCCTGATTCCTGAGCCTTGTATAAAAGGAGATTTGATCCAGGATAACAAGAATAGGAGACACTGAGGCTTGGAGCTGATTACATGTCCATCCTTTGTGGAAGAATATAGAATACAGCAAACTGAGCTGCAAAGGCCCATCTCAATTGACAAGGTGCCACCTCAGGCAAGATGTAGAAATTGGATAAAAATCATAATGTATTTATGGGCTGATGGTACAAAATTAGCTGCATTCAATGGAATTTTTAAAGAGAATCATACTTACCCTATTTTTTGAGTCCATTAGAACACAAAACCTATAAAAACATTTAATTTGCCATGTGCATGATTTGTGTCAGAGACAAAGTAAAACATGGCATTCATCTTGGATTTACTTAATGTCTACATTTCTCACTAGACTACAAGTTGCATGGTACAGATAATATTTGCAAGTTGTCTTTATTGCTGTTCTATTGCCAAATAGTAGCAAAATGCCTAGCGTTGTGCTTGGAGCACAGTAGGTGCTCAATAAATGTTTATATAATTAATAAATTGATGAATAAATTCATGAGCATGAGAAAGGAAGACTGGAATTAAACAGAAAAGATATATCTTAAGTTAGTGGACTGTTAAAAAAGACAGGTAAAGAGATTAAACAGGATGTTGTGAGTAAAAACTAATGGTTTACCCAAGTTTCCCACATTTAATACATGTTTGCTTCCTTTACAGGATCTTGGAGGTGGTGAGGCAGCCCAAGTGGAAAGGCAGCAGAAGGGGTATCCTTGTTTTACCAATTACTCATATGTAGGAGATGGTGCATTAAATGAAATATTCTCTGCTCTCTCCTAACATCTACCCCCTCACACCAAGAGGAAGGCATGTCGCCTGAACCTTTGCAGTATTCAATTAAAGTTCTATTCACACGGTATTGCAGTTGTTTGCTTATCTTTCTTTCTTATTAGACTTAAAACTTCTGGAAACTAGAGGCTATATTACTTATTTGCCTCAGAGTCCTGTTGGCCTATCAAATGGCACACCTTCAATCCAAGAATGAATTAATTAAATAAATGTGAAGAAAAAAAAAATCCAAGTTGCTTATTTTTGTTAAATTTATTTTTCCCCAAAATATTTACTGAGAAAATGACTCTGGGAAGATAGCAGAGTGGAAAGCCCCAGAAATGTGTTTCCCCACCTAGACAACAACTGTACTGGCAGAATCTGTTTGATGTGACTATTCTGAAGTTCTGAATTGAATAAATATGAAGAAAATACAAAGTGCAAGTCTTGTTACTTCCAAGGGATGGCTTGCATAGTAAGTTGTTTATTTTGGTGAGTTTCAGCTTTTGATTGATTGGGTAGTGGCTACTCATCCCCAATCCTAGCCATGGTAGGAAGCTGTGTGCCTCTTCCTGGAGCAGCTTGTACATGGTTTGTGGGAGCCAGGGTGAACAATAAGGATCCTAACCTCCAAACATCAGGTGTCTGTGCTCTGATTACTAATTGCTTCTTCTGATTGAAGAGATACAGACACAGGTGAGGAGCCATTGTTTCAATCCTCACTGAAATAGTCATTATTCACAATAACCAAAAGGTAGAAACAACCCAAATGTTCATCAACAGATGATGACTGGATAATCAAATTGTGGTATAGACGTACTGTGAAATATTATTCAGCCTTAAAGAGGAAGGAAATAATTTTGACACATGCTATAACATGAACAAGCTTTAAGGACATTTTTCTTCATCTAGCTAAAAGACAAACTGTGTAATTCCACTTATACAAGGTACCAAGAGTATCAGCTTTATAGAGACATAAAGTATACTGATTGGCAGGAGTTTGGGTAAGGAGGGTGTATCAGGCCATTCTTACATCGCTATTAAGAAATACCAGATATTGGGTAATTCATAAAGGAAAAAGGCTCATGGTTCTGCTGTACAGAGAAGCCTGGTGCTGGCATCTGCCAAGGCCTCGTGAAGCTTTGAATAATGGCAGACGGGACCCTGTGCAGTGGCTCACCCCTGTAATCCCAGTACTTTGGGGGGCCGAAGCTGGTGGATCACCTGAGCTCAGGAGTTCGAGACCAGCCTGACCAACATTGTGAAACTCCATCTCTACTAAATACAAAAAAAAATTAGCCAGGCATGGTGGTGCATGTCTATAATCCCAACTACTTGGGAGGCTGAGGCAGGAAAATCACCAGAACCCAGGAGGCAGAGGTTTCAGTGAGCCGAGACTTTGCCATTGCACTCCAGCCTGGAAACTCCATTTAAAAAAAAAAAAAAAAAGAAACAAAAGAAAAGAAAAATAATAATGGCAGAAGACAATGGGGGAATCCAGTGTCTTACATGGTAAGAAGTTGGGGGAGCTGCTACATACTTTTAAAAAACCAGGTTTCCTGATAACTCACTCACTGTCGTGAGGACAGCATCAAGAAATGAGGGATCCACCCCCGTGACCCATGACCTCCCACCAGGCCACATCTCCAACAATGGGGATTGCAATTCAACGTGAGATTTGGCAGGGGCATATATTCAAGCTATATCAGAGGGCATGAGGAGTTAATGTTCAATGGGTATAGAGGGTTCAGCTTTTGCAAGATGAAGTCAGTTCTGCAGATTAATGGAGATGATGCACAAAAATATGAATGTATTTAACACTATTGACCTGTACACTTCAAATTGATTAAGATGGTAAATCTTATGTGTATTTTGCCAAATTAAAGAAATTAAAATTATTTACTGAGCAAAGATTAAACACATAAGAATATTTAAAATTTTATTATAACTATATTGATTAGATTTTACTGAGCTTTATACTAAAATATGAGATTATACTAGGCTATGTACTTATACATATTCTATATACTACATATTATAGTCTATATTCCTCACAGTAAGAGGAGGTAAGTACTGTTTCATTTTGTTAATAAAACAGACCAGAATAGCAAGATAACTCAATAAAGATAATACTGAAGAAGTATCAGGATATGAACCAGTTCTTTCCCTAACATCCATTTACCAATAGAAGTGAAACTCAAGTTTAAGTCAAGCTATTAAGTTGCTTATAGTCATTATATCTTTCATTTGCTGGCATCTTGCCACCACTTCTATAAAACCTTACTCTTGAAAAAAAGTGAGAGGTAAAAGGTAATATTCACAGTCAAAAAGAGCATCATCAGCTACCCAACACATGGGTGCCATTTCAACACCATTCTCCAAAAGACAAAGTAGACATAACTTCCGCTTAGAGAGACAGTTGAATACTTGTCAAACAGCTGCCATAAACCCATGGGGTCTGCTACATTGAACAGTGTCATCCTCTGAACATGACTTTCAATGATATCTTTGTATTAAGGCAAAATACGTCAACTGGAAATAACATTTTCAACCTTGTTTGAATCCAAATGTCAGTGTGTTTACATGTTCTCTGCTCTTGCCTATGACACTGGCATCTTAGTGCATGAGCTGACATATATTTTGTGGTCATGCTGGCATGCTACATCAAGGTCCTATGATGAGCAGTTTTAAAATCAAACTTAGAAAATATTGGTGTTTAAAAACTTTTCTATTTGTCCAGAGGATATTTTCTTAAATATAGAAAAAAAGGAAAAAGATCAGGAAATACTAAGTATCCTTTTCTCGAAGAAAAGGAAAAAAAATCTATAGACTTAAGGTAGGGAAATAAATGTTTGCCTTAGGTCAATTTAGTAAAATTACAAGACAAATAAATGGCAAAAGGAACATTTTCTGTATTTTTCAAATTTTATTAAGAATAGGTGATATGCTTAGTCATCACCTGGACTTCTCACCTAAAGCTTTGAATTCCTGTACCATCTCTATCTCCCTTCCTTCTACCCCATTTCCTTCACATTACACTACTAGAAAGAAAAAAAAGGCAAAGTAGTAGACCTAAGGAGTAAGAACAAGTGGAGCAGTAAGCAGAAGGAGAAACTAAGGTTAAAGGCAGAGATGTTAGAGCTTGTTTATTTGCCAGTGGAAATGGTTTAGTAGAGAAGAATGTGATGATGCAAAAAAAAAAAAAAAAAAAAAAGATGTCTTAGTCAGAGTTTCCCAGAGAAACAGAACCAACACAGCAAGGAATTGACTCACATTAGGGAAGCTGAGAAGTCCCAAGATCTGCAGATGGCAAGCTGTAGACCTAGAAAAACTGATGTGTGTTTCAGTCCTAAGTCAAATGCATACGATCTAGGAGACTTGACAGCTTAAGTTCCAGGCTGAAAACCAGCAGCCTCGATATCCAAGAAGAGCCAATGTTTCAGTTAGAATTTGAAGCCTGGAGAAGACCAAAGTCCAGCTAAAGCAGTCAGGCAGCAGGAGTTCCCTCTTATTCTGCCTTTTTGTTCTATTCAGGTCTTCAACTGATTGGAAAAGGCCCACCCACAGTACAGAGGGCAATCTGGTTTATTCAGTCTACTGATTCCAACGTTAATTTCATCCAGCAAAAACCTCACAAACACCCAGACTCATATTTAACCAAATATCTAGGCATCAGTGGCCCAGTCAAGTTGATACATAAAATTAATCATTGCAAGAGATAGATGAAGGATCTGGGAAGATAAAATTCAGATAAAATACAGAGCACTAATAAACAGATTGGCCCTTCCTAGGAAGAGAAACAGTTTTTCCATTTTAATAGGTGGAAATCAGAGATGATGGCAAAGGCAGATAATGTATAATGTGGAGTTTTATGGACTGGAGAAACAAGTCAGAAAAACCAAATACAGTGTGGGAATTTTATGCTATTAAGCAAACTTTGTATTTTTGGGGTTTCATAATTGTATTATATTTAAAACAAGCTCTTTTCTATTGACTATATATAAATACATTTTATAGATAAAATATGTCTTGAATTTGAATTAAGATATTCCAGAAAAATTATGTACTGCTAAAATTTAGGGAATGTGTTGAATATAGAAGTGAAATGTAAAAGAAGATATTAATAGATCCTAAGAGCTCATTTAAAGGATTTGACTTTGTCCTGCTTGGTAATCAATCTATAATGATTCCTGCCTCCTGGAACTTTTACCCTGTCCCTTTCCATGTTATACTAGTATAGCATATTGCCGACTTGAAGACGCCTCACTTCTCAGATTAGGCTATAAATGTCTTAGGTGTTCTCATGTTTGTTCCCTCTTGCTCTGGTCACTTGCTTTGTGGGAAACAGCTTCAACATACAACGTTGCTGTTGTGGCTTAATTAATAAGAAACTGAACTCTCTGATAGCCGTGGAGGAGAGCTAAGTTCTGCCAACAATTTTATGAATAAGCTCAAAGTTGATCCTCCAGTCCCAGAAAACTGTAGCCCCAGCCTAGAGTCTGACTGTACCTCAGAGATCCTAAGCCAGTTTAATTGAACTAGTCAAAGTTCAATTAAAAATCAGTAGTCAAAAATATCTGGAGTGTGAAAAAGTTCTAATGGAAAAAAACAAAGAAATCTGATCTTCAGTTTTATCTTAACACAGTACCCACAACTTATTAGGAAATTAGCCTACATCTCTGTATTTGATCATTTCCTATTTCCAGCCATATATACTTGAATTTATGTAGTGAATTAAATGTTTATTTTTAAAGTTTACTTGAAAACACATTTTCTTATGATATTTATATCTTAGTTCTAGCTGTCTCTTAGCTCTAGTAGCTTGTCTCAAATTATGTTGTCAGGCCCCACGCTCACTTTTTAAAAAATTCAGTATGTACTCAATAGTGATTTGAATATGCAAACAAACAACCTTCTTTGTTGTGAAAAATGTCAAGATTTATAGCAAGAAAATGTCTGCTACAATCCTGAGTGTGTAAATTTCTGAGCCCATAACCTTAGGCCTTGTACTCTGAGCCTCAAATTTTTACTTATAAAATGAAGAAACTGATGATATCTATATCACTAATTGCTTCATTTGCTGCAGAGTAGACTAATGGAAAAGAAATATTTGAATAAATGGTGATTACACACAGAAACTAAAGTATTAAAATGGGAGCACAATAAAAGAAATTGCATTACAGCATGAGATATGTGTTGGCTAAGTTTTAATGTCTTCCTTAGTTAAAAATTGGTTTTTATAAGAAAATAACTTTGAGTTTCAATAACAAGCTGTTTGTTTTTTAATCTGCATCTTAAAACCAAAGTATATTTCATCTCATTATAGTCTTGGGCTCTCATGACCAGCTCTTCAACCCTATTTCTTTTTTAGTTAAGATATTTGCTATGCAGATGACTTGACACAAGGGGATATGATTGCTTTGATTCACCATCCAGAATTTTTATAACCATAGCTTCCCACAAACAAGCTTAATATGTTTAACTACTTAATTATACTTTTACTTTAACAATAGAGTTCTTTCTGAAACTAATGAACTGCAAGATATTTAAACATCATATAGAGTAAAATGTAAAGAAATACTAATGTATACAATTAAGTGTCCTCTACATAACAACATGAATCTTAATGATTTCTTTCTTTTCATCAAAGGTGTTCTTTCTAGTAAAATCTGTTTATTATATTATCATAAACCACAGGGGGTAATCTATGATTCTCGTAACATATCAGAGTGATATATGCCACTTTCTAAGACTTGTACCCATAGTCCACTATGTGCTTAATCCCCAGAAAAAAAATCTTCCCACCAAACTCTTAAAATATTTTTGTGATTCTTCTCTTTGGAAAAGAGTAGCATTCTCAGCTTTTAAGTCTGTTATCTAAACAGGCTAAATTCAGCGTTTCTTCTGACTGATTTTAATGTTTTTGTCTTGTCTTTGCTTTTTAGCAGTTTTAATATGATATTCTCACTGTTTTTGTTTATATCTTGCTTAAGATTTGAAGTGCTTTTTGAATCTGGCTTTTTATATTTCTTTTTGTAAAATTCATATCTAATGTCCTCAAGGATTGCTTCTGCTCCATTATCTGTTTATTCTCCTTCTGGGACTCTGGTTGCAGATTTTTGAGACTAAATTTTTTTTTTCTAAATGACTTCTATATCTATTGCCTTTTTTATTATTTGTCATTCCATTGTATCTGAATGCTTCAATTTAGATATTATTTTCTGACATGTTTCCCAGTTTAATTTTGTCTTTAGTTGTCTTTAATTTTTACTTATATTTTTAAAATTCTAGATATCCTATTTGATCTTTCTCTGTAGTCATTCCATTATCTCATGAAATTATTCATCTCGTATTTTATTTCCAGAACACAATTCTCATTTGTTTTTTGTGTCTAATCATTCCTTTACCTGGATCTGCTGTGTTTGTTGATGTTATTGTTCTTATTTTAATATGCCATGGTAGTCTGCGAACTATAATTTTTGCACAACCAGTCCCACAAATCCAAATATCCTGCTCATTTTCTCAGCAACTATCCTCAGTATTAACAATTATCTCCTAGAAAAATGCAAAAGTTAAGGTCAGCTATGCAAGTTTCCCTCTGTTGATCTTGGCATCACAGTTTCTTATTACTATGGATAAATTTCCAATGTTTTAAAACATTTTTTTTTTTGTCTAATTTTCTAGTTGTTCTCTCTGGGAAGGCTGGTCAAACCAACCTCATCTGCTCCTGCTAGAAATGGAATCTCCTCCACATCATTTAAGGAGTTGATCTGTCTGTATCTACAGTCTTAGCCAAATATGAACTTAAAGGATTTTACACATCTATTTCAAAACATAGATCAAAAATGTAATAATATAAAGGAGGAAGAATAATCTGCAAAAGCAGCATTAAAAAATTCTAATGTTAACTCCTTATTTAATTACAGATTTTCTACTTTTCATGGTCTTATAAATTTAGTTTTCTTCTAGAAGCTACAACCTCACTTTTGACAAAGCCATCACAATTTTTTATACGTTTTGGAAACTAATAATGCAGAGTGAGTTTTTAAACTTAGCTAAAGTAAAATGGCAAAGTTGATTTGAATTTGTCATAGCAAATGTAGAGCTATAAATATGCTTGTTAAATAGCCAAGACATAAGGGAAAATTATAAAAACTTGAAGCCTAATTAACTTTCTATAGAAACATACTATAAGATATCTTTGCTATCTATGGATTTATAATTTTGACTGTTGATTTAAATTTCAAGAAAACAAAAGTCAAGTTGTTCACTAGTAATTTTGCTAAATCTGTGTGACAATTACTTAAGTACTTGGAAAGTAGATAGATTATGTTCACAGACACACAAACACATACATACATTCACAAGAAAATTTCTCAAAGGGTTATATGAACCCCAAATTCTTTTAGTGGACCACATTGATAACCTAATTGTGTTGGCTATATTTTAACTCATAAATTTGCAAACTAAGAGATGCTAAATCACCTGTCCTGACCATGCACCAGCAGTAATCAATGATTAATTATAGACAACATTAAGATTCACAACTGACTCCTATTTGTAATGCAAATATTTTCAGAATCTGTGAAAAAAGGGTCCTTATATCTGTCTCTTAATTATATTGTGGTCTATGGTATTTTCCAAAGATATCTGCAGAAACATCTCTCTTCTTTCTTTTCCTTCTGTAATGTGACCTTACAGCTGTCTCATTGAGAGGTGAGGTTTGTAACTTCACTCCATAGAATCTAAGTGGCCAGTAGAATAAAGAGAAAGTGAGACTTTGAAAATCCTATGTATAGCCCTAAACTGGCCTAGAATCTTCTGTTTCCTGGGTTTTGAAAATCCAGCAGCAATATGTGAGAACTCCTGGTCACTTAGAGAGAACATGTGAGTGTCTTGTTGCCTGCCCTGAACTCCAGCCAGTGACAGTAAACGTCAACTGTGAGTCAAGCTTCTCCTATGTGCTGTGTAGGCAAACCTTCAGATCTGACTCCAATCAAATAACCTCATCTGAGTTCTCTAATCCATAGAACCATGTGAGAGAATTATTTGAGTCGAACATTTTTGGGTATAGTTTGTTCTGCAACATATACATATTTATGCCCAGCAATACATCACTCAAAGGTCAAATGCCGATTACCAATTGTCTTTTTTTTTTTAAGAAATTGTTGTCTGGGCACGGTGGCTTACGCCTATAATCCCTGCACTTTGGGAGGCCGAGGCGGGCAGATTGCCTGAGGTCAGTGTTTCAAGACCAGTCTGGCCAACATGGTGAAACTCCATCTCTACTAAAAATACAAAAAAATTAGCTGGGCGTGGTGGCAAACACCTGTAATCCCAGCTACTCAGGAGGCTGAGGCAGGGGAATTGCTTGAACCAGGGAGGTGGAGGTTGCAGTGAGCCGAGATCATGCCACTGCACCCCAACCTGGGCGACAGAGCAAGACTCCATCTCAAAAACAAAAAACAAATTAAAATGTCATGATCTAGGTGCACTTACCTTAAATCTTTCATCCCCTTCTTGCAGCTCAACTCTGAAAATATTGGAGCTGGAAAAAAATATCACTGTATTCTATCTTGGTTTATAGATGAGGAAACTGAGGATTTTACAGAAAAACAAACAAAAAAATGTGAAAAAACGTGATTGTCCAAGATCTTATCAAAAGGGTGCCAAAAGTTTGATAGTGTTAAATCAAATTTGGGCAAGAGCTGCTTCCATATTTTGCAGACTGAAACCTAACTTAAGACTATATTCTTGTAGAAGACAGCCAAGTCTCAGCCAATCATGTCAATTGAGTTTCAGCCAATCACAGACTTTCAATTGATAGAATATGTCTATATAAGGCAATGCCTCACCACATCACACCCACATAAGGAAATGCTGAGCTGTAACCAATCAAGCTGTTTTTGTATTATCACTTCCTTTTTCTGTCTATAAATAGTGTCTGCTCACGTTGCTGTATGGAGCCACTTGAACCTTTACCGTTTCAGGGTGCTGCTCAATTTATGAATCATTCTTCCCTCAGATAAACCTTGCTAAACGTGTCTAAACTTTTCTTTTTAAAGGAAAAAAAATAGTAACCTATAGCTTCTACCACCAATCTCAGTTTCAGCATGTGAATGTGATTCTGACTCCCACCACGTGCACAGTGAATGAACTATTCTTAGATGTTTTTGCTATTATAAAATTCAGTCTCCTCTTCCCTTTCTTCTTCTCTTACTCTGTATTTTAGATCATGTATATTGTGATAGATAGGGATGTTTACCCTTCTTGAGTGTGGACTGACTGACTTGTTTCTAATGAATAGAATGAAGCATATGTAACAGACTGTGACTTCCCAGACTAGGCTATAAAAAAGTTCTATGGCATCTGTCTTGGTGACTGTTTTTCTCTTGGGTCACTTATGTCAGCAAACACAGCTTCCCAGTTTTGAAAACACAGGCTGCTCTGAGGAAAGGTCCGTAGAACAAGGAATTGGGACCTCCAGCTAAGAGGCAAGTGAGTAACCCATCAGAAAGCAGGCCCTCCATCAGTTAAGTCTTACATGACTGGAGTCCAGTGGACAGCTTATGGGAAATTATATGAGACACTCCAAGCCAGAGAGAAACTGAAATAGTAAATGTTTCCAGTATAAGCTACTACATTTTGGCATAATTAGTTATATAGCAATACATAACTAATTTAGCTTTTACATTTTTCCAGAGTTAAAAAATTTACAAGGTTAAAAAGAACATTTTCCTAGCATATATATCTGCCTACTACTTGCTCAGCAAGCATAGTGAATTCTAAGGAAACTACATGTGGCCTTTTAATTTTTTTATATAGGTTATTCATTTTTATATCCAGGTATTACTATAGCTGTTTACATAGTGCTCCATAAATTTGTTATTAGAGTTTCTGCTATACACAGTTCAGTATCTAAATTCTGAATTTCTAACTGTGAAATTTTACCATTTGAACCTCTAAAGCCAAGGCAGCATAGCTGGTAAGTATGTATAAGTTCTGGTTCTCCAGCAGGTTGTGTTTAGAAGTCATAATTTTACTCTCACTGTGTCACAGTCCAGTTGTTTAGAGTTCTGTCTTTTCTTTCTTTTCACTCTTCCCACTCCTTTGTACCCTACTGGATAAAGCACCTCATGTTGAATCCTGAGTTTGTTATTGTGGCGGTCCCCTACTCTCTCACCCACCTGATTACACTCAGCTTTAGTTCCCCTGTATGTCCAGGTGTGGGCTTATGCCTGTAACAAAGTGAATCCCTTTCCTAATATCATAACATAGTAAAATAAGCATGCTTTGAAAGAGAGAGGGTGGCAAGGAGACCTTAGAGTATTTCCTCAAAAGCCAGACTTATAGGAAGCACCTTAAGGTCTCCATTATTTTTAATTATTATTGTAGTAATAGCAGTACTTAGTAAAAGAAGAGGTTCTCTGAGCATCTCAGTATGAGGGGATGGTGAGGACAATTCTGAAGGATAATTTGTCATAACAGATCAAATGAGAATGCATGAGGAGGAGGAGCACAGAATGAAGAGGAAGCATGGAAATTAACATTTATTAAGCACCTGCTAAGTGTCACTTTGAAAGTTTACATTATTTCTAATATTTCTTATAAAAATCTGAGTGTAAATCACAACTATTTTAACTTTATGGATAAGGAGGGAGAATATTGGACGTTCGAAATGGCACTTAGTAGTTTGTACAACTAATACCTAAACTGGAAATTGACAACCACAACAGTTTACTTCCAGTATTTGCTCATTTGAATATACCTTGATGAGCTCAGAAACCAGGCCACAAGAAGAATATTGAAGGTGCTAGAAATATTTAACATAATAAAAAGAAAATTTTGTATGGCCTTCCCACAATATCTTAAGGAAACTAAATGATCATCATTTGTAACATAGACATAAAATCCTCACAACAGGAGATTTCTAGGCTGGTAAAATAATAAGTACATTGATAAAGGAAATTCTTATGAAGACGTTGGGTCAGAAATTTGTGGAAGCTTATTTCAACTCTAATAGTTTCCATTCTTAAGTTTTGTCCACATAATGACTTTATACAGATTCAGCATTTTCTACTATACATAGAGCTCATATTTGTATAATCCCAGCCACAAAAGGAGAAAAAGAAGATGGTGATTATATTCTCTGTGCATTCCTTAAGTATACATCAGTCGAAATTTTATTTAGTTTCTCCCACCTGGGGTCTTTAACTCATTTTTCCTCTGAATATTTTACTTATTTTGCCACTATATTCCACACATATATATACATTTCCAATTTCTTTAAGTTACACATTACATAAGAGAGATGAATCTCCCATTAATTCATTTTCTCAGTAATTTTTTCAGTCAGTCTATCCACAACACTTACATAAGTCTTTATGCATAAACAATTGGGTAAGAGGTTCCTTGACCTTAAGGAGCTCTCTGCCTAAAAAATAAGGCAGGCAAGTTAACAAAAAATTGCAGTGCAGTATGATAAGTTCTATGAACAGTAAAGATATATGAGTGAGAAAAAAAAAGCAGACAGCTAATTGAAACTGGCATCATCAGGGACAGCTTTGAGAGGAACTGGGATCTGAGCTGAATTGTAATAGACATGTTGAATGAGAAAAGAGAAGGGGATATATCTTTCTTAGGGCACATAGGTAGTAAAAGGAGTCCATATGTGACAGTGATTTGAAATCTACTCTGCTTTTTTTTCTGCTATATAATTGATATGCTTTTGAGGTCGAGAGGATATGAACGAGTCTTAGTTCAGCAGTTTTCCACTGGGAATAATTTTGCCTTCCCAAGGAAAAGTCCTGGAGTCACTGTGCGACTAGGGGTGGAAATGCTGCTGACATTTAGTGGGTGGACACCAATGATGCTGCTAACTCTCCCTAATATACAGTACAGGCCCTGATAAACCATTATCTGGGCCCAAATATGTATAGCACCAAGGTTGAGAAATTCTGCTTCAGATGCTTGAAAAAGTTTGAAAACCTCTGCTTTAGAAAAAAGTTATCACTGGAGACTTTTAAGCAAGAGATTAACATGGTAGATCCTTTTTCTCTCTTCCCCCTGGCCATCCTGAACACTGCTGTGGAAACGGTAGGCATTGCATACTGTTCTGCCAAGCTTGCCATTTTTATAAAGTGCCTTGGGTTTGCTCTGACCTTTCTGCATGGGAGACAACCTTGCATTCCTAATTCTCTGGGATTCTTTTCTTAATCTAGGGAAATGTATTTCTCGATTAAGTGCAAGATCAAGTGTATCCTCTTCCTAAATTAATGGTTCTCTTGACCAGAGTGCTCAGTCATTTGTTAGTGCTCCAAAAGGAAATGTGCATTTCTGAGACTCCATAAATCACATAAACAGGATTTTATATTCACCATTTAAATGGAGATAAATCATAACTTGTCTGCAATATCTTTATGTTGTACTGCAAATATGTATCTCTGGATATATATCTCGGGCTTTGGTAACTCTATCATTTCCTCCGAGCCCCAGTCCATGGTAGAATCTTCTTTATCCTAAATAGGATTATCAGTTGCTCATGCAATTATTATATCTTAGAATATTGGCATCATCTTTTAAACATATATCCAAATGTTATAAGCATACTGGGCCTATATAACTCAAGGTCTATATTTTGTTAGTCCTTACAATTTGATTGAGATTTACATTAAACTTTCATATTTAATTTACCTAGAAATTAAAGACAATCAGGTTGTATTTTATTCTATTTGGTCATCTTAGCAAAAATTACATTTAGCCTACAATTAGTAGGTGCTTATGCATACATATAAGTATATACATACACACACACACATACACACACATACATATATATATATGCTCCTCAACTTTCAGTGGGGTTACATCCTGACAAACCCATTGTAAGTTGAAAATATGGTAAGATGAAAATGCATTTAATACACCTAACCTACCAAATATTGTTCAGCCTACCTTAAAAAACATGCTCAAAACATATTAGCCTACAGTTGTACAAAATCATTCAACACAAAGCTTGTTTTATAATAAAATATTGGATATCTCATGTAGTTATTGAAAACTGTATGTTATGCCAAAATTGTGATGGTTTTGCACCTTAATGAAGTCTAAAAATCTTAATTTGAACCATCATAAGAGACCACCTATATATGTTCTACTATCTCATCCTGTTCCCGTGTGCTCCTTTTGTTATTAGACTTTTAACTCCTAACTGGTGTGGGCTAAAATAAGATCCAATATGCATTACGAAGTAAAGGAAAATGCCTTGTCTCCAGAAGCTATTGCATATATAAATAGCATATCTTTGCTGCTATTACTATGAATTTAACCCTTTCTCTTGGGAACCTAATTAAGGATTGCAAATATGTTTTAACTCACATGCCAACTTGGGCTACATTCTAACTAAGGCTGTATCTGCTCTCAGCAGGAAGGAGTGAAACGATTGATTAGCGAGATCTACTGTGGACTCCTGAATGATGAACACAACAAGGATGCCCTGCATTCATCAAGCTGTTATTGGCCTATCAGGTTAGTCAGCTGAGTGCTTCAGAACAGATCAAAATATTAACTATTTCATTTATGTAAATGAGGTAATTGAAACGAGCAAAAAAGGAACACATTTCTGGGGCATGTTCTATATATTTTGTATCTGCATTATTTAATATTACCATAAGCCCTTCAGATTGCCATTACCTACATTTCAAAGATGAGGGAAACTCAACTTCGAGGAGGAGGCGTTTATTCATCTAGTAAAGGGTAGGGTTTGAATTCAAACTTGGCTTTTAAACCTATGCTATCTTAACGTTTACAGGGCTTTGGTCAACCACAAATATTTATAATTTGTGTTTGGTTAGAAATGAGGAGAAAATTGAGAATGATGCACTAAGAAAGAAGATCATGGATCTATATTAAGTTTTGAGAATATGCGGTATCTGTAACCATTGCTACCATCAATTTTAGAACATTTTATTTCAAATCTTTTGTTCTGAATCAACTCATTAAACACATGTCCCAGTCCTCTTGTTCCTAGTCAGATTGGACACTTTACTCTGTGCCCCAGAAGCTGAGTTAAAACTTTCTTCTTTGGCTTTTAATGCTATGCCCCCATTCTGCAGTGTCTTCCTTTTGTCTACAATCCAAATTAACTATTTCAGGAAAACTCAAATTCAATATATTTCATATAGACTTTCCTAACAATTTCATCCACAAAAATCATAAAACCTATTTAATAAAAGCTTCACTGATACTTTTATTAGGTATCAGATATGAGAAAAAGGCAAATAAAACATTATGACTGCTATACCGGTGTAAGGGATAAACTTGCAGGAAGTATGAAAGTTGAGATAATGTATTGTTACTAGAATAAAGTGGAAGGTCAGATACATTTTACGTTCAATGAAGGTAAGTATCTATGCCTGCTTTATTTAGTCTTATATCAGCAATGCATACATAGTGTCTGGCAGAGAGCAGTGGTTGAAATAAACTCATTTTGATTTAAATTTTTTAAAAATCTGTTGGTAAGAACGGGATTGATGCTGATGATTTTGAATTTAATACCAAAGGACAGATTTTGGGCCATGAAAGGCAGAAATAGGGAAGGACATATCACAAAGATGGACACTCAAAATAGTGAATGTGCGACCCTATGTGGTTTTGAATGATGGCTACGGCAAAAAACATTTGAGCTGAACAGTTAGAGATGAGACTGCACAAGGCGTCCAGGGTCAGTTGAGGAAGAGACTTATGTTTTAGTTTTAGGGGGTTACTTTTATCCTGAAAGTATGAGGAATAGCTGAAATGTTTAAAGCAGTAAAACAAAATGAAAAAAAAATTCAGGTGAGAAAACTCTATAGTAATTGTATCAGCCTGCTCAAGCTGCTCTAACAAAATACCATAGACTAGGTGACTGAAACAGGCTACTTTTCAAAATCTGGAGGATGGGAAGTCTAAGATCAAGGTGCCCAATGATTTGGTTCTTGGTGAGGGTCCTCTTCCTGGGTTTCAGATGACTACATTTTCACTGTGTCCTCACATGGCTGAAAAAGGAAGATCTTGTGTCTCTTCTTCTTCTTATAAGACCCCATCATGAGCCCCACCCTCATGACCTCATCTAAACCTAATTACCTTCCAAAAGTTTTACCTCCTTATACCATCACATTGGGGGCTAGAGACTCAACATGTGCATGTTTGGGAAGACACAAATAACAGTCCATAACTGGGATTTTTTTATACTGCTTTAGGTTAAAATTTATAAAGGCCTAAACATAAAAAGAATGATAAAGGATATGGACTTAAAAAAAGTGGGTGACTGATCATATATAAGTTTTTGTAAGGTTTCTGCCTGACTTGTTAATGCTGTTAACATTTACCAAGGGAGATTATACTATGGAATCCTGCATTTTGTTTTTTGGGGATAAGAATCCTTGCAAAGTCCAGGTGCAGTGGCTCACACCTGTAATCCCAGCACTTTGGGAGGCCAAGGCAGGTGGATCACTTGAGGTCAGGAGTTTGAGATCAGCCTGACTAACATGGTGAAACCCCATCTCTACTAAAAATACAAAATTAGCCAGGCATGGTGGTGCACACCTGTAATCCCAGCTACTTGGAAGGCTGAGGTAGGAGAATCGGTTGAATCCAGGAGGCAGAAGTTGCAGTGAGCCAAGATCGCAACTTTGCGCTCCAGCCTGGGCAACAAGAGCGAAATTCTGTCTCAAAAAAAGAAAACAAGAATCCTTGTAAATATGAGTTTAGCTGTAAAGTTTAAGCTTCCTGTGGAACACAGGGATATGTAGTATAATTTACTATTTTTCTAATCACTTAGTGAACAACTGTGGATCTTAGGCTTACACTCACCTTCTTACTCAAACTTGTTTCAGAATACTATCCGTTTTATGATAGTATGTACTGACTTCTCAAGTAGTGTGAAAATTTCTTAAAGGAAGGGAAAATATGTTATACTTGGTTTCTGCGTTTCTTGTGAGCTATTAGAACAGGAAAGTCAATATATTCTCAGAAATCCGTACTGAGTTGTGGAAGCCTGAGTCTTGAATGTAAATGATAGTAAGATATTGATTGGTCACATTTGTGCAATGCTTTGTGGTTATAAAGCACCTTCAACACTTAGAATCCAATCTTTGCGACAATCTCATGTGTTAGGCAGATCAGGTATTTCCTCATTTCAACAGAAAAGAGTAGTAAGCATTGAAAATTTTAAGGTTTTATACCAGATTAGAGAGGCATAGCAAAATCATCATACCATGTCTTCTGCCTCCCATGTAGCTCGTGCCTTATTAGGATTCTTGAAATCTATTTCCTCCATCCCTTGACCCCACTCAGATGCTCTTCCCTGCATCTAGTGTCATTTCAAGTCCTATTACTTCCAATTAATTTATATGCTTGCACCTAAACTAAGATTCAAACCCCTAAGGGTAAAACTGATTTTTGAGGGCAGGACCTTCACAACTTATATTAAAAAATAATAGAAATGATTTTATAAAAATTATAAAATTTTTATAAAAATTATAAAAATGATTTGGAGTTTTGTTTTTATCTCCCCCTTGAATGGGAGCCTGAGAGGAAACTTCATTTCTTGAGAGAAGTAGAAAAATGGTATGGTGTCTGTCCAAGACAGTTGTACCTTGACTTAACCTATTGGTTCCCATTTAAAAAACAGTACAGATGCTAGGTTGATTTTTTTTCTTCTTCTTTTTGGCCAACAGCACAGAACCTGTTTTCCCATAACTTCCCCAAATCTGCATGTTATTAATCTTTTAAATTCTTAGTTTTATTTTGTTGACTTCTTCCCCAACCTCCCTCCCCCACCCCGTGTTACTAGGTATTTCCAAATGCATCCAGGGTAAATTCACAAGCATGATTGTGTAACACTAGCCATTAGAGATTTTTCCTGGGCAGCATCACTCATTTTACAATTAAATATGCAAAGGCCCAGAGGGACAAAGTAACTTGCCCCAATCCAGTTAAAGCAACACAGCCGACATCATATTAACTATTGCAATAACATCTCCAAACATTCTGATAAAATAAATTGGGGGTGCAATATTGAGATGCACAGAAGTGTGAGGCAAAACTTTATAAGAAGAGAAAAAAAGAAAACAGTAACTTTTGACTGTCCCTTATATTAAAATCATGTTATTTCCCCCACCTAGATTGAGCTCACCCAGCTCTCCGTAATCAGTCTATTCCTTCAACAGCCTTCACGTGTGTGTGATGGTTCGGCAACACAGTCACAGTCTCCATTATAGTAGAAACGCTTGTCTCTTTGTTGTTCATGTAAATAAACGTTTGTTTTAAACTCCATTTGTTCTTATTGGTCAGGTAGACAGTATTACATTTCTTTAAATAGTTTACTCAGATATAACTACAGACATTCACAAGTTCTTCACATGCAGCTATCTGACATTCTTCAAACAAATGAATAGAGAACATCTGCATAAATTGTCTCATTGTTTTCCACTTCAAGAGCAGTCCCTTTTCTTTGCAACACATTTACTTAGATGTCTTCATTTTCTCATCTTTTTGAGTTTTTTCTATTTTAATATATTCATCCTATTATACTTTCTAAGATTTCCTGATCCAGTGACAATTTTTATATCCACAATTTATATAACTCATTTATTGAATTCCTAATTATCTAATTAGGAATATGCTTACACAAGGAAATTTACTACAACAATACCTGACTCTGAACTAGATAAGACAATTAGGGATTGTTGTCTGGCTGTTTCCAAAGTGAACAAGTAAACGAGTCAAGAGGAACCTAGGGGAGATGTCTCGGATACAAACATCAGAAGATATTTCCATCAGAAGCTTGATTGACGACACGCTTTATAAGGTGATTGATTTTATTGATGGGAGAAGGTAAGAATTTGATAAAGGTAAAACAAGTCAATTGTAAAAAAAGGAAAGTAGAGGTTCCTCTTCAAAGACTTTCCTCCCCGTCTAATTAGGAATAAATAGTAACTTCTCATAGAAGCAAAATTTATTCAAACACCTGTGCTAACATTCTTAAATATCTGCTAGCCGTGATAAAGAAATCAATGTACTTTATGTTCTTAGCTCCCACCTTAGCCTAAATATTTGCCCTGGCATGCTTATACTGGTCCAAGCAAGCTTTAGGTCATAGCCTGTTCCTCTTCCTTATTTAAAAGTGGGTTTACCTTTCTCAGCATTCCACAAGTTACTTCCTCCTTCCTTTGTTCTCATCTACCTTTGCCTCTTTTAAAAGGTTCTAAGTTGCTAGACAAATACAGAATGTGAGGTTCCGTTCCAGCCAATGGAAACCGGACACAGCAGTAGGGTGGACGCGTCAGGTTTTAAATGACCCTGTCTCCTTTGTTCAGTGTACTCTCGTGGCAAAACTGCTGGCGAGTGTACCCTTTCTGCAGGAGGTAAAAATTGCCTTACTAAATTAAATTTATGTTCAAGTGCTATTTCTTTATGGCACTGGGGAACAAGCATTTCAAACACAATGAATGAGAAAAAAATAAACTGGTAAGTATGAACAATTATTAATTCTCAGAAACTTTAAAAAATTGATAAAATAATATAGAATGTAAGAAACAAAAAAATTCACAATTTCTAAAAAAATAAAAAGAAAAGAGAAAGGACTCTAGACTACTATAGAACCCAACAGTGGGTTTTCCAGTTTTTGTCTCTGTATTATGTGTAATCTGTATTTTGGTATCTTTATGTGAACTTAAATATAAATAGTATAAGCTAAAACAAATTTTTATACATATAGATGAGAGAAGGATTTCCAGAACCAACAGTTGGAAACAAGTTTCAAAAATTGTGGCTATTAAATGATCTTCAGGAGAAGAGAAAAGATAATGATCTACACATTCATGTATATATTGCAAGTTTTATTTTCCCTAAGTTGACATTAGAAAGCCACCTTAAGGTTACCTGTAGGTTAATTATTATATTTCATTAATTTTGCCACTTAATTGATTATAAGACTCATCACTAATTCATGTATGATTATGAACACAAAAAATTTGGAAATTTAATCATAAATATGGCTGCTTTGTTTCTGAACCCTCCTGCATAATCAAACATTTCATTTAAAAAATGACTCAGTGTAATCTTTCTGATGCCATTTTAAAAAGCAATTAAACTCAATATATATATAGTAACAATGCAGCACACAGAACAATTGCAATGAAGAAAAAAATAGCAATTATCAAGTCTGTGAACATGAAGGCAATGAAAACAATTTTATGGCTCCTGATTGGCTAACAAAGATTTTAAGACATCAATAAGATAAAAATCCATTTTATGTTTGATATTTGAAACAATGTGAATCTTACAAAAATCAATGAAATACAGTATGTCGTATTTTACTTGCAGCCCACTGCCATCTTCAGGACTTACTCCTTCCAGTTAAAAATGTTGGTCCAAAGAAAAGAGGAAAAAAAAAAAAAAGAATAGATTGTATTTATGCTGTGTTGTCGGTCAGACAACACACATGTAAGTATAGGAACACCTAAATTCAACTGCTTGTGGAATTTAATTGCAGAATAGTTCCTGTTTTACGCATTGCTCCCAGACCCCAATTGTCACCTTTACTGTTTATATTTGATAGAGGGAAAGTTTGTCAGGTATTGGCAAGCTACAGCCCCTTTTCCTCTACTTGTTTCTGTAGAGTTGGAGAGCTTTGAATTATTTTTATACTTTTAAATGGTTGAAAAAGGTAAAATAAGAATATTGGATGTGAAAAAAAAATTTAAATTTTAGTGTCCATAAATAAAGCTTTATTAGGCTGAGCACGATGGCGCATGCCTGTAATCCCAGTTACTTGGGAGCCTGAAGCACAAGAATTGTTTGAACCTGGAAGCTGAAGGTTCTAGTGGGCCAAGATTGAGAGATTGAGCCAATTTATCCAGTCTGGGTGACAGAACAAGAACTTGCCTGAAAAAAAAAAAAAAAGGAAAGAAAAGCTTTATTAGAACCAAGCCCCACCTATGTATTTACTTATTGTCTGGCTGCTTTAGCACTGTAACAGCAGCATTTAGTTGCTGCCATAAAAAGCATATATGGCCTGTAAAACCTAATCTTTTCCAGAACAAGTTTTTGCATACCTGCTCTACGTAAGTTTCTCATGACCTCTGTTTATTTGGTGCAAATTATATTACAACAGGATGACAGTTTGGAATTTTAGTAATTTTCTGTTTTCTAGTTAATAAAGGTATCCTCCCTTCAAATTTTTACTTGTGTTCAATTTTGCTAATTTCAGTATATTGAAATATGCCAATGTGCTCTTTTTCTTGTATCTTTCTTGGAACTCATACTTGTAATTTTCTAAATAGACTAGAATTACCATAATCACCTCTTCTTTGACCCATGAGATATTTAGAAGAGCTTTCCATCTTTCTGGGTTTTTCAGATGGTTTTTTTTTTTTTTTGCCTTTTCTTCTGTTGTTTTTAATCTTGCATATGTTGCCCTGAACTCAGAAAACATGGTGTATATAATTTCTAACCCTGTAAAAATGATATATAATCCTTTTTTGAAAACCAATGAGAAATTTTAAAAAGAATGTACATTTTTAGCCATGTACAGAGTTTCAATATATGTCATTTAGAAATCTTAAAATAAATTCATATTCATTATATATGATTACCAAATACTTTTATTCTTATTTTTTGCATAATTCATCTGTCAAAAGTGGAAGGTGCTGTCTTAACACTTCTGACTAAACTCATTTTAATAGAGGTTTAGATACATAAATGATTTTTAAAATTCACTCAGCAAATATTTCAGGAGCACCTAATCTGTACCCCTTAAATACAGAATACCTGCTATTATGAAGTGCTCATGATGGGAAGTATTTTATGGAAACCAAAAGAAAGTGAAACAAACTCTTTATATACTATATAGTTTTATTTCAATTCATGTAAGGGCTGTAAAGGAGACATAGGGTACTTTAGATGTGCAATAATGGAATTTACCTGAAAAGTCAGAACATTTTTTCCTTTTTGTTTTTGTGTTAGGTGCTATGTAATCTACGGTTTCCTAGGACTTGTGTGTTGAGGAAAAGATGGTGGCAGAATGAGAATTACAGACCAAGGAAAAGCAAAAGTGTGAAGGCCTTGAGCGAGGAGGAGCATGAAACTTCAGAAATGAAAGCAAGTAAAGAGGGTTGGAGTGGAGAGAGAAAGGAGAGAATGACAGCACACAAGGCTAATTCTCTGCCTGGAAGACAGGCTAAGGATTCTGGATTGTTTCCCAAGAACAAGTGAACAGTTTTAAGAAACAATATGATCCATTTTTCCCCCTATTTCAAATAAATCCGTTTGCAATGTGCAGGATGGTTTGGAGAAGACAGGCAAGACTTGATGTCAGAAGACTATTCAGGGGCTAAAGCTCTACTACCATTTATAAATGAAGGGAGTTATTCTCATTTAAGTCTCTGAAATTGAGATGTACCTACTTAAAAATTAATATTGTTATCCCTTTTATTTTTCTGTGGTCGTGAAACAAATTTGCAAAGATTATGACAGTGAGAAGTATAGTGTGGCTGATTCTTTTTTACTTCTATCCTCACAGGTTGTCTATCCTTGCTCATTCCTGAGTATAGGCCAAGCTAACCATAGGAGGAATTTATAGAGTAACTTTGAAGCAAGGATGACAACAGTCTCTTCCTAAAACTAACCCCCTCCTTGAGGGACTGACATCACCTTTGTAAAACTAATTAAAACCACATAATTAGGATTATGGAGAGGGCTAAATTCTGCTAAGATGTAGGCATAGTTTCTATAATCCCTTACTAGCCATGAGTCATGTGGCCTGAGGTCACAAGATTTGTGACTTCACCAATTGCTCCTATATAAAAAATCACTATTGTAGAACCTAATATTGACATTTTAATTTGTTTTTCATACTTTTGCTTTCTGGTAATTGACCCCACCTAGACCCATGACTCATGACTCAACTGGTCCTGTGGCCACCCCACCCAGAGGTGGACTAAGCACAAGAGGACCTTTTCTCACACCTCTGTGAGTTCATACTAAACCAATGAGCAGTACCCATTCTCTAGGTCTCTGCTCACTAAATTATTAAAACTTTAGCCTCTGAGTTCTCGGGGAGGTAGATTTGAACAATAACCAAGTCTTATGCTTACACTTGGTCAGCCTTGCATTAATTAAACTCTTTCTCTACTGCAATAGTATGGTCTCAGTGAATTGGTTTTATCTGTGCACCAGGCAGGAAAAATCTGTTGGGCAATTACAGATCCCTAATGAGTTTACCCTGAATTTTCTGTTTATTTTTCTGTGCTTCCAGATAAGTCATGATTTCCTTAAAAAGCATATCGTTGATGAGTGTATACTTTTATGTAAATAATATTGTGTTATCTCATCTTGTGTTGTTGTACCTAACTGCTGTTTTCCTCTATATGAATCAACCTTATTTATTCTGCTAATTATGGACTACCAACCCACTGAGCCCAATCATAAAAAGTACCTCAGTAACCATAATCATTCATACCCTTGAAAGGAGCTGTGTGAGATTTTCTTTGCAGTATATATCCAGAATCAAATTTCAGTTGCATAGTCTGTTTGTGTATCTCCTGACTGCCTACCATGGCCTACTTTCCATGAGAAATGGATGAGGGTTTTTATATTCTCACAGCTCACCGACACTTCATATTATTTAGTTTTCTAAATTTTATAATATATTTAAATGATAACTTTAAATAGAAGTTGTATATTTTTCAAACATACCTAAAAATACAAAGACTAAAACTGGCCTCCTGCAGTAAATAGTTACTTATGCTTGCTTTATTTAAATTTTTAAAATTATTATACTAAAATGTTTAATTCAAATCTCGGAGTACTAGTTTTTCATTGCTGGTGTGAAATATTACCACAAATTTAGAGGCTTAAACTAGCAAAGATTTATTACCTTATAATTCTGGAGGTCAGAAGTCCAAAATGAGTCTCCCACAGATAAAATCAGGGTGTTGACAGGGCTATATAATATCACCCTGACACTGCATGTTTACCTCTTTTACATTTAAAGGACCTTGTGATTACATTGGGCCCACCCAAATAACCCAGAATAATCTTTTTATTTTAAAGTGACCTTATTAGCAACCTTAATTTCACATGTAGCCTTAATTATCCTTTTTCATTGTAGCGCAACATATTCACAGTTGAGAAAGGGACTTTTAGGATACAGACAACTTTGGAGGGCCATTATTCTGCCTGCCACAGAGATATCATCCATAAGTGACTCGTCTCTAAAAATTAAAGGTATGTTGTTATGTACCCACAGTACCAGCAATTTTTTTTAAATCAGGATCCAAATAAGATCTACCTACTGTTGTTTAGTTACGTCACATGAGTAATTTTTAATGTATATAAGGCTTATCATGTCCACTTTTTCTCATGCAATTGATTTGTTGAAAATATCCAGTCTACCGTTACAGAATATACCACTTTATGAATTGTTTTTCTCCTGTTTCCTCGTGTTGAGATTTAAGATGTTCTTTTTGTTTTTAATCTCAAGCTGGAGCTAAAAGCCAAAGGCGATTCAAGATTAATGTATCTGAGAAAAATACTCGTCAGATGATCCAATACATTTCACATTATATCATATTAGGAGAATCATAACATATTCTTGCTCCACTGTGTTGAAGGTTTTGCCATTTATTTATATGGTTGAAATTTGCCCACTAACAATAGCCATTTTATTACCTCCACCTTGCCACCACTAGAAATCTTGGTGGATTTCTAACACATGATCCACCCACCTATTATCCGAGTGTTTTCCCCACTACCGCATTTAATGACTCCTAGACAATTTCCTTTTCTTAATTTGGTCTTATCTGAACTATATTTTTATAAGTCTTGTTTGAAATTTTTGGTTGGCAGATGATGTCCTTGCCAGTTTCCCAGTACTGATATAGAACCTCATATATGTATTTACATATATGAGAATACACACACACATACACTTTTACCATTTTGAGAGAGTATGACTAAGTTGATTAGAAGTTTTTCTGTAATGATTTGTAAAGAGAAATGACAGTACTTGTGATTTTAGTAGATAATGATTGAGAATATAGTAAAAAGGCAGTATTAGTAAATCTTAAATATATGTGAATCTGTTTAATTCACATGTAACATTCACATGCTTTTTAAAATTAGCAATTCATGTTATACTAGACATTTAAATATTCTAAAAATGTTTGATGCCTACATGGATTTATGAACTCCTTGCAACAACTGATGGCCCCTGCTCTTCAGAAGACTAAACTTCAGAGTAGAGAACACGGCTTTAAGGAATATGACTTCCAATTTGGAATTTCAGTGGGACTTATTATCTGAATTAATTCTTAATCTCTAGGCTATGGAAGTACAATTGAAAATTTGCACATTAATACTTAAGTGATTCATAAAATGAATTCCTTTTTCGGCAACTAAATACCTAGAGGTGTAAAATATTTACCATATTTTTTCAAATTATCCGTGTTGTACTCATAAAGGACTGTATTTTCAAAAAGGATTCATTTCATTATTCAATAAGTGTTTTATTCATCTTTGACTATATATCTCTTATTGTTATATGTTAGGGATACAGTTGTGAGGAAATAGATACTGTTATATTGTTCTTGAATATAGAACTTGTAGTTAATTCTATGAAATTGATTTTCTATACATTAGCCAGGATAAGATAGGAATAATTTTGGCATTAAGGGAATTCTGTTATTTGGAACAGTTTTAGAGAGCCTGCATATTACTTTTGACCATTACCTGTGAGTAACAGACACCAGTAAATGAATAGTAGCTTAAATTTTACAAAATGTTTATTTTTGTCATCTGGAGGAATCAGTCAGTCCAGTTGCTGGTGTGGCTCCCTACCACCTAAAGAACCAACAGTTAGTTTTTTTCAGCTTAAACACTTGAACCTGTGGTTGAACCCTGTCAGAATGATCAAGGGATATCCAATGGGAATTAGTTACTATATAATTTTGGAAAGAGCTGGGAAGTAAATGTCCAGGAGAAAGTTGAGAGACCATAGAAAAAGTAGGTAGAAAGGCCTATGAAAAACCTTGTTTCTGCGTAGCTACCATCTTTATGGGTCTATTGCCAAACTTCTGAAAGGGCCTAGAGCTGCTGCTGGTTAATTGGGGTGGGGTTTGAGAAGGTAGACACATAGAAGAAGGGAGTGGGAGAGGAACCCACTGGCACCTCTGCATCTGCCTGTTACAGCAAGTGACCCTGGTGACCATCCAAGAATAAGAGCTGCTGCCTAAGTGCCCTCCCTCAAATGTATTGTGAATTCTTTTGGACAACTCTAACCCAGAACCATGCAGAAAAGATGATTCTGGGAAACTAAACCGAATTAACATAATACAAAAAACTCAGAGGTAGAAAAACCTAGTCAGGTCCTCAAAAGCAAAACACAGGGCAGAGAATATTCATTTGGATGCTAAAAAGTCACTTAAACCGTTGGTCTGTGTAGGTTCACTATTGTGAGAAAACTTGGGAAAATAAGATTAAGGTAAATTGTCAAAACTATTGTGAAATTAGCAAAAAGGAGAGTGTTTTAAATATATAGGTAAAATGTAAAGAAAATGTTGAGTATCATGGTAATATTAGGAATCAATTTATAAAATTTAGCTAGTGACCTCTGGGTTCCTTTTCCCTTTTAATCTTCATTTTAAATTATTGAAAAAACTGAATTCAGAACTATTTTGCCTTTTTTAGATGCATATACTATGTGGATGAGTTTAGGGAATGAGAACTGAAGAGTGTATTGGCCAGTGATGGAGTATGTGTTCCCAAGGCACTTGGCAAATGCTTTGAGGGAAATTACTTTGTTCTTATTCAGACAGATACCATCATGTTCTCCCTAAATAAAATGCCTATAACAAGTCATTTGTGTGTGAAGAAAAGGGATTGTCAGTATCGAATAGGAAGCAAACGTTTTCAAGATTTATTAAAATAATGGTTAAACTGTGAAGAGACACACATTGGTGCAATATTTTCCTGGTAGCTCAGATGAACTTTGCATGCAGAGAACCAATTGGCTGTACTTATATCTATCCAAGAATACCATGTAATTAGGAAAATGCCTACAGCTCCTAAGAGAGGATGGATGGGAGCTTGCCATCCAGAAACTAGGTTTATAAAAAGCAGGTTCTCACTGGGTTCGCCTTTGAAAGAAAATACCCTTCAGTAAAGCTGCCTTCCTTTCCACAGTCATCTGGCACTATTCCATACTGCAGTTTCTGAAGAATATCCTACAGAGTAGGCAGCAACAAAATAGACACAGTCTCTACCTGTGGACATTAAGAAAAATATAAAATTTCAACCTTACTAAGTTTTGTGGCAGAAACTTCTAGTTGTCTAAAAATGTCTTATACCCTTCCTCAATAGAAAAATAGCCCCAGATTTGATAGCTGGGCACATGTCTGCCTGAATACTACGTTTTTCAGCTTCCCTTAGAGCTCGATGCGATCATGCAAGTAAGTTCTGCTAACAAGACGAAAGCAGAAGTGGTTAGGGCAATTTTCAATGTGCCCTTTGAGGAAAGGGTGTTCCCTTTTCATTTCACCTTCTAGTCAGGTGCAAATATGGGTATCTTATACTAGGAGGTTACATTAGGAATGGATACTAATTATACAGCTACAGTCATGTGTCATAACAATGTTTTGGTTGGTGATGGATTATTTTTTCCATGTATAGATATATTTAGATACACAGATGCTGGCCACTGTGTTAGAATTCCCTACAGTATTCAGTACAGTAATATGCTGTACAAGTATGTAGCCTAGGAACAATAGGTTAGGTCATATAGCCTAGGCATATAGTAGGCTATACCATCTAGGTATGAGTAAATAAATTCTCTTATGTTGGCACAATGATGAAATCCCCCTAACAATGCCTTTCTCAGAAGGCATTTCCAGCTTTAAGTAATGCATAACTATAATAAGCTAAAAAGAGCCTAGATTTCTGTGGCAGATGACTGCAACTATGTTACCACTGCCCCCATCAATAAGTGCAATCTATTTTCCACTCTCTTCAGTGTGAGCTGGTCTTAGAGCTTCCTTTAACCAAGACAACGTGGTGGAGGTGACTCTAACTTCCAACATCAAGCTGTAAAAGACTTACAGCTTTCAGCTTTGGCCCTTCTGCAAAACTCCTGTTGGAAATGTAGTTGTCATGTAAAAATCTTATTACCCTGAGATTACTATTCTTTTAGAGAGCCCAAGATAAACATGTTACAGGCAACATAGAAAGAGAGATGACCAGCAAACCCCTAGCTGCTTGAGTTACACACGAGGCACAAAACATGTGAGTGCGAAATATCCCTGGGACATTCTACCCCTAGCATACACCATGAGCAGCAGAACCACTAACAAACTGTATCTGGTCCAGGATAAAGAATTATAAAAAATAATAGAATTGTTGTGGCTTTAAGCCACTAAATGTTGGAATGGTTTGTTATGCAGTATGGATAACAGATACTGTCTAGTCTGTATTCTACTCATCTGATAGAACTCCGGTTTCCTCTCTAAACACTACTCAGAGCAGTTCTGCCTAAATCACAGTTTGACTACAGTATTCATTAAGTTACATGAGATATTCAATACTTAATTATAAGATAAACTTTGCTCAGTTGTAGGCTAATATAAGTTTTCTGAGCACATTTGGGGTAGACTAGGCTAAGCTATGATTTTTGGTATGTCTTAAATATTTAAGTCAAAAATACATTTACTATACCTAAATGTAAGCTAGGTGTCCATTTAAGTGTAAACTGTAAGCTAAATGTTTGGCTTATAGTTTTAATTTGAAAACATTTTAAAGATTGTATTGGGAATTTTAGAGAGATGTTTTTACGTTTAATGATTTCACTGTTTTGACTAAATTCACATTTAATTAGTAAGAAGCAAATATATAGATCACATAAATCTTTTTAATAGTTCTGACATGGTCTATAGAAATGGCCAAAATGTAATATTCTGCTATGTCCAAAAGCTTGAAAATTATCTGTTTTATCTTTATATGTTTGATGAAAGTCACATAAGTATAATTATTGCGATTGTTGTTCTTTTAGTTTCTGTTATCACATTTTTTCCATCTTATAAATTCTTTTCTGTATTCCTTTGAGTTTTGTGGTGCTTTGATAACTCTGTCCCATTCTAAGCACAGTCTCTTAGTGCATGGAACTTTCCCCGTCTACCCCATGGAGAAGCAAGAATATTAAGGCATTGACAGCAATTTTCCTGCCTAGCTCTATGCGAGGTATGAAAGCATCACATATGGAGAAAAGAACCATATATCAAGTTAACATTCAACAATGTATCATGGTAAAAGGCAACAAGTGTCTGCAAGGAAGGAATATCCAGTCCTTTTTTAAGATGACATAATATAATAGTTAATGACCCCAAACCTTTAAAAATTCTATCTGATTCTAAATCCCTTCCTACCTCTTCTTCATTGAATAAAAAAAATCCAAGCCATTCATTCAAATAACATTTAAGATTCAATGGCTATATGAAATATTTCCTATGTAACATTACTGAATAATATTTTTCTTTGCGTAGACTTTGCCTATCCTTGTGACTCAGTTAATGATAAACTTATCATAAAGTTCTCACTGATCATGATAACCCCATTTATTTTCCTTCCTATCAACTCCTAGAGATATTATTCATTAATCACTTGGAAATGACTTTATACTGCCTTGATATGTATTTTTTTAACCTATTTTAAGCTTATGTCCTCAACTAGACTTTGAACTTATTTATTGGAAGAAGTATTAAGTTAAATCTTTGTTTTCTACCACAGAATCTAAGATAGTTTCATATAGTCATAAATTAATAGATTTTCTACTTGACAAAAATATAGAGCTCAAGTAAAAAAAGAAGAAAACAAAAAGTAACCCTGAATAGTTAACTTGGAGATAAAACTCAGCTTGAAGAAAAATAATAACAATGTTTGTGGAGCACATACTATGAACTCAAGTAATTTACACAGTATTTTACATAGTTTTTCATTCAGCTACTTAAATATTTGCTGACTTGAAATAAACTCTTTGTATTCAAAATAGCCTGGAATCTAGGTATTTGAAATTATGAAATACTCTAAATTCTCTGATTCCTACATTTTATGAAAATAAGTTACTTCTTATCTGATAAATAATTTCTTAGAGAACCTTTGAGGACATATTAGAGAATGTACTAAAATTTGGAGGGAAGGTGTATTAGTCCATTCTCACACTGCTATAAAGAACTACCTGAGACTGGGTAATTTATAAAGAAAAGAAGTTTAATTGACTCAGTTCCACAGGCTGTACAGGAGGCATGGTTGGGGAGGCCATAGGAAACTCACAAGCATGGCAGAAGGGCAAAGGGGAAGCAAATACATCGTGGCAGGAGGGAGATACAGGTCGATGGTGGTGGGGAAATGCTACAAACTTTTCAAACAAGCAGATCTTGTAAGAATTCAGTAACAAGACAGCACTAGAGGGATGGTACTAAACCATTAGAAACCACCCCCATGATACAGTCACCAGGCCCAACACTCCAGATCACAATTCAACATGAGATTTGGGTGGGGACACAGAGCCAAACCATATCAGAAGGCACATTAGGAGATAGCAAAATTTTTATATTGATTCGGCTATTTGGATTATGAAATAAGACATGCAAACCTGCTCCTTAAACTCTGTTTGCTTGTTTTGGTCTAAGCACCAAGTGAAAATATAATTTCTGTTTGTCTGTTTCTTAAAGTTGACATATCTCTAAATTTTGCCAGAAGCACTCATTTGCAAGTAATGCTCTTCTTATCCTCCTTGTTTGATTTCCATGTCTCATGATCAAATTCTTATAAGTTATTTTAATGTTACTTTATGTCATGCTATTTGCTTCCTTTAAATCAAGTTTGGTTTCCCAATACTCAGCACTTCTCTATCCTTAGGCAATATATTTTCCTAAAAGAGCATAATAGCCAACATTTTCTAACCCCTTTGTGGGTTTTTCAGGACTAAAAATTCATTACAATAGAGTAAGTGAACTCCTGCATTTTGTGTCCATATTTACCCCACCAAAATATGGATGTTCTGATTAACACATAATACAAATGCTTTATGCTCCAAATAGACACCTGGAGGTAAGAAGGCACATTTGATTTTATTGCTCAGCATTATGCAAGATGAAAGGGGCATGTGTGTATAATTAAAAAGCTACAAATGTCACTGACTCTGGTCAGAAGTCTACCTTAAAATAAAAAAATAAAATTAAGGCACTTGTGTATTTTGTGACCTTGTCTACTTGCCAAAATGGAGAGGATTAAAAAAGAAACTGCTGAGCTGGGAACACAAAGATCTTAGCCAGTGATTTCTTCCTGGCACAGAAAGATCAAAGCAGTACTATTTTTAGGGGTAAGGAATGGCTCCTATTCCAATTTTGTCTATTTTTATGTTGGTATACTAGATTGAGGGAATCATCTATTAAGATTAAAATACTGAGGTTTGGGTCCTTTTGACAGTAAGATAACTTAGTGTCATGATTCAGAGCACAGCCATAAGACTCATTCTTCCTGGGTTCAAATTTCAGTTACACTGCTTCCTATCCCTAAAACTTGGGAGGATATTTCATCTTTCTGTGCCTCATTTCCCCAGGCATAAACAAGAAATGATAATGGCACCTACCTCCTGGGATTGTTTGAGGATGAAATGGGTAGATATATAAAACAGTTTAGGAGAATGTCAGGTATACAGTAAGTCCCTATGTGTTAGCTATTGTCATTCTTGTGTACCCCGACCCCACCCCAGGAATCTTAATTTTCTCAAGTATTCAGATTCATCTTTTGTTCTCTTTGGTTCCTCATTAAAACTTTAGAGAAAGTCCGGCACATTAAAGGGAAAAAAACTAAGTAAAGAATTAGCACCATATTTAACAGGCACTCTATTAGGTGACTTTAATAAGCTTTTAAAAATAACTATTATGATGGCACTAGTGTTCAAACCCGAGAGACTCCATCTTGAATAGGGGCTGGGTAAAATGAGGCTGAGGCCTCTGGGCTGGGTTCCCAGGAGGTTAGGCATTCTAAGTCACAGGATGAGATAGGAGGTGAGCAGGACTGGTATCACAAGATACAAGTCACGAAGACTCCGCTAATAAAACAGGATGCAATAAAGAAGCTGAAAAAAACCTGCCTAAACCAAGATGTCATCAAAGGTGACCTCTGGTCATCCTCACTGCTCACTATACACTAATTATAATGCATTAGCATGCTAAAAGACACTCCCACCAGCACCATGACAGTTTACAAATGCCATAGCATGTCCAGAAGCTACCCTATATGGTCTAAAAAGAAGAGAAACCGTTTGTTCTGGGAATTTCCCTCCCCTTTCCTGGGAAACTCATGAATAATCCACCCCTTGATTAGCATATTGTGAAGAAATAATCATAAAAATAGTAAACCAGCAGCCCTTGGGGCTGCTGCGCTTATGGAGTAGTCATTTTATTCCTTTGCTTTAATAAACTTGCTTTCACTTGTTGACTCTGTGGACTCGCCCTGAATTATTTTTTGCATGAGATTCAAGAACCCTCTCTTGGGGTCTGGATTGGGACCTCTTTCTGTTAACAATGATATTTCCTATGTATGAATGCTGGCATCCCTTTCAGATGAGAAAACTGGGCTTTGGGGAGGAAAAGTTACTCGGACAAAGTCACACAGCTAGCATGTGGCAAATAGTTATGATGACCAGACCAGCCTTATGTGCCAAGTTTAAGATAAACCACCTTTGACAAGAATAAAAACTTCATCTTCTGGTACAGTAAGGAGTCAAAGGATGGAACTGAAAGAACCAAAAATTCAAGTCAACTCTACAGTTCTAAGTAGAGAACTGTAGGGTACTCGGGGATAGATGATATTTTCACCTCTTTTATGTATGTGGAGTTTTCTACTCCTAAATCTCTCAGTATAATGCTAGAAATTGTTTTCTTCCATCACATGGATTTCATGACCAGAATGACAGACTCATGAAAAGAATCCAGTTTGTTTCTCCAAATGAAAGACCTTGTTTTAGGGATGACTTGATCTGATACAGCAAAAGCAATATCTCAGTAGGATAATTTTTTTTTAAAGGTGGCAATCAAGGCATGCTTATTTAAAAGAAAGTATACTACCCACATAGAAACAAGACTTGTAATAATTAGGGAACTATAATCTTCATAAGTCTACTGAAAGTTGAGATGCTCTGATAAACTGAATTAACAAATGTTGGCAAATTCACATTTCAGAAAAAGAATGGAAATGTGGAAATAGAAATAGGAAAACTGTTGATCTGGATCTAATTCACATCAATAAGAATAAATAGCATTCATAAAAGACAATTATTACATCACATCTTGAGATTTTTAGTAGAATACAAAATATACGTGCACAAAATCAAGTAATCGAGCTATAGTTCACATATGTTTTAAAGCAGAGAAAGAATTTTTAAACATTATAAAGATATAATCTCATGACTGTCATTATCTGTTTATTGTACACCTAGTTTGTCCAAGAGTGTTGTAAAAATACTAGTTCAAACAAAATTACTAACAAATTTCAGGGTACACATTATTTTCATCATTTTATAGAGAAAGAGTCCCAGACTCAGAGATTATAGGGCATGTCCAAGTTTACAGGCATCAGAGCTAGGAATTCAACCTAGATCTAGATTACAAGCCTTGCTTTTGGAATACAGTAGTAAATGAGCTTTTCAACCGAGAAAGTAGAATAAGAGAGATATTAAAAGTACTAAAGAATAAAATTTACATTATACAGTAACAAATAATTCCTGAAAAAAAGGGTAATTTGACCAAAGCAAACACTCAAGCCCTGTGGCAATTCTGCCAATTGTGAAATGGATTTTTTCATAATTGGAAAAAGGTGTAGATAAATGATTCCAGGATCCTGAAAAAAGACCAGACCCAGAATGAATCAAAGTTTGTGAAATACTAGAAACATTGTTCACATACATTTTGTTTTTGTTTTTTCTTTCATTAAGTAGGAGAAAGGGATAGGTTCATTGTTTGAAGAAAAGGTACAGCGATGTATCATGGATAGAATACGGTATGATGAGAAAATGAGCTTCAACTTTGTTTTAATATTCTCTTGCAAGAAGAATATAATGAAAGTTCAAAAAGGTAAAAAACATGATAAATAGAAAATTGAAATTCAAGGTAATTTGGATATAAACAGTTCCAACTTGTTTTAGTATGCAGGCTCAGACAAAGGTTTATCAGGCTACTAAATGAATTTAAAAATGGAAAGCTAAAAATACAATTTAAACTTAAAAGTGATGAGAAAATATAGTAAAAAATGACAACATATTTTATTTCTAAGCATACAGAATTGGAAGACAGTAAAAAAGAGGGGCATTTTTTTTTTGGAAAAAGAAGATAAAGTGGCGACAATTCTTTTAAATGCCTGAAGGACAATTTTAGGGAAGAAAACGGTGTATTTTAAATGATTATCTCAGAAGAATGAAAATAACTGAGGTTTTTAGAAAGGAATATTTTATCAAAGGCTTTAGTCATAAAATTTCTGAAAATTTATATACTGAAATGATTATCCCTTGTGGAATTAGTCTGCATGTGTTTGATGTGGACTTATTCTTTTTTACTTTGTGTTCTAAGTAATTTCTACTTTTTTCCTCTGTGAACAAAACTCATGGGTTTTTTTTTAAATAGAATAATCAGGAAAGTAATGATTGACAAGTAACATTTAATTAAATATCTGGTTCAGTGTAGCAGCATTGAAGGAAATAAGTGGATATCTGGAGTGATTTCCTGGCAAAACAAATAAGTTTTGAGGTATAATTGACAAAAAAATTGTGTATATTTAAGCTATTCAATATGATGATTTGATATACATATGTGTTGTGTAATGATTACCACAATTAAATTAATCAACACATTTATCACCACACTGTTACCGTGTGAGTGTGTGTGTGGGTGTGTGTGTGTGTGTGTGTGTGTGTGTGTGTGTGTGTATGTATGGTGAGGAAACAAGATATACTCTTCTAGCAAATTTCAAATAAACAATGTATCATTAGTAACTATAGTCACCATTCTGTACACTAGATCTCTAGAATGTATTCATCGTATAGCTGACTCACTTTTTGGAATTAAAGACAAAGGTATGTCCTTAAATATTTTTTCATCAAAAGAGAAATTCATACTGATCAGAGATGTAAATGAATAAGAAAAACAAAAAAATAGTTGTCAAAGAAAATATAAAATACTAATATGTATAGAAATACTTTTTATCAATGTGACTTTATCAAATCAATGCTATCTACATTTTGGATAACATTTAAAACAAAAATCAGCAGATCACCAAGTGCAGGTGCTTTTTCTGATCTGTACCTATGTGTTTTTAAATAGTATTAATATATTGGCTGAGCATGACTTATTTGAAATGCTTGGGGCCAGAAATATTTCTAATTTCAATTTTCCTTGGATTTTGGAGTATTTGCATATAGATAATAAGATATCTTGGAGATGGGTTCCAAGTCTAAACACAAATTCGCTTATGTATCATATATACTTGATATATATACTCTGAATATAATTGTATACAATATTTTCAGTAATATACATTATCTATCATGTGAAGGCAGGTTTGGAATTTTTCACTAGAGGCATGTTGTTACTCAAAAAGTTTCCAATTTTAGAGCATTTCAGATTAGGGATGTTCAACCTGTATTATCATATTTTATTTTATGAAATATAAATACTTATTTGCTTTCATTTAAAGTAGAATAGATTTATCTCTGATAAATTTTTTCATAATACCTTTATAAACCATAACCCTCCCCACCTTCACAATTATGATTTTCCCCCTACATGTGATTATTTTGAAAATCCTCCTGATAAAGCCAGTGTGTAAGCAGTACTTACTCTCCACATCAAGTGAAGATCCCATGTTCAAAATAGCTTTTTATTAGGAAATCTCTAAATATTTGTATTACAAGGTCTTTTTCTGAAGCAATTTAGTTTTCCACAGGAGAATACCCTAACCTCTTGTCTGGGAGATTAGGATGGTTGCCCCACTTCTAAAACCAAAGCATGGGGAAAAAGTCTGGGCGGTCTCAGCATTGACTTTCACAGGCCACATCTTTATCATTTTGAGGCTATTTTTTGTCAATTACTGGGCTGAGACGCCTGAGTGTAGGGCCTCTCTAATTTAAATTTTCTTGAGGATAAACCATGTTTCCTTCCTGACTTTTTAGGGTTAAGGCTAGAGGCATATCGCTGTTTGGGTCTAGGTATAATAGGTCTGAGGTACCCAATCCTTCCTGTTCTCAATTCTTCAGGCTTACTTTAGGTTGGTGCAAAAGTAATTGCAGTTTATCATTAAAAGAAATGGTAAAACCTGCAATTACTTTTGCACTAACATAATAATCCATTTACAAGAATATTAGCACGTAGTCTACTCCCTTCTGCTAAACCAATTATCCTAATTTATCTGAATTCAGTCTTCTAAGAAGTATTGAAATGATTGTTTGCTGAGGTTTTCATTTCCATTTTTTTGGTCTTCATTTATAGTCTTTTCAAGTAAGATTTGAGGAAAGATAGAAGATTAAAGTTTGTGGAACGTCAATTATTTTAAACGAAATGATTTAGATTTTCTAACCATGATGCTAAAGGCATATTCTGCAAAATGGAAGATTCACAGACCATATTTATAAGAAATGAAAACCATTTATAAAGGCTAAAAATCACCAATAAAGTCAAAATTAAGGAGACACATAAGGAAAAATAACTTATGAGATTAAAAAGTGTTGTCAACTACATAAATAAAAACATGAGTACAGGAATAGAACAAAAAGTAGGCAAAGTGTACTTGCAGGCAGTTCAAAGAAAAAAGTGACTAACATATGAAAGATGATTAGATAATCAATGAGAGCCAAATATATAGAATAGAATTTCACAGTTACTTAACTGCCACAGTGACTAAGAAGAAAATGTTTGCCGGTCTCTAATCTAGATAGGGATATGAAGACATAGCCCCTCTCTTTTGCCAATGGAAGTGTAAATTGACTCAATGTACATGGAGAGTTAATTGGTACCATATATCAAAATCTAAAATGCCCTATAACACAGCAACTCATTTATATGAAGTATTCAGATATCTAGAAGAAAGCAAAACTGTATATATAAACTTATTTGCAGCATTCTGAAACGAATTAAGATGTACCTAAATACTAAGGAACATTATAAAATATAATTTATCCACACAATCCATAAAATATAATAATCAGTAGTTGAGAAGAAAGTATAAGAGACACACACACACACACACAAATAGGGTAAAATATCTAGGATTTTTAAATTGTATTTAGCTACTTCATTTTGTCAAAATCTAGGATCCTTTACATGTAAAGTCATATTGTACATACTGTGCACCAACTTGTTCATGTAAAAGAATATGTTGTTACACAGATGAATGCACTTAAAATTACTGGAATGATACCAAAAAATGTTATAGGTTTTGAAAGAAAGGACTGGAAGATAAAAGGTATGAGAGTAAGTTTTGTTTACACTATTATTTTATACTTTCTGTGATAATATGATTAGAAAATGTACTTACAAATGACATTTGAAAGTTAATGGGAAAAGCATGCTATGTTTTGCTAAGAGAAACCTAAAAATCTATAATTATGAGCCCATTTTGTTTAAAACTTGGCATATAAAAGTACTAAAGACTTGGTGAATATGTGTATGTACATAAATATACAGAGAGAAATGTACAGATATTTGTCCTATGCATTTTTTCAAAAAAAGTATCTTGTTTGCTATATAAAGTAATACCATAAAACAAAAGAAAATTTAAAAATAGAAGAGGAGAGTTTGAAAAAGTGGTTTTCCTCTTAGTAAAATGCTGTACTTCTATAGGAAGCTGAAGTAAATAACTTCTAAAATGTGACTAGACTGTAAATTGTTATGCTGTGTTTAATATTTTGTGTTTTTGTTTAGTGTAATTTGTAATACTTATGTCCATATTTTGAAATAAAATGGCCTTAGTTTGAACCATAAGAAGTAGTGACTCTTTAACGCCAAATTATCAAAAATATACTCTAATAGCTTTTTGTGGTTGAAGTTTTTTTTTTTTTTTGTAAATTTTACTTTAAGTTCTGGGATACATGTGGTGAACGTGCAGGTTTGTTACATAGGTATACAAGTGCCATGGTGGTTTGCTGCACTATGAATTTGTCTTCTAGGTTTTAAGTCCTGCATGCATTAGGTATTTGTCCTAATGCTCTCCCTCCCATTTCCCTCCAGTCCTTAACAGGCTCCAGTGTGAGATGTTCCCCTCCCTGTGTTTTCATTATTTAACTCCTATTTATGAGTGAGAACTTGTGGTGTTTCTTTTCATGTTCCTGTGTTTGCTGAGGATTACGGTTTTACTCTAGTAGTTTTAACTAGATTTTTTTTTTAATTTCAACTTTTATTTTAAATAGAGGGTGCATGTGAGTAGATTTATTACCTGGGAATATTGTGCGATGCTGAGATTTGGAGTACAGATCCTATCACCCTGATAGTTAGCATAGTACTGAATAGGTAATTTTTTTATAACTCCCGTTCCCTCCACTCCTCCACTGTCTTCTAATCCAGTGTCTACTGTTCCTTTATATGTCTATGTGTGCCCAATGCTTAACTCCTACTTATAACCCTATTAAAAATTAGAAAAGGACACGAACAGACACTTCTCAAAAGGAGACATACAAGTGGCTCACAAATGTGAAAAAAAAAAATGCTCAGCATCACTAATCAGAGAAATGCAAACCAAAACCACAATGAGATATCATCTCACTCTAGTCAGAATGGCTAGTATTTAAAAGTCAAGCAACAAATGCTGGCAAGGCTGCAGAGAAGAAACAACGCTTATATATTGCTGGTGGAAATGTGAATTAGTTCAACCACTGTGGAAAGCAGTCTGGAGATTTCTCAAAGAACTTAAAACAGAGCTACCATTTGACTCAGCAATCCCATTACTGGGTGTGTACCCAAAAGAAAATAAAGCATTCCACCAAAAAGACACATACACCATATGTTGATCGTTGCACTGTTCACAGTAGCAAAGACATGGAATCAACCAAGGTTCTTGTCAATGTTAGACTGGAAAAAGAAAATGTGGTTCATATATACCACGAAATACTACACAGCCATGAAAAGGAATAAAATCATGTCTTCTGCAGTAACATGAATGAAGCTTGGAGCTGTAATCCTAAGGAAATTAACACAGGAACAGAGCAACATTCCTTGAATTGCTACATCTCTTCAGATTCTCTCTCCTCTGAGACCCATTCCAAGTTCCTCTGATACTCATACTATGGTACATCCAAAATTCCAAAATTGCCTTCACCGACTGCCTCAGTAGCCTCATCTTCTGCTCAGCATCACTGTAATGCTCCATCAGTACCACTGTTGGTGCACAAGGCACGGTTCTGCTTGGCACCCTCTGCCTTTGTTCAATGTTGCTGTGGCCTGAAATGCTTTCTCAAACCCTCTTACTCCCGTCCCCTCACTCACCCTGTGTCTCAGGTGAGGTCCTTTTCCATATTCAAACTCTGCAAAGTTATCCCATTTGATACCACCCTCTCTTGCATCAGCCTACCTCTCGTGACTAGGTGGAAAGTTGATAACTGCCCTCTGACACCACTTCTTTTCAGTGTTGTACATTTCAAATGTTTGTTGACAAGTACATTTTTTCCAAGAATTTATTCTTATTGAAATTAGAGCCTAAGTTTATTATTATATCCAAAGTTTTTTTTAGCATACTATTAGGTAAAAGCAGGTCTTTCTAAATATTAGCACATTTAATATAGTTATTATTTAGTATCCCATGTAAATAAGGCCATTAGCTCAAATATATTTTTCTATTTCCACAAACATACATTGTGCTTTTTTATAGTTTATTAGTTTATGTTTTCATTTGCTTGCCTGCAAATAAAAGAATCTCAATTGGAAATTATTAATGAGCAACTAAGACAACCTGGACTAAATGGAATATTAAATTCTAAAAAAGTCTGAGTATATAAAATGTAACACTTTTTTTTTTTTTTGAGATGGAGTCTTGCTTTGTCCCCCAGGCTGGAGTGCAGTGGCGCGATCTCAGCTCACTTGCAAGCTCCGCCTCCCGGGTTCACGCCATTCTCCTGCCTTAGCCTCCCGAGTAGCTGGGACTATAGGCACCCACCACCATGCCTGGCTAATTTTTGTATTTTTAGTAGAGACGGTGTTTCACCATGTTAGCCAGGATGGTCTCGATCTCCTGACCTCGTGATCCACCTGCCTCGGCCTCCCAAAGTGCTGGGATTACAGGCGTGAGCCCCCCACACCTGGCCTATAACACTTCTTTTGGTACTATCATTATGTTACTGTAGTCAACTTTAGCATGTTGGAACTATTTTCAATAATTTCTTTATATTAGGTAAGAGTGTCTCTTAAAATGCTTCAGGTACTACCTGAAATTAAATGTGAGATATTAAATACAGTCCTTCTGGGAGATGAAGGCATTTTACTTAATTTCTGTGCTGATCACACCAGGCAAATCTTTAACACACAGCAGAGGGAGAAGCATCCACAGAAAATATACTAAGGAAGTAATTAATTTTTTATTACAAGCACTGTGACAAATGCACACACTATCAGGCCATACAGAATGCACACAAGAATGGAGGGTTGGGAGCCTACACTGCATGGAGACCCAGTAAGTACTGCCAGGCCATGCACACTTCATACCTCAAAATGGAAAGAGAAGCTAAGAAACGGTTCTCTCCAGGCAGCAGTGGTAAAAACTATGAAGAAACTTACTGTCTTTCAATGAAAAGCTGAAGGGAGATGCACTAATTTTTTTCCCTAAAAGAAAAAATTTAACTCTGCCAGCAATGATTTGCTTGCACTTAAAGGGTCCCAGAAGTGTTGAGATCCTTTATCTGCATCTATTCAAAAGCAGATAAATTAAAATGAGATAGCTCAAGTACACTGTAATGACACAGCTTCAAAGTCTGTCTTGAATAACTTGACTAGTCAGTAGTAAACCAGATTTAATGCAAATGAGAAATTATTTCCTCACCAAAGCTGGAGCATAATTATCCTGAATTGGTGAAAGAAAACAAATCAATTGATTTTGAATCTTAGAATTTACTCACGAGTAATTTTTCTCATTACAAAATAGATATAATGTGTTGAATGTTGACTACATTCTGGCCACTTTATTTCTGTTTTGTTTAAACATCCATTCCTCAGTTGTAGCAATTACCACTTAGTATATTGTTTAATATCTATGGTTTGTATTATATTTCTTATATCTCTCTCCAAATGTTGTGACATCCGAGAGGGCAGGTAATATTACCCATTTACCCTAGAGATAGGTGATGTATATTTTATGACCATTGAAATCTGCATATTGAGATTCTGCCTGGGCCAATAGGTATAGCAAGTAAATGGCTAATAAAATTAAGTCCAAGAAGCACTAATTGTTTAAATTTTGCCAAGTTTTAATTAGCACAGTTCAGTTAGATAAAACCAGTCTCCTACCTTCACAATTCAAATCTTAGTTATCAAGGTATATTCACTGCAAACAATTGCAAAAAGTGCAAAGTTTTCTGATAGCTCTTCAGTCCACAAATACCTAAATAACAGTTAAGAATTATAATCAAAGACCAATCACTTCTTTCAAAGTCTGTTGGTTTTGAGCCCTCTACATCTGTTACTCAGTTTGCATACAGAAAGCAAATCATACAATTGTGTTGTCTCCTTGTTTCCTAGTTATAAATTCATATGCCATCTTACAAAAATCAAAATAGGCTAAGAAAAATGAAAATGCAGGAAAGATAAGGGTGATAATATAGTGACTGAAATTTTAATCAAAAAAATGCAGTTATAGAAGCAATAGCTAACTGTGGAAACATTGACATTGCTGCTTTAGATATGTAGCTAGAAGAACTTACTGAAGGCTACTTTTTCAGCATAAATGAAGTGGATGTGTCAAAGAATGAAGATGTCCCAGAAGAAATGACACTAGCAAACAACAACAAAACAAAAACAACTTCACATTTTTAAAAGTCTTGAAAATATATCATAACATTGGAAGCACAAACAATAAAATGTTAGAAGCTGATCCTAATATAAGAAGCATGCTGGGTCAAACGGTATTTCTAGTTCTAGAACCTTGAGAAAGCACCACAATGTCTTCCACAATGGTTGTGGTTTCCACAAGACAACCATTGTGTCTTCCACAATGGTTTCCACTCCCACCAACAGTGTAAAAGCGTTCCTATTTCTCCACATCCTCTCCAGCATCTATTGTTTACTGACTTTTAAATGATCGCCATTCTAACTGGCGTGAGATGGTGTCGGTATCTCATTGGAGATGAGATGGTTTTGATTTGCATTTCTCTAATGACCAGTGACCTACTTAACAAACCTGCACGTTGTGCACATATACCCCAGAACTTGAAGTATTAAAAAAAAATCCCTTGGAAATTATTCAAGCATAAAAAAATTGAAAATAAAAAAAAGAAGCATGCTGATTCACCAAGGCATAGAAAAGGTGCTCACTCCATTGCAGATGTCGTAAAATGAGAAGGAAGGCAATCATTTTTCAAATTATTCTTGATTTTTCAAATAACTACTTTATTTTTCATTTCTTATATTTTAAATTACAGTATTCTAAATAAACTAGTTTTACTATTTTTAAAAATCTCCGTATGTATTTACCACTGACAGTATAGAGTTTTTGATGTTTTGGCAAATTTTTTTAAGGTCATGGAACAATCATAGTTTTTCCATTGGCTATGATCAATTTGCACAGGTTAATTTGTATGGGCATGTTTATGATCTGGCACTACCATAGAAGTGAGAACTGCCTGCACATGTTATCATTATCACTCTTCACAACAATCATTTTTTAAATGTGCTAGACCATAAAAATTAGACAGCAAATATCTATAGTGCTGTCAATGAACTACTAATAATAGTTTATAAGATTGGAAGAACATAGAGTTTCATATTTCAAAGTGACATTTCTGGTCATATACAACTACAAGGCAGGAGAATTCTTTGAATGGCATTTCTGAAAAAAATATTTATATGTATATATTCATTATATTGCTACACATTTAATTCAGATACACATCATTGTAATTTTTCTAGTTGTTTTAAATTTGCATTATGAACGAGTTTGGTCAATCAACTACAACACTTTCTAGCAGCCACATAGTAAAAACGTCCTGGCTGTGAACTTTTCAGAGATTCCGTGATCTCTTGATCATATCATCCTGTTATGTTCTAGTTCCCCACCACCTCCAGCACTGTTCCCATCTTCTCTACAACCAGTCTGTAAATCAATGTTCCTCAAACTGAGATCAAGATCTTTACTTCTAATCGTGCCCATATAATTCCTGCAGCAGCATTTCCCTATAAATAGCTTCAAATGCATGAAGTTACAGAAGCTTCCTCATGTATACTCTCCCATTTCACATTCTAATAGCAGTGGATAGATAGCTATGACTTTGGAATCTATACCTAACCAAATATTTGGAAAGGAGGTCAAGTCTAACATTTAAAATCATTAGGGCAAGAATTCTAATTGGAAAGAGAAAAGCAACATTTCATTTATTCATTCAAGTCTGAAGTTTAAACCAAGAAAATGAAGAAAGTTAAAAATAAAGCAAGGTCAGTTCAATATGAGGAGAGAAAAAGAATATGAGATGGTCATAATTTGTCTCTTTGTCTAATATACCACCACCAAGAGCAATGATCAAAAGATCAGCAGCAGCAATAATAAATAACATTTATTGAGAACTTCCCATGTTCCTGACAATATTCTTCCATGTTAATGCCTCATTTAATGCCCCCTACCTTCCCATGAGGTAAGAATTATCAGTAACCCAGTTTAAAAACAGAAAAACAGGCCAGGCGTGGTAGCTCACACCTGTAATCTCAGTACTTTGGAAGGCTGAGGTGAGAGGATTACTTGATTCCAGGAGTTCAACACCAGCCTGGGCAACATAGGGAGACTCCGTCTCTATAAAAAATTAGCCAGGAATGATAGTGTACATCTGGGGTCTCAGATACTTTGGAGGCTGAGATGTGAAGTCAAGGTTGCAGTGAGCAGTGATTGTGCCACTGCACTCCAGCCTAGGTGACAGTGTGAGACTGAAAAAAGAAAAAAGAAAAAGAAAAAGAAAAAGAAAAAAATAAGAAAAGAAAATGAAAGGAGAAATTAAGTACATCCCCCAAGGTCACACAACTAGAATCTGGATGGAGTTAAAGTCTTTCAATCCAGGGCACATATCCAATAATCATTACAATGTATTTAACATATAGATTCAGAAATGGGCTAAATGCATGAAGTCTCCTTAGCTACTGTCTTATTCCAATCACAGATGGTAAAAAGAGTAATGTAAATAAATGAGCAGATAGCAATAGTTAAATAAACTAACATTTAGGATTCAACAGTTGAGGGTTTACACAGCAATGCCAGCTCTCACTTTCTTTTGCCTGACATTTTTTAAAACAGTTTCTACAGAATGCAACGTGGAAAAGCAGGTCAGTTAATTCAAGTCATTATTGAAGACTTACCAGACATACAAGTTCCAGTAGAGTTTAAGTTATTCTTGGTGACAGAAATATGAGTATAATATTTAAAAGATATGAATAATCTGATTTTGCTCCAGTTCTTTGAGTTTAAAATCTGGGTAACAAAAGCCTGTAGAGGTCATAGGGTACACCGCGTATGGCATTTTGTTCCATTTCAGTCTAGTTAAGCATAAAAATGGTTCAATTGTACAGTACCAAAATGCGTGCTTGAGGTTTTGGTCCGAGTTTTCTTTAAAAAGAGCTTCATTGTTTGTCCAATTTGAACTCATTGATTGACAACCATTTATAGATTACATTTACCCATTTCAAGGGATACTAAAATCATAGAATTTTACCATGAGAAGTGTTTTGGAGTGAGGAGTTTCTTCTGCTTTCAGACTCTGCTTTCTTTCATACTTGATTAGAAGACCAAAATATGTAGACAATTTTACTTACTAAATATATGACCAAGATTGATTTCATTTTGAGAAGAACTGGGCAAATTATTGACACTCGCATTGTTTAGAAACTATCACAGTTAACCTACCCAGGAGCCTAATAAAATGTCTTATTCTTGTGTAAATTGAATCAGCATGTGCAAAAGTCGTTTTCATGTTAAATAAATGTGAAGGTCAATGGATGAATAGAAACCAAGGGAAAAATGGATTTTGTTTCCTTCTATGCCATTGCTATTAGCCTTTGCATCTATCAAAGATAGTTCATTCTGAAGCCTGCAAGTGGGAGGAAACTGCAATTCAAGAAACAGTAAAAGAACACTCTGTACTCTCCTTGAACTTCTCTGCCCCAGTCTCTACATATATTTTCATTTGTCCTCAGTCTTTTGAGATTGCTTTTGAGGAATAATATGGGCTCCCTCTGGTGACTAATTTCACATGTAAACATTCTCATGGCAGTTAGTTAAGAAGCTGCAACCTCAGGATCCTGTGCTTGTCTCATACAGAAAAGTATGTAAGGTTATAGGCTTACGGGAAAGCTTTTTGATTCAGTTTTTGTGTTTTTAAGTAAAAATAAATCTCAGAATTTAGCATGCGTTCTCCATTGGATGCACAGAGTAAATTTTCATCACTTAACTATTACATTAAATTCCCCAATTGTGTGCTATTTTTATTTTAGCTACCATTATTTGGAATGAAAAGATCTTCATAGTTTCAGAAAACAATACTTCAGACATTTAGACAAAATGAAAGTATGTAGAAGTAGCACAAATAGATTTTTTTTGTATGTTTTGTTAAGATAGAAAATGGAGTTGATGCAGGAAAAATAAGAAATCGATGTCATGGATAAAGACGACTTCTCCTGGTCTCGTTTCTCTAAGCAAAACAACTCAGTAGCTCAAGAGACTAGGTAAGGCCTCCTACCCAGCATTTTGTGGCAGATTTTAGATTGCTTATTCAGCTCATCCTTTTTCCTACTTCTATTTCATCCGTCTCCCCTCTCTCCTTTCTGCAAGGAAATAAAATGTATTCCAAGAGATATAATTAAAACTTTCAACATTGTTCTGGTCTCATGGTCATTCTTTTAAAATCAGAAGTAACCTTCATTTTGAAATTCCTATGCATCTTTCCCTTCAGAAGTTATAAATTTACTAAATGTCTATATAAACAATCTTAAGATTGAATATTGTCTTGAAACATTTTATAGTTTACTTATGTTAGTATCATTGTGTATATATTTTCCTGCAACTGGTGTCTTCATTAGCATGAAATTTTTAGAGATTTATATATGACACATGTAAATGTATATTATTCTCCTTACCTGCTTTCAATTATACTATACTACTGTAATACCGTTTATTCAGGCCAATAATTGCCTTTTATGTTTTTCATTTTTCAGTAATCCTAAGGGTTCAGAACAACATGTGAAAGAGGGCCTGCTTTCTCTTTCACTTGCAGCAGGGTTTCCCAGGACTGTGAATTTTGATTGATAGGTCTCAGAGAATGCACCTCTTTATTAACACAAAATTGTTCTCTAAAATGATTGTTTCCATTTGCGTTCCCACCTGCGGCAAGCCAGGTTCCCCTTAGCAACCAGAAGAATCAGTTTCCACTAACCCTTAACTATAATTGTGATGAAGGCATAAGTTAAACATTAAAGAACAGGAGAAACTGCTGCCTGAGTATGAGGTGTGGAATGTGAAAACAAACCCAATGGAACCTTGCCTGGGTTTTCTCAGACCCTCAAGTCTGATAGAATAATGAAAGCATGCTTACACATACACCTTGTACCAGAGCGACTTACGATTAAAAAATTTTCCAGGACTATAGAGAAAGCTTTCCAGACCCCAGATCCTAGTTAAAAATTAGATATAGATTGAATGAAACATTCCCGTTTGTAGGTACACTCCCACACGTAGGCATCGGGCTTAGAATATGTTTAAAAACAAACTTGTAACTTTGAGTTCACCTGGTGAGTTACTCTGACCTTCTCCCTGTAATTGGTTGTAGAAATAAACTCCCTTCTTTCTCAGTCTGTCTGCATCTTATTATTGGACCAAGAGAACAAGCCTCTGGTTGTTGTTCTGTCCAGGAATATGCCCACTTCTTACTTATTCTATGAGACCATTTTGCCTAATCAGAAAAATATGTTCTCAGTTTAATTTCTGTCATGCTATGTTATACATTTAAAGCTGGTCTTCAAAAGTGACTTCACTTGATGACAATCTACTAAAGTTACAAATTTCCTCTAGTCACCTAATCATTTCCTGTATGATTCAATAAATATACACTTTTTTGCCCCGATGTACAAATGTCAGATAGAGGAAAAAACATTAACATTTACACACCACTGCTACTTCTAAAACAAACAAACAAACAAAAAAACTCCAGCACCATATTCTAATGCCGCCTCCCTCTCCTTTTGAGATATCACCTGGCTAAACTACTCTACTCCCCTTCTTATATCATCTGACTAACTAGGTCATTTTCTTTTATTTTGCAAGATATTTTACTAAGGTGGTTCAGTTTTCTTCTACAGGCTTTCTCTGCCAGCTCCTTTGGAAGTAATAGCAATGTCCATACAAATGGCTTGATTACCTTCATGACCTTCCCCACAGTACCTGAAGAATCCTCATATATCCCTACATCCTGGTATTTATCCTGTCACCCCAAACACATTTACCTTTGAATTCTTTCACGGTATATAGAGTTAACCCAGAATGATAACTTTTCATCTATGCAATACCAGAAACATCTTATCTAAATGCAAATGGAGAAAAATAGACAACCATAGCACACATCATTTTTAGCTTTTAAGTATTAGTTTCAAGTGAGTTCTTATTGCTGCCGAGAAAACCTGCTCATTCTCCCTAGCCATTTTTTCCTATATCAGAAACAATAATTTCTATTCTTAAACTTTCAAATCTACTTCCCAACTCTTGACCCTTCAAAAATATGTATGTTTCTCACATCACTGAAAAAGCAACAAACCAAATACAACTTTCAGGCTCTTCCAAAGCTACATCTACCATTCATGCTATACTTGGCCATTATGGTAGTCAAATTATCCCATTTCTCTTTTAGGCAAACCTCCGTACTTTCACACTGAATCCTATCCACTTGAAGAATACACCTTCTGCAATCAACCCATTTCATATCCATATCATCAAGATTTCCATCTCAGCTGGATTATCATCCTTATGCCAACATGTTGTAATATCTCCTATCCTAAACACTCAGTCTTGTGTTTTATGTGACGATAGAAGATGTAGCCAGGATTTAAAAGGAACCCTAAATTCTGAAGTTTCTATTTTTTAAATTATTTGTCTATAGATTCCAGAAAATGACCAATGAGAGCTCTTTCATCAAAGAAAATATCGAATAAGAATAATTGTTTAATTTTATATTTCAAGAATTTCAGTTTGTATTCAAATGGATGTGCTGGGTTTTTAAAATTTGTATGCTAATCACCTTCAGCTTGGTAGGGGAAAGAAGAGTAATCTTTGTACAATATTTTATATTCTTCTTCCTATCAAAGGCCTACTCTCCAGAGGAATAATTTTACCAGAGCCGTGTCACTGAGCCAGGGAAGAAAGGCATTCCTCCCATTCAGCCCCACCCAGACTTCCTGTCTCACCTAGGAGATGGGAGAGTGGAAAAGCTGTATAAAAAGAAATACTGATGAGAGTAAAGGCCAGAGACACAGGCCAACACAGAAACAGATTTCACTGGAAAAGTTTAGAAAGTTCTCACTCCCCTTTATCTTATACCACATTAACAGGGGTCCATTGTGATAATAGTTGATTATAGCTGAAAGAACTACAATAAACCTACTTTTATTTTTTAAGGGAGGAGAATTTATAGGAGCTCAAAGTTAAGAGGAAAGACCAAAACAAATACACAAGAGGAATCTGAATTCGGTTAACTATAGCAACAGAAAGCATTAATCAAAGCAAATTTAGATCAACTTAAATCCTCATAAGAGAAATCTATTTTAGTTCCTATGGCCTGAAAACACATATTAGTTATTTAAAAAAATACAAGAAGGCAAGAAAAAAAAGAATCCACCATTTGAAGAGACAAAGAAAACATCAGAACCAGATTAGACATAACACAGATGTTAAAATAATCAGACAGGGAATTGACAATGACTGATTAATATTTTAAGGGCTGTAATGGAAAAAAGCAGATAACACAAGGACAATGGATAATAAAATTAAAAATAAAATATCCAGGAAAGAGTCAAAGGAAATGCTAGAAATCAAAGAATAATGTAAGAGAAAGGAAGACTGCCTTAAATAGACTTATCAGTAGACACAAGTCCAAAGCATCATTGAGTCTGAAAATAGTTCAACAGAAATTCTCCAGATTAAAATGCAATGGTAAAAAGGTTAAATAGAAAAACCCAGAACATCCAAAAACAGTGGGACAATTTCAAAAGTAACACATGCTGTCCAGGCACAGTTGCTCACACCTGTAATCCTAGCACTTTGGGAGGCCGAGGCAGGTGGATCACTTGAAGCCAGGAGTTTGAGACCAGCCTGGCCAAAATGGCTAAACCCCATCTCTACTAAAAATACAAAGATTAGTTGGGCATGGCGGCAGGCACCTGTAATCCCAGCTACTCAGGAGGCCGAGGCAAGAGAATCGCTTGAACCCAGGAGGCAGAGGTCACAGTGAGCCAAGATTATGCCACTGCACTCCAGCCTGCGTGACAAAATGAGAATCCATCTCAAAAAAAAAGTATATATATATATATATATACCAGTAACACATACATAATTGGAATATCAGAAGGAGAAAGAAGAGAGTAGATGAAATATTTGAGGTAAAAAAAAAACTTTCTACATCAAGTCACATATCCAGGAATGTCAAAGGACAACAAGCAGAAGAAATGCCAAACTAAACCGTTAAATATTATATTTAAACTCCAGTAAACCAAAGACAAAAAAGGATCATGAAATAAGACTGAAGGAAGAGCACTTTAGCTAGAGAGGAACAAGGATAATTATTGCTACAGCAAACTTCTCATCAGAATTCATGCAAGAAAAGGCAAGTGGAGTAAAATATTTGGAATTCTGAACAAAAAAAGAAAAAGAGTAGTATTTTATATCCAGCAAAATTATCCTTCCAAAGTCAAGAGAGAGGACAAAAACTTTCTTTTGATAACCAAAAATGGTGTCTCTTATGGAAGAAAAATATAGATCAGAAACGAATAAATGATAATACATGATAAAAAATATTTTATTTTTCTTATTTGTAAAAGGGTTTAAAAGACAACTCACCTAAAAGACACTTAAAATATAAATGTAAATGATGATTATAACATATAGATAAGTTAGAAGAACAACAATACTGCTAGAATAAATGACAGAGAGGAATTAAGAATTGTTATAAGATACCAGCATTGCAAATGTAATGGAATAGTGTTATTTGAAAATGGAGTTAGATCAGTTAGAATGTAAACTGAGGAAATCACTAATTTTTTAAAGAGTGTAATTGATAAACAAGAAATAAAATATAATCATCTAAAATTTTCAATTAAGACAAGAGAAAGCAAAAAAAAAGAGACCTTTGGCAACAAGTAGCAGCTACATAATGATTGATGCAAATACACCAACAATAACTGTAAATGTGAGTGTTCTATATACACAAATTAAGAAGATTGTCAGAGTATATAAAAATAAACACAACCATGTGGGAGGCTGAGGCAGGCAGATAACTTGAGGTCAGGCATTCGAGACCAGCCTGGCCAACATGGTGAAACCCCGTCTCTACTAAAAATACAAAAATTAGCCGGGCATGGTGGCAGGAACCTGTAATTGCACGTAATCTTGAGGCTGAGGCAGGAGAACCACTTGAACTCGGAAGGCAGAAGTTGCAGTGAGCCGAGATCATGCCATTGCACTCCAGCCTGGGTGACAGAGTGAGATTCCACGTCAAAATAAAATAAATAAACAAGACCTAACTATATGTTGCCCATAAGAAACACACACTGAATATAAACACCCTGATAGATTAAAAGTAACGAGGTGGAGAAAGCCATACTGTGCTAGTATTAGCCAACTAAGTTGGAGTAGCTGTATTGATTTCAAGCAAAGTAGGTTTCAGAACAGAAAAATTATGAGGATAGCAGAAAAATTATGAGGATAGCAGAAAAAATTATGAGGATAGCAGAAAAAATTATGAGGATAGCAGAAAAAATTATGAGGATATATTATTATTATATAATAATAAAGAGACCAATTTTCCAAGAATACATAGCACTTTTAAATGGGCAAGGACCTAACATGGCATCAAAATATGTGAAGCAAAACTAATAGAATTCCACCAAACACAAAGTATTATATCACCAGTTTTATACAATATATTTCAGGAAATAGAAGAAAGAACTCTTTCCCACTCTCTCTATAAGGACAGCATCTCCCTAATACCAAAACCAGATAAAGATATTAAAAAGAAAGAAAAACTACAAACCAGTAACTATCAAACTTTGACACTGCACCCTGCACATATTGTCATATCAAACCCAACAATGTAGAAAAAGAATTATACACTACAACCACATGGAACTTATTCTAGTATGTAAGGCTAGTTCAACATTACAAAAAAAAAAAATCAATGTAGTCTACTACATTAACACACTAATGAAGAAAACCTAACGATCCTATCAATTGACACTGAAAAAAAAAACCCACTAAATCCAGCAGACTTTCATTGTAAAAACTCTTTGCAAGACGGGAAGAGAGAAACTTTTTCCATTTGTTAGAGAATATATACATAAACCTATAGCTAACGTCATATATAATGGTGAAAAGTTGGGTGCAATTCCCCTAGGATTAGAAAGGTGGCAACAATGTCTTCTTTTACCCTTTCTAGTCAATATCATACTGGAAATTCTAGCTAGTACAAGACAAGAAAAACAAGTAAAATCCTACAAATTTTAAAATAAAGGATCATATGCTCTTGTTCATAGATTACATAATTATCTAGCTAGAAAATTCCAAAGAATTAACAACAAATTTCTGAACCTAAAAAGTGAATATTAAAAAGTCACAGGATATAAGGTTAATGTACAAAACTCAATTGTTTCCTATATACCAGCAATTAACAATTGAAATTTGAAATTCTAAAATGAATACTATTTACAAAAATTGATGAAACAGTTCAAAACAGATCCAAATAAAACAGATAATTGATGTTCACAAATTTGAAGACTCAGTATTTCTAAACTGACAATTATTCCCAACTTAATCTAGAGATTCAATGAAACCCCACTCAAAATCCTAGCAGGCTATTTATTGATATTGAAAAACTGATTCTAAAATTTTTTATAGAAAGGCAAACACAATACCAAAGTGGAAGAAAGTTAAATGGCTCACAATACCTCATTTTAATACTTATTATAAAGGCACAGTAGTTGAGACAGTATAGTATTGGTGAAAAAAATTAATGCATAGATAACAATAGAGGACTTAGAAACTGACTTATACGAACATAGTCAACTGATCTTTGATAGAGAAAGACACATCAAATGAGGAAGAATAATCTTGTCAACTGGTGCTGGAGAAATTGGACCTCTCCAGACAAAAACATGAACTTAGAAACAGACCTTACATATTACACAAAAATTAGCTCAAAAATAGAATACAGAGAATACATAATACAAAACTGTAAGATTTTTGAACATGGGAGAAAATCTATATGACCTTGGATTTGGTGATGGGCTTTTAAAATAAAACACCACTAGCATAATCCATGAAAGAAAGAATTGGTAAATTGCTTATTAAAATTAGAAACTTCTACTCTGTGAAAGACAATAAAATAAAAACACCCAGAGAAAACATTTGCAAAACATGTCTGCTAAAGAAGATGTACAGATGGAAAATAATCATATGAAAAAAATGCTCAGTATCATTTTTCATAAGGAAACTGCAAATTTAAGCAACAATGAGATAGTGCTACACACCTATAAGGACAGCTAAAATCCAAAACACTGACAATGCAAAATGCTGGTATGGATCGGGAGCCATAGGAACTCTCATTTATTGCTGGTGGAAAAGCAAAATGGTACGGCCACTTTGAAAAGCTGTTTGACAGTTGCTTGCAAAGCTAACAGTAGTCTTATTATATGATTCCCCTAGCATACTCCTAGGTATTTACTCAATTGAATGAGAGGGTTGTGTCCATATAACAACCTGCAGATAACTGATTATAGCAATTTCTTTTACAATGGCCTAAAATTGAAGCAACCAAGATGCCCTACAATAGGTGAATAAACAAGCTGTGGGGCATCCATGCTATAAAATATTTTTGGCAATAAAATTAGATGAGCTATCATGCCACAAAGTCATGGCTGAACCTAAATGAATATCATATGTGAAAGAAGCCAGTATGAAAAGCCTACATACTATAGGGCTCAAGTTATATGAAATTTCTTAAAAGGAAACATTATAGTGGGGAAACTCACTAGTGGTTAATTGAAGAGTTTGGCAGGAGTTGGAGGGTGAAGGTTGAATAAGTGTAGCACATGAGATTTTTTGCAGGGTGACGAAGTTATCCTGTATGATACTAAAATGGTGGATTCAAGACATTAAACATTTATCAAAACCCACAGAAATTGACAACAGACAGTAAATCTTAATGCACTCAGATTGCAAAATGTACATACTTTATGGATCAGATGATCCTGAAGGAAATGCAGAACACAACCAAATAAGCTAAATATATTACAAATGTATGCAACAACTTCACTGAAGGGGAAAATATAGTAAGGTGCTGACCTAAGTAACTTCGGGAGTGAGTGGAGTCTGCAGGACAAAAGGCAAATGGAATTGTACAAAGCACTGCACTTTAGTTAATAAAGTTTTTTTTTCTTCTCCCATGGAGGTAACATGCTAAAACTACTATATATGTATACTGGAACTGAGCAATTAAGTAAATGAATGGCAACTGGTAGAAGCCAGTGATCACACTCCAGGGAGTGGGAGGTTACAGATAAGCAAGGAAGCAGGCTAGAATGATCCATGTAGTAATGGATTAAAGTAGAAGGCATAAGTATGAACTCATTTTAGCTTAATATACATGCCAATAATTACATATGGACATATAGATAAATATGTGTAAGTACAAGGGTTCATATACACACATAACTTTCCCTGCTCTGTCAGCTCAGAGACAGTGACACATCAGTAGCAATGAGCACAGCTAGTGCATAAATTTGGTCTCTAATATGACCCTTAAATAGAACAAACCTGCATGGCTCCTTGGAGAAATAACTTATTCTAGGACTTGGAAAAGAACCATACGAGATGAGCCTGGAGTATCACACAGTGCCAGAAAATAACGAAGTGTTAAAACGAAACCAAACAAAACACAACGAGAGTATGCCAGTGGACTCAGCAGATAACTAAAAGAGGTCCAGTGGCCAAAGCTGGAATAATTTGGGCAAAAACTGTAAAGTGGTTTTGGATCTTAACCCAAAATATAAAATAAAGATCCAAAAGTTTATGATGACTTGTGATATTGTTCTAATTTGGTCTGGAGGTGCCTCTCTTGAGAGTGGCCATGAGCCATAATAGTCACTTTTTAAGGGAGCTTTCCTAGGGATGAGAGGAACTTAGGATGGGTGTGCCTGTTAGGTGAAACACGGAGGAGGCAGCACAACAAAACATGAAATAGCCAAAGTACTTATTACTCACTGATCCATAAATGCAGAGGGTTGCCCCTGAGAGAAGGCCGGAGACAACAGGGTACTCAAACGGTCCGTAGAGAGCAAGAGAGAGCGCGAGTAAGCACCTGGGGGACTGTGCCTTTATTAAGGTCCATGGGGCCATGGGTATCCCTTAGGGTGTGGATTGGCTAGTTAAAAAAAAAAAAAAATGTGAAAAGGGGAAACTTAATTACATGCCTGGTGTTGACCATTAAGTTTCATCATGATCAGCAGCTGTGGGATGTGTTGAGCCTGGGGTCAAAAAAATGAGGCACAAGTGAGTTATATCTCCCCAAACAACTACATGGCGAGGGGAAGTTTTAACTAGGCTAAAGGTTACAGGGTACGACTAGGTTTCAGACAACTCATGTCAAGCCTAAAAATGGATGCCATGGCAGCAACTGTATTAAACAATTTTATGACATTGACATAAGTAAATGCTTGAATAAATAATAGATGGAAGGAGAATAGATAAATCTGCCTCAGAAAACTCCAAGTAATTTTTGTAGATATGTCACCATCAAAGAGGTAGGACATAAATTCCCACTCCTTAATTGTAAATTTATATAATGATTTTTATTGAAAGGATATAGTATAGAGGAAAGTGGGAATAAGAGTAAATGTATGGCATAGAAACTTGAAAGCTACTGTCTTAAGCCAGGTGATCAAGATTAACATCAACAGAATCATCGCAGATAGTAAGTTTTGCTGATAGAATATAAGAATGGTACTTTACTACTAGGATCTTCTTCCCAAAAACTATTGCCAGAGTTTAACCATGAGAAAGGCATTAGATAAATCTCAACTGAGTATTATTCTACAGAATACCAGTACTCCTCAAAACTATCAAGGTCATCAAAAGCAAGAAGAGTCTGAGAAACCATCACCATCTAGAGTGGCCTAACCTTGTATCCTGAAAAAGAAAAAGGAACATTAGGGAGAAATTAAGGAAATCTGAATAAAGTACAAATTTGAGTTAATAATAAGATATCAATAATCTTTCATTAATTGGGACAAACATACCATACTAAGATGCTAATAATTTGGTAAATTAAGTGTGGGGTATATAAGGAACTCTTTGTATTACCTTTGCATTTATTCTGTAAATCTGAATTTATTCTAAAACCAAAGGTTTACTAAGTTTACTAATACCTATTAGCTAAGGAGTTTTTTTAAGTGGTAACTTTTCCAGATGAGTCTCCTTAACAATTCCAGGGTCTTAAGAATAGGAGAATACAGGAGAAGGTACTACTGTAATTATAACTTTCATCTTTGTTATTTAGGTAATTTAAGCTTGCAGATTTCCAAGTCAATATAAGTACTAGGTTAAAATAATCAGATAGGAAAGTAAAAACTTTCAAGGTAATTTTATTTTATTTTACATTAACAAGAGCTTTGGACAACAAAAAGGTCTTCAAGTAACTCGAAATTGAAATAGAAACTGAGTCACTGCTATTTCCGGTATTAACTGTTTTTGTATAATTGGCTATTTTTATTGCTTTTTTTTTAAGTAAATACTTTCTGTAACTCCAAGTTTGGCCACTCTTTTTTCTTATTTCCTTCTTCTTCTGCAGTCTCTCAAATCCTCTGGGAGATATAAATATAATATTAATTCCTTATATGAAAATGGTCAATACAGACCATCACTTGTGGTAGTACAGAAAGACATATATGAAATGTCATATATTAAATATATTATATGATTCTATTGTGCAAATCCATGTGCTTACTAATCCCAGAGTTGTTGTAATGATTACAAGTCAAGTAAGGTAATATGGTCCTCACTGATTTAAGTTTAGATTCTAGAAGGATCCAGAATAAATGTGTGACTCTGGGAAAAGGGTACATGTGTCTGCTTAATAGGTTCAACAACAAAGAAGCTTGTCTGCAACTAACTGCAAGGAAAATATTGCAAAGAACCTCTTGAGATGCATATTCAAAATGTCTTCTCCATTTCCCTATTCTGGTTTCCCAATGTGATTCTTTGAAATTTGAGAGGTCACTGATAAAATTGAAAATCCTTCCAAAACCCAAAGTGCCATCTATGGACAATAACTGAGTCAAGAGAACATTTACGGAGAAAGGAGGGAGATGGAAAAGAGATTCAGAGTGTAAGATCCTTTTATGTAAGAGAAGTGGGGATTATCCAAAGTGCAGGAGAGTCGACCAGACACTAAAAGGTTTTTGAGGTGTTTGAGAAAGTCGATCATAAATACAAAGCTAGAAAATATTACTACCCACCCTACACCATAAGAGGGAACTTTGAAGAGGAGTAGAGTCCTTCAGCTGTTTTCTTTGCAGTCTCATTTCATAATAATTTTCCAATACTGTTTTACTTTTTACATTGGCTCAATTTCTCAGAAATAACTTCATGGTTATTTGCACTTCTTGGTGTGATATTTCTTAAAAGGCTTAAGAAAAACAGTATTAAAACAAAATCAAATTTGCCCTCCATATGTCTCTACTGCAGTCCTTGAAGAAGGTGTGTCAATCTTCCTAAGTTACAGTCTTGTGCTTCAGGTAGTAAAGGGCAGTACAGTGAGGTGAAAAGAGACTGAAAACCTTACTTTCTGCTTACCTTCCTACTCACATATGAGAGAAAACCAGCCAATTAAATGAAAATAGAGGATGAAATGTGTGTTATATCTATGTTTGAATCTTCATTAGTGTTTTAGCTATTCATTGAAGCAAAACAAGGCACCCCCAAAACTTAGTATCTTTAAACAATGACATTAACTATCCCAATTCAGTATATGGTTCTGCTCCTCAGTTTTTCCTGAAGTCACTCATGGAGTTATATTCAAATATGAGCTTTCCTGGAACTGGAATTTCCAAGATGACCTCTTATCCTTCAAAGTGTCTCTCTTTCTGTATCTTCTGTGGGTATTCAGGTAATCTAATCTGACTTCTTTAAGGTTGGTGGCTGACTTTCAGGTGGGAGGGATTTGAAGATGATAAGCCCAAATGTGCAATTACTTCTCAAATCTGTGCTTTCTCTACACTTGCCAATGTCCCATTCATCAAAGCAAGTTGTGTGGCCAAGCTCAGAACTAGTGCAGGAGAGAACTATTTAAGTGTCTGAATGCCAGAAGACAGGGATTATAGGGGGGTACCAATCTAACAATCTCTCATAATTACAACTTCAAAATAAACACAAAAATCAATGAATTAAAGTTAAATTACTATACATGTTGGGTGATGGAAAGCATACATGGGAAACAGGGATTAGGCAATGTTCCAGAATGTTTTTTAACAAAGAATATTGGTTTCTAGTAATTATTTTCTGGGGTGCAAGTACCACTTTGACCAAATCTGTAGCTAAATTTTCTTCCCTGATGTATTAATAACTGAATTTTGCAGAACTGATAGGTTTCTTGGATATTTTGTCTGCTAATGTGGTTATTTCTAGACATCAAACTACCCCTCTCCCACCCAGCCCACTTGCTCAACACAATAAACACAGACAAACACACACACATACACACAGACACACACACACACACCTGAAATTAAATTTTTAAAAAATCACTAGAATTGATTAAATATCTTAAAGGCCTCCTTCCTGAAATAGACAGTGAGTCACTGCTATTTCCAGTATTGACTTTTTTTATAATTTTTTATTTTTTTCAGTTTTTTTAAAAAAAGTAAATACTTTCTGTAACTCAAGAATTGGTCATTCTTTTTCCTAATTTTCCTCTTCTTCTGCAGTCTTTCAAATTCTCTGGGAGATATATAAATAAAATACTCAACCCCTTATATTAAAATGGTCAGTACAGACCCTCATTTGGGGTAGTACAGAAAGTATTGCAATCAATACTGTACTAGGTACTAGATAAAAGGCAGATACAAAAGAAGATATGTGATATCATACTTTAATCTGTACAATACATTTTAATTTATACATTTATCCATAGGTTATGATTTTGTTGAAACTTCAACTGTATGAAGAGGTTTTCAAAAGTGATATCATTACATACATATTATGGATGATAAAAATGAGGCTGATAAAGAGGAAGTGAATGTCTACAGTTGTACAACTAGAAGGGGGTTGAATTCAGTCTAGAACTGAATAAAATTGAGTAGAATTTCAGTGTTTCTTTATGGTAGAATAATTGTAAGATGCAGGATTTTATAAATCTAAGTTTAAATTTTAATTTCAACATTTGAACAAATTGTATAAACACGTGAAATGCAGATTATATGTTTTCAGTATAATACTGATACCTTATATAATTAATATGGTTCTATTAATATTATTCTATTACATGATTTTATCTCTTTAAGGATATGGCTGCTGTCCTTAAAATCTTTCAAGCTGGCTGAGGAATAAGGTACGATTACCTAAACTAATAGCATTAGGTATTCAAAAGTGTTGAAAAGAAGAATAAATATAGAAAGAAAATAGTTAACTATTCAATTGTGTCACATTGAAGGAAGCAATACATACGTTCATTGAAGAGGAAGAGCAGGGAGATCTGATGTAGTCAGAGAGGATTTGACAGGAAAGGTGACACTTAAACTTGGCCTTCAATCTATTATACATGTATTTTGTGTCTTTGTATTCTCAGCAGAGTTCATATTCATTCTTCCTGTAATGACTGTTGAGAGGCATGAAGTCTGTTATCAATCACATCTCAACCATGAAGGCTTGACCCTTTTGCCACATTGATTAGGCATCACACTGATCTGCTATGCATTATGTCAGTTTGCTCTTCTTCCTTCTTTCCTCCCTCTCTATTTCACAAGTGCTGCATTGCCCTTTCACGGTCAAAGTATCCACTTCCAGCTTATTGTGCCTGGATTCCTTGTATTGAAAAGCACCAGGTTCTTTATGATAAGCACTTATATATGCGAAAATATTCTCTCCAAAAAATATAAGTGTGACTACCCTAAGTACCTGAGGTAAAGAACAATTGTGAAATTCAAAAGAAGAATGAAATGTTCAATTAGAGACCAAAATTGCTTTACAGCAGCACAATAAAATAAAACACAAACCAGTTTTTCTCAGCACCAGACTATTTTTTCACACACAGCAAAATAGAAAGTAGCCCTCATGGTTGCTTAACCAGTATATATGAGTGGTGAGAGTTTTCTTTCTTTCCTTTTATCCTCCAAGGAGCTATGGGGGAAGGGTAGAATGACTCACACTCAAGTATTAAGTGAAGATACTTTTTGTACTTTTCTTTTCTTCTTTCTTTTTTCTTTTTGAGATGGAGTCTCACTCTGTCACCCAGGCTGGAGTGTGGTGGCACAATCTTGGCTCACTGCAACCTCCACCTCCTGGGTTCAAGCAATTATCTTGCTTCAGCCTCCCGCATAGCTGGGACTACAGGCGCACCACCACACCCAGCTAATTTTTTACATTTTTAGTAGAGACAGAGTTTCACCATATGGCCAGCCTGGTCTCGAACTCCTGACCTCATGATTTGCCCGCCTCGGCCTCCCAAAGTGTTAGGATTACAGGTGTGAACCACCATGCCTGGCCCTCTGTCCTTTTCTTCTGCCATCTTTCCCACTAATTACTCTGATAAGCTGTTCAGCAGACAACAGAATATGTACCCTCTGTAGTCTTTTAGATAATTCTACCAATGAGGGGTAGAAAAGTGCACTGTCCATTAGAAATGACAAAAATGGTTTCCCATCCATATTGAGATAGGACAATAACCCTGGGCTTCTGAAGACACTGACTACCCATGCTCTGGACTTATAGACAATTAGGTTATGTCCTCATAAACCTATGATAACTTTAACATACTATAATTAAAAAACGTATTTAATATTGAAATGGGAGAGTTTCCTGATCCCCTTGCAGGATGTGCAAAAGGAGCATGGCTTGTCTGTTCAAACCCCTGATGGGAGGGGGAGCATGCAGACTGGCAGGTGCAGGAAGCCTGGGTGAGTGCTTTTGGCTCCAGCCCTGCAGTAGTGTCTAGAGGTGGGTATCTGAGGGCCCAGAGTTACAATGCTTTTTTACCCTTGCCATCTGCAGATGGCTTAAGTGTTAACCAGCTCAATGGACCCTCCGCCTTTTCCCAAGGTCGGAGGGCTGGTGTGACAGCTTTCTGTATCCTGAGCTCTTGCCCAGTGTCCCAGAAGAATCAGGTCCCACACAGGCTTGAAGGGTGAACGTGGGGTGTTATTGAGTGGTGAAGGGGGCTCTCAGTGGGATGGATGGGGAGCTGGAAGGGGGATAGAGTGGGAAGATGATCTTCCCCTGGAGTTTGGCCATTCAGCAGCTGAACTCCCCTCCCACCCACCACCAGTAGTCAAACTTCTCTCGGCATTCAGACATCCCTTCCCTTCTCTCATTCTCTATCACGCTGTTCATCTGCTTGTTTCCTTGTCTCCTCATCTGCTCCTGGAGCCTGGGGTTCAGGATTTATGTGGGTACAGAATAGGGGTGCATGAGGGGCCAAAAGATGTGTGAAAACAGAAATGCCTGTTCCCACTTAGGGCTGTGGGCCTCCAGGCTTGATGGTGGGACCTTTGCTGGAGAACTGCCCTCTTATGCCTAGTATTTCCCTGTCTCCTGTCCATATCAGTACACCTAACCTACATTCTCAGAACAACTGCATTAGCCTACAGGTGAAGAAAATCATCTCTCAATGCAGTGCACTGTAGAGATCTGGTGTTTACCCTTGTGATTGCGGAGGCGACTGGGAGCTGCACTTGCTGTCTCTGCTTAGCATAAGGAGAGAGTATCTTGCTGCACATCACTAGCCCGAGAAAAGGTCAAGATTCAAAATTCAAAGCACAGTTTCTATTGAATGTGTATTGCTTTCACACCGTTATAACGTCAAAAAATTGCAAGTCAAACTATCATAAGTCAAGGACTGTCTATAGTGGCCAAACTGAATTTCTTACCCAAAAATTCACACCGAACATCCAGTGACTTATAATAGCAATCAAGAACTTTTGTTGATTTAACAGAGACAATATTTATATAAAGATGGCAATTTGTGTAGCAGGTGAAGAGGAACTGTCAGGAATTTCTCTTGACACTGTTTGTTCAGGGAAGCACACGAATTTTACACAAATAGTGTGTTTATTTAGAGTAGCTTAAAAAGACAGCTGATGGAAAGTCATTTTTTATTCTTCTGTCTAGTTAAATCTGTTCATTTCTTCAAACTTAACACACTTTTTCCTCATCTTAGACTTTTTCTGTGACTGTTTTTGTTTTGCTAGAAGGGCAGAAGAGAGGAAATTGATAGGAAAATAAAATAACTATAACTGACTCTTGATTATTGACACCAAAAATCTTGTGTGCTTTCTCACTGAATCACACATATTTGGTTATCACCATTCTGTTTCTATATGTATAAAATGTTAAACCTGAACAGAACTTTTACAGACCATAGAAATTTTATCTTCTTTTGCAGTTTTTCTTTTCTTTGATCTTTACCAGCCTCTAATCAAATCTATTAAAATCAGATAATATTCCCAGTTTTTGGCATTTCCACTTTTTCCAAGCTGCTGTGCTAGTATTTTACAAGTTATCTACTAAAAAAATGACCAAAAATTTAAGTTGGAGGTAGTAAATATCCCTCCATGTTTAGGAAATATGTACAGTTGACTCTTGAACAACATGGGTTTGAACAGCCCGGGCCCACTTATATACGGATTTGTTTCCAGCTCTGCCACCCCTGAGACAACAAGACTAAGCCCTCCTCTTTCTTCCTTTCCTCAGCCTACTGAACGTGAAGACAATGAAATGATCTACTTCCATTTAATGAATGGCAAACATATTTTCTTTTCCTTATGATTTTCTTAAAAACATTTTCTTTTCTCTAGCTTACTTTATCGTAAGAATTATATGTATGTAATACATGTAGCATACAAAATATGTGTTAATTGGCCATTTATGTAATCAGTAAGGCTTCTGGTCAACAATAGGCTATTAGTAGTTAAGTCTTTGATGAGTCAAAGGTTATACTCGAATCTTTGACTGTGCCTGGTATCAGCACCTTAAGCCCAGGCTGTTCAAGGGTGAACTGTATGTATTAACCAAATCTTGACTCTCAGAGATTGAGCTGATGTAACATAGGAGCTATTTTGGAAAAATAGAGGTGAGGAGACAGTGGAGATCCTGCTTTCTTGCCACTCTGCAAAGCACCTTGAAGATGTAAATTGAATTCCTCTAAGATGTAAATTCTAAATTTCCATGTAAGATTTTAAAGGAATAAATCAAAACTGTGAAAACTACTGCTTTTTATAACCTACTAAATTGACATGTGAAAGAATGCAAGAGGATCATTCCCATAAAGAAAAGAGGGTTTAATTATAAGATGCCTTTTATAGGCAATGGCTTCATTATTTCCCAGCTAAACCACTTATGATCGGCACAGCAGGAATGTGAAATGGAATAAAGACGACACGACAAAAGGCCAATAAGGAGAATATTTTCAGGCAGAATCAAATGGCATCAAACCAACAGCAACACCAAGAAACACTTAGCCATATAGTGAAACATGTAATTGCAAATTAGGGAAGAGGCACTATCTGAATCACCTATCCTGCACCCTGGCACTTCAGGCAGAGAAGAGGTATTTCCTTTGTTTTTTTCTAGGCTAATCTTACTCATGCTCTTAGGGGAACTCAAGAGTCAAATCGTGCAAATAGTCGCACTTGTCTGTTCAAAAGCACTTCATTATTTTCTACCCTTAAATTCAGTTTATTTCCTTTCCTGATAGTCTGATTTTCATGTGATTTCAATCCTTTCCCTTTCTTTGCAATACCTAATTTATGCCTCCCTGATAGTGTCAATGTATAATAGCAATAAGACACTGGTGGGCTTCTGTGCTTCCTCAATTCCTTCTGTAGTTGAACTTTCTCACTGCCCTGTGAAAGCCAGCAAGTGACCCAGAGGTTTCTATAAACATTTCTATTAATAATCCTAAGTTGTATTTCTCAAAATATTGGCCTTTTTCTCAGTCGTTCAGAATTGACAATCATTCCTATTTACTATTACAAAAGCGGCTGCCTTAGTATTCTTCAAGTAGAGAACAAATCTTTATCTGTTTATGAAGTGAGTTTAAACATATTCTACCTCTGCTTTCCTCATTTAACTAGGGAGGTCAAATATGTTGCTTATTAATCTCAGTAGCATGAGCAGCGCAGACCTTAATACTTGTTTAGTATTAGAAAAATCACTGACAGCAGAATGGTTAACTCTGCTTTAGAGACAGATGGAAGGAAAAAGAGAGAGAAAAGAAGAATATTGACAATGGGAGAGGAATTATGTAAAAATATAAAATAATTTGAAAGAATAAATGAGAGGAAATGGAAGAGAAAAAATAGGACTACAGGAAGAGAGTTAAGAGGATTTTTTTAAGCTACACAAGGTAAGGAGACAGGAAACATCTTTTTATCACTCTCTGTTAAACACAAAGCCAGACATTATATTTGAACTTACAATGATATATATTTTTTTCTCATTGGACAAATATAATTAATCAAAGAAAAAGGAAGAAACAAACAAATAGCAACAAAAAAAGAGAACCCTGAAGCTTAGAGAGGTTGAGGTTCCATAAAGAGGTGAGAGAACAAGTAAATATAGTCATGTGTCCCTTTGTTGTTGGGAATGTGTTCTGAGAAATTCATTGCTGGGTTATTTCATGATAATGAGAACCTCATAGAGTGTACTTACACAAACCTAGATGTTATACACCAGTGGTCCCCAATCTTTCTGGCACTAGGGACCAGTTTCATGGAACATAATTTTTCCATAGACTCAGGGTGGGCATGGTTTCAGGATGATTCATGTGAATTACATTTATTATGTACTTTATTTCTATTATTATTACATTTTCGTATATAATGAAATAATTACACAACTCACCATAATGTAGATTCAGCGGGATCCTTGTGCTTGTTTTCCTGCAACTAGAAGGCCTCATCTCAAGGTGATGGGAGACAGTGATAGATCATCAGGCACTAGATTCTTATAAAAATCACGCAACCTAGATCTCTTGCATGCACAGTTCACAGTGGGGCCCACACTCCTATGAGAATCAATGCCACCACTGAGCTGACATGAAGCAGAACCCAGGTGATAATGTGAGTGATGAGGAGCAGCTGTAAATACAGATAAAGCTTTGCTTTCTTGCTGACTGCTCAATTCCCACTATATGGCCCAGTTCTCAACAGGTCACAGACCAGTACCAGAGGTTGGAGACCCCTGTTATACTCTACTTTACACCTAGGCTATATAATATAGTCTATTGCTCCTAGGTTACAAACCTGAACAGCATTACTGTTCAGAATACTGTAAGCAACTGTAACACCATGGTATTTGTGTTTCTAAACATATCTAAACATAAAAAAGGTATAGTACAAATATGATAGAAAAGATAAAAAATGGAACACCTGTGTAGGGTGCTTATCATGAATACAGTTTGCAAAACTGGAAGTTGCTGTTGGTGAGTCAGTGAGCAAGTGATGAGTAAATGTGAAGGCCTAGACATTACTGTACACTACTGTAGATTTTATAATCCCTGAACGCTGAGGTGACATCAAATTTATAAAAACAATTTTCCTTTCTTCAATTAAAAATTCACCTTAGCTTACTGTATTTTTTTATTTTGTAAACTTTTTATTTTTTAACTGTTTCACTCTTACAGTAACACTTAGCTTAAAACACAAACACATTGTACAGCTACACAGAAATATTTTATTTATATCCCTAATATATGCTTTTTTATTTTTATATCTATATTTTTTATTTTTTACTTTCTAAACTATTTTGTTAAAAATTGAGACACAAACACATACATTAGCCTAGACCTACAGAGGGTCAGGATCATCAATATTACTGTCTTCCACCTCCACATCTTGTCCCACTGGTAGATCTTCAGGGACAAAAACGTGTGGAGCTGTCATCTCCTATGATAACAATGCTTTCTTCTGGAATACTTCCTGAAGGGTCTGCCTGAGGCTGTTTTATAGTTAACTTTAAAAAAATATGTAAGTAGGAGTACAGTGTAAAATAAAGATAAAAACAATAGTAAATGCATAAACTAGTCATTTATTATCAAGTATTATATACCACACATAATTGTATGTGCTATACTTTTATAAGACTTGCACTGCAGTAGGTTTGTGTACACCAGCATCACCACAACCAAGTGGGTAATACAGTGGGGACACTGCCACAGCTACAGTGTCACTAGATGATGCAAATTTTTAAGCTCCATTATAATCTTACGGAACCACCCTTGTATTTGCAGTCCGTCATTGCCTGAAATGCTGTCACGTGGCACATGACAGTACAAAGCCATCATTCCTGCAACGTTTATCAGATTCCAAGACAGATTTTCTAAAAGATGAGAAGGAAAACCAAGGATGCCCTCTAGAAAGGAAGAGATGAATCTCCTCTAACATGGAGTTAACCCATGCTAAGGCAACTTAACCACACTGACTTTTTAAATTGGCCCGTACTCTAAATATAACTTCACTTTTTGCAAACACAAGAGTAATTTTTAAAGTATCAAGCAATTACTTTCCTTTCTTTTTTTTTTTTTTTTTTTTTTGAGACGAAGTCTCACTCTATCGTGCGGGCTGGTGTGTAATGATGCAATTTTGGCTCACTTCAACCTCCACCTCCCAGGTTCAAGCAATTCTCCTGGCTCAGCCTTCCGAGTAGCTGGGACTAGAGATGTGTGCCACCATGCCAGCTAATTTTTGTATTTTTAGTAGATACAGGGTTTCACCATGTTGTCCAGGCTGATCTTCAACTTCTGACCTCAAATGATCTGCTCGCCTCAGCTTCCCAAAGTTCAATTACTTTCTTAAAGCAAGCATTGACCTTTTCTCAAAAGGATTTATTAACCACTGCCCCCAACTCAAAAACAACAACAACAACAAAAACAAAAAAACAAAAAAAAAAAAACCAAAAAACAACTTAGCCAGGCCTGGTCACTCCTGCCTATAATCTTGGCAGTTTGTAAGACCAAGACAAGAGGGTTGCTTTGGAATTAGAGATAGCTCAGGAATTCAAAACCAGACTGGGCAACATAGTGAGACTTCCTCATTGCAGAAAAATTTTTAAAAATTATCTGGACATGGTGGGGCATGACTGTAGTCCCAGCTACTCTGGTGGTTGAAGATCGCTTGGGCCAGGGAGACTGAGGCTGCAACGAGCTATAATAGAACCACTGCTCTCCAGCTTGGGCAACAGAGTGAGTCATGTCTCAAAAAATAAGAAAATAAACAAATAAAAATGTAAAACAAAACTTAAACTATACTTTTGTTTTCTTAAAGAAAGTATGTAAGAGCTAATTCTTAAAGATGCCAACATTCCTACTCTCCTGAAAAATATATTCCCTCATACTATGAAAAAAAGTTGAATTTCTCTCCTAAATTGATTTCAAATAGGAAGAGGGCCCATAAAACTCAGAGTGAATTTTTTTAAAATCTGGTGTAAATAGAAGAAAGCATAGATATAAGCTTTCCCAATTCAATCTCCTTCACATATAAATAATACTCATGGGATAGAAAATAAACTGAGTTGTTAACAGTAAGTAAACATATTAATTTATCCATTCTTTTTTTTTTAATTATACTTTAAGTTCTAGGGTAAACATGCACAACATGCAGTTTTGTTACATATGTATACATGTGCCATGTTGGTGTGCTGCACCCATTAACTCGTCATTTACATTAGGTATATCTCCTAATGCTATCCCTCCCCCCTCCCCCCACCCCACAACAGGCCCCGGTGTGTGATGTTCCCCTTCCTGTGTCCAAGTGTTCTCATTGATCAATTCCCACCTATAAGTGAGAACATGCAGTGTTTGGTTGTTTATCCTTGCGATAGTTTGCTGAGAATGATGGTTTCCAGCTTCATCCATGTCCCTACAAAGGACATGAACTCATCCTTTTTTATGGCTGCATAATATTCCATGGTATATATGTGCCACATTTTCTTAATCCAGTCTATCATTGCTGGACATTTGGGTTGGTTCCAAGTCTTTGCTATTGTGAATAGTGCTGCAATAAACACACATGTGCATGTGTCTTTATAGCAGCATGATTTATAATCCTTTGGGTATATACCCAGTAATGGGATAGCTGGGTCAAATGGTATTGCTAGTTCTAGATCCTTGAGGAATTGCCACACTGTCCTCCACAATGGTTGAACTAGTTTGCAGTCCCACCAACAGTGTAAAAGTGTTCCTATTTCTCCACATCCTCTCCAGCACCTGTTTGTTTCCTGACTTTTTAATGATCGCCATTCTAACTACTGTGAGATGGTATCTCATTGTGGTTTTGATTTGCATTTCTCTGATGACCAGTGATGATGAGCATTTTTTCATGTGTCTTTTGGCTGCATAAATGTCTTCTTTTGAGAAGTGTCTGTTCATATCCTTCAGGCACTTTTTGATGGGGTTGTTTCTTTTTTTCATGTAAATTTGCTTGAGTTGTTTGTAGATTCTGGATATTAGCCCTTTGTCAGATGAGTAGATTGCAAAAATTTTTTCCCATTCTGTAGGTTGCCTGTTCACTCTGATGGTAGTTTTGTTTGCTGTGCAGAAGCTCTTTAGTTTAATTAGATCCCATTTGTCTATTTTGGCTTTTGTTGCCATTGCTTTTGTTGTTTTAGAAATGAAATCCTTGTCCATGCCTATGTCCTGAATGGTATTGCCTAGGTTTTCTTCTAGAGTTTTTAAGGTTTTAGGTCTAATATTTAAGTCTTTAATCCATCTTGAATTAATTTTTGTATAAGGTGTAAGGAAGGGATACAGTTTCAGCTTTCTACATATGGCCAGCCAGTTTTCCCAGCACCATTTACTAAACAGGGAATCCTTTCCTCATTTCTTGTTTTGGTCAGGTTTATCAAAGATCAGATGGTTGTAGATGTGTGGTATTATTTCTGAGGGCTCTTTTCTGTTCCATTGGTCTACATCTCTGCTTTGGTATCAGTACCATGCTGTTTTGGTTACCGTAGCCTTGTAGTATAGTTTGAAGTCAGGTAGCATGATGCCTCCAGCTTTGTTCTTTTGGCTTAGGATTGACTTGCCAATGCGGGCTCTTTTTTGGTTCCATATGAACTTTAAAGGAGTTTTTTCCAATTCTGTGAAGAAAGTTATTGGTAGCTTGATGGGGATGGCACTGAGTCTATAAATTACCCTGGGCATTATGGCCATTTTTGTGATATTGATTCTTCCTATCCATGACCATGGAATGTTCTTCCATTTGTTTGTGTCCTCTTTTATTTCTTTGAGCAGTGGTTTGTAGTTCTCCTTGAAGAGGTCCTTCATATCCCTTGTAAGTTGGATTCCTAGGTATTTTATTCTCTTTGAAGCAATTGTGAATGGGAGTTCACTCATGATTTGGCTCTCTGTTTGTCTGTTATTGGTGTATAAGAATGCTTGTGATTTTTGCACATTGATTTTGTATCCTGAGATTTTGCTGAAGTTGCTTATCAGCTTAAGGAGATTTTGTGCTGAGGCGATGGGGTTTTCTAGAAATACAATCATGTCATCTGCAAACAGGGACAATTTGACTTCCTCTTTTCCTAATCGAATACGCTTTATTTCTTTCTCCTGCCTGATTGCCCTGGCCAGAACTTCCAACACTATGTTGAATAGGAGTGATGAGAGAGGGTATCCCTGTCTTGTGCCAGTTTTCAAAGGGAATGCTTCCAGTTTTTGCCCATTCAGTATGATATTGGCTGTGGGTTTGTCATAAATAGCTCTTATTTTTTTGAGATTTGTCCCATCAATACCCAGTTTATTGAGAGTTTTTAGCCTGAAGGGCTGTTGAATTTTGTTGAAGGACTTTTCTGCATCTATTGAGATAATCATGTGGTTTTTGTCTTTGGTTCTGTTTATATGCTGAATTACATTTATTGATTTGTGTATGTTGAACCAGCCTTGCATCCCAGGGATGAAGCCCACTTGATCATGGTGGATAAGCTTTTTGATGTGCTGCTGGACTCAGTTTGCCAGTATTTTATTGAGGATTTTTGCATCGATGTTCATCAGGGATATTGGTCTAAAATTCTGTTTTTTTGTTGTGTTTCTTCCAGGCTTTGGTATCAGGATGATGTTGGCCTCATAAAATGAGTTAGGGAGGATTCCCTATTTTTCTATTGATTGGAATAGTTTCAGAAGGAATGGTACCAGCTCCTCCTTGTACATCTGGTAGAATTCGGCTGTGAATCCGTCTGGTCCTGGACTTTTTTCGTTGGTAGGCTATTAATTATTGCCTCAATTTCAGAGCCTGTTATTGGTCTATTCAGGGATTCAACTTCTTCCTAGTTTAGCCTTGGGAGGGTGTATGTGTCCAGGAATTTATCTATTTCTTCTAGATTTTCTAGTTTATTTGCGTAAAGGTGTTTGTATTATTCTCTGATGGTAGTTTGTATTTCTGCTGGATTGGTGGTGATATCCCCTTTATCATTTTTTATTGTGTCTATTTGATTCTTCTCTCTTTTCTTATTAGTCTTGCTAGCGGTCTATCAATTTTGTTGATCTTTTCAACAAACCAGCTCCTGGATTCATTGATTTTCTGAAGGGGTTTTCTCTATCTCCTTCAGCTCTGCTCTGATCTTAGGTTATTTCTTGCCTTCTGCTAGCTTTTGAATTTGTTTGCTCTTGCTTCTCTAGTTCTTTAAATTGTGATGTTAGGGTGTCAATTTTAAATCTTTCCTGCTTTCTCTTGCGGGCCTTTAGTGCTATAAATTTCCCTCTACACACTGCTTTAAATGTGTCCCAGAGATTCTGGTATGTTGTGTCTTTGTTCTCATTGGTTTCAAAGAACACCTTTATTTCTGCCTTCATTTCATTATGTACCCAGTTCAATCAGGAGCAGGTTGTTCAGTTTCCATGTAGTTGAGGGGTTTTGAGTGAGTTTCTTAATCCTGAGTTCTAGTTTGATTGCACTGTGGTCTGAGAGACAGTTTGTTATAATTTATGTTCTTTTACATTTGCTGAGGTGTGCTTTACTTCCAACTATGTGGTCAATTTTGGAATAAGTGTGATGTGGTGCTGAGAAGAATATATATTCTGTTGATTTGGGGTCGAGAGTTCTGTAGATGTCTATTAGGTCCAGGTCCACTTGGTGCAGAGCTGAGTTCAATTCCTTGTTAACTTTCTGTCTCATTGATCTGTCTAATGTTGACAGTGGGGTGTTAAAGTTTCCCATTATTATTGTGTGGGAGTCTAAGTCTCTTTGTAGGTTTCTAAGGACTTGCTTTATGAATCTGGGTGCTCCTGTATTGGGTGTATATATATTTAGGATAGTTAGCTCTTCTTGTTGAATTGATCCCTTTACCATTATGTAATGGCCTTGTCTCTTTTGATCTTTGTTGGTTTAAAGTCTGTTTTATCAGAGACTAGGATTGCAACCCCTGCCTTTTTTTGTTTTCCATTTGCTTGGTAGATCTTCCTCCATCCCTTTATGTTGAGCCTATGTGTGTCTCTGCACGTGAGATGGGTTTCCTGAATACAGCACACTGATGGGTCTTGACTCTTTATCCAATTTGCCACTCTGTGTCTCTTAATTGGAGCACTTAGCCCATTTACATTTAAATATTGTTATGTGTGAATTTGATCCTGTCATTATGATGTTAGCTGGTTATTTTGCTCATTAGTTGATGCAGTTTCTTCCTAGCATCGACAGTCTTTATAAAAATTAGGCATGTTTTTGCAGTGGCTGGTACCAGTTGTTCCTTTCCATGTTTAGTGCTTCCTTCAGGAGCTCTTTTAGGGCAGGCCTGGTGGTGACAAAATCTCTCAGCATTTGCTTGTCTGTAAAGGATTTTATTTCTCCTTCACTTATGAAACTTAGTTTGGCTGGATATGAAGATCTGGGTTGAAAATTCTTTTCTTTAAGAATGTTGAATATTGGCCCCCACTCTCTTCTGGCTTGTAGAGTTTCTGCCGAGAGATCTGCTGTTAGTCTGATGGGCTTCCCCTTGTGGGTAACCCGACCTTTCTCTCTGGCTGCCCTTAACATTTTTTCTTTCATTTCAACTTTGGTGAATCTGACAATTATGTGTCTTGGAGTTGCTCTTCTCTAGGAGTATCTTTGTGGCGTTCTCTGTATTTCCTGAATTTGAATGTTGGCCTGCCTTGCTCGGTTGAGGAAGTTCTCCTGTATAACATCCTGCAGAGTGTTTTCCAACTTGGTTCCATTCTCCCCGTCACTTTCGGTATACCAATCAGATGTAGATTTGGTCTTTTCAGATAGTCCCATATTTCCTGGAGGCTTTGTTCATTTCTTTTTACTCTTTTTTTCTCTAAACTTCTCTTCTCGCTTCATTTCATTCATTTGATCTTCAATCACTGATACCCTTTCTTCCAGTTGATTGGATCGGCTATTGAAGCTTTTTAAGGTCAATATTGAAGCTATTGAAGGTCATTTAAGGACTTCTCTACACTGGTTATTCCAGTTAGCCATTCGTGTACTCTATCTATTCTTTTTAAAAAGACTGAATTTCATTTGCAGCTGGAAACAGAAAGGTGGGGTCCAGTTCATAGAACAGGATCTGTCAATATAGACTGGTGGATATAGAACCTGTAAAAAAACCTGGGGAACTATGGTGTATTAGTCTGTTCTCACACTGCAATAAGATACTACCAGATAGTGGGTTATTTATTTAAAAAAGAGGTTTAATTAATTCACAGTCTGGCATAGCTGGGGAAGCCTCAGGAAACTTACAATCATGGTGGAAGGTGAAGGGGAAGTAGGCATCTTCTTTACAAGGCAACAGGAGAGAGAGTGTATGTAAAGAAGGAACTGTCAATGATTTATAAAATCATCAGATCTCATGAGAACTCACTATCATGAGAACAGAATGGGGGAAACAGTACTGGGGTACCTGCCTCCCTTTGGGTGTCTCCCTCAACATGTGGGGATAGTGGGGATTACAACTCAAAATAAGATTTGGGTGGGGACACAGAGCCAAACCGTATCATTCAATTCCTGGCCACTCCAAAATCTCACATCCTTTGTATGTTTCAAAACCATCCATGCCTTCCCAACAGTTCCCTTAAGTCTTAACTCATTCCAGCATTAACCCAAAAGTCCAAGTCCAAAGTTTCATCTGAGACAAGGCAGCCTCTTCCATCTACGAGCCTGTAAAATCAAAAACAAGTTAGGTACTTCTAAGATACAATGAGGTTACAGAATTGGATAAATGCTCCCATTTCAAATGGGATAAATTGGCCAAAACGAAGGGGCTACACTGAATCCATAATGCACACTGACATCATTTAAGCCAGTTTTATGATAGCTCACTTATTCTACCTCACATAACATGTAATGTATAACCAGGGATTGTTCTCAGTGATATAGCAGGGAACAACCTGGGTAAAAAAAGTCCTTAACCATATAAGGCTCACATTCTAATAGGGAGAGTAAACTCAAGCATAATCTTGAGTTTCTGACAATCAAAATGAAAACTTTTTGTGAATAGTAAGGACTTCCTGCTTTATTTCAACTAAGGGATATAATGGACAAGGGTCAGCGGGGTGGGGGGTGGGGCAGGGGATCAGTTAGGGATTCCCTAAGTAGTTTAGATGGAGGGTTTGTTGTCATACTGTGAAATGATAGTCATATCATTGGCAAGTGTGTTTTATTTTCACAATTAGATATATTCCAGGAAACAACCAAAAAATGTTTATTTTCCTGTACAAATTATTGTCTCGGGAGACAAAAACCTCTCATTTCAGATTGCCTTATCTTCATTTTGGATGGATTATATAACGTATATCCTGCATGTAATTATCTATGCCTCTCAGCCCTTGACTGCAGCTGTTTATTTATCTGAGTGCAAACAAAAAATGACCATGTAGAAAATCATTGCATGAAGAATCTTAGATAAAGCTTTTTGTAAAGTGAAGACTCATTTTATAATACAGTTTACCACTTCTTCTTTTATCCACATTATAAAATAGGATTTGCGTATGTGGCATCTTCATTAAAAAATAGTATCAGGAGGGCTCACTTATAAATTGTCCAGCAATAATCTGAGAAATAATAGAATAATAAATAGTAAATACACGTTCTGAGAGATTATTGCCCTAAAGTACTGAATGTAGGGAGGTTTCTTAAAAAATGAAAACCTCTTATTATGGAGAGAATGTTTTATATAGAGCTCAACCTCTGACCTGTTAGTAGCAAAATTAATATAATTAATATTTAGTCATGAATTACTTTAGCATTAAAAGTTTTTTTCTGAATGGATAAAAACTTCTTTATTCTAAGTAAAAATAAAATACTGAGAGACCTTTCATCTCTGATAAGTTCCCAAGTGGTATTAGAAAAATATAGATAAAGGAGTCTCTATTTTGATAGTCATGTGTGACTATGAATGCATACTTGGTTACCATCAGGTAACCTATAAAGGAAAACCTATCAGATTAACAGCAGTTTTCTCAGCAGAAACTCTACAAGCTAGAAGGGATTGGGATCCTATTTTTAGCCTCTCTAAACAAGACAATTACCAGCCAAGAAATTTGTATACCGCAAAACTAAGCTCCATAAAGGAAGGAAAGATATGGTCTTTTCCAGACAAACAAATGCTTAAAGAATTTGCCACTACCAAGTCAAAACTATAAGAACTGATAAAAGGAGCTCTAAATCTCAAAACAAATCCTCAAAATACACCAAAGTAGAATGTCCTTAAGCATAAATCTCACAGGACCTTTATAACAATAACACAATGAAAAAAACAAGGTATTCAGGCAACAAATAGCACAATGAATGCAATAGAAACTCACATCTCAATACTAACATTGAATGTAAATGGCCTAAATGCTCCATTTAAAAGATACAGAATGGCAGAATGGATAAGAATTCACCAGTCACATTTCTGCTGTCTTCAGGACACTCACCTAACACATAAGAACTCACATAAACTTAAGACAAAGGGGTGGAAAAGGACATTGCATGCAAATGGACACCAAAAGTGAATAGGAGTAGCTATTCTTATATCAGACAAAACAATCTTTAAAGCAACAGGAGTTTAAAGGACAAGGAGGTACATTATATAATGATAGAAGGCCTTGTCCAACAGGAAATATCACAATCCTAAATATATATGCACCTAACACTGAAGCTCCCAAATTTACAAAACACTTACTCCTAGACTTAAGAAATGAGATAGAAGGCAACACAATAATAGTGGGGGATTTTATTACTCCACTGACAGCACTAGACAAATCATTAAGACAGGAAGTCACCAAAGAAACAATGGAATTAAACTATACCCAAAAACAAATGTACTTAACAGATATTTACAGAACATTCTACCCAACAATTGCAGAATATACATTTTAGTCATCAATACATGGAACATTCTCCAAGATAGACCATATGATAGACCACAAAACAAATCTCAACAAATTTCAGAAAATTGAAATTATAGCAAGTACTCTGTCAGACCACAGTGGCATAAAGTTGGAAATCAACTCCAAAAGGAACCCTCAAAACCATGCAAATACATGGGAATTAAATAACCTGCTCCTGAATGATCATTGGGCTAACAATGAAATCAAGATGAAAATTTAAAAACTCTTTGAACTCAACAATAATAGTGACACAACCTATCAAAACATCTGGGACACAGCAAAAGCGGTGCCAAGAAGAAAGTTCATAGCATTAAATGCCTACATCAAAAAGCCTGAAAGAGCACACATAGACAATCTAAGGTTATATCTCATAAAACTAGAGAAACAAGAACATTCCAAACCCAAATCCAGCAGAAGAAAAGAAATAACAAGATTAAGAGGAACTAAATAAAGTTGAAAGAAACAAACAACAACAAAAACAAAACAAAAGATAAATGAAACAAAAAGCTGGTTCTTTGAAAAGATAAATAAAATTGATAGACCATCATCAAGATTAACCAAGAAAAGGAGAGAACATCCAAATAAGCTCAATTAGAAACAAAATGGGAGGGCCGAGCATTGTGGTGCATGCCTGTAATCCCAGCACTTTGAGAGGCCATGGTGGTCAGATCACCTGAGGTGAGGAGTTTGAGATGAGCCTGCCCAACATGGTGAAACCTCATCTCTACTAAAAATACAAAAAGTTAGCCAGACATAGTGGTGTGCACCTGTAATTCCAGCTACTGCAGGGGGTGCTGAGGCAGGAGAATAACTTGAACCCAGGAGGCAGAGTTTGCATTGAGCTGAGATCATGCCACTGCACTCCATCCTGGGCGACAGAGTGGGATTTTGTCTCAAAAAATAAAAAAGAAACAAAATGGGAAATATTACAACCAGCACCACAGAAATACTAAAGATCATTCAAAGCTGCTATGAACACCTTTATGCACATAAACTAGAAAAGCTAGAGGATATGGATGGATTCCTGGAAATATACAACCCTACTAGCTTAAAACAGGAAGAATTAGAAACCCTGACCAGATCAATAACAAGCAGCAAGATTGAAATGGTAATAACAAAATTGCCAGCAACAACAACAACAACAAAAAAAGTCCAGAGCCAGACAGATACAGCTGAATTCTACCAGACATTCAATGAAGAATTGGTACCAATCCTGTTGACACTATTCCACAAGAGACAGAAAGTGAGAATCCTCCCTAAATCATTCTACAAAGCCAGTATCACCCTAATACCAAAACCAAGGAAGGACATACCCAAAAAAGAAAACTACAGACCAATATCCCTGATGAACATGGATAAAGAAATCCTCAACAAAATACTAGTTAACTGAATCCAACAGCATATCAAAAAGATAATCCACCATGATCAAGTGGGTTTCATACCAGGGATGCAAGGATGGTTTAACCCACATAAATCAATAAATGCAATACACCATATAAACAGAATTAAAAACAAAAATCACATGATCATCTCGATAGATACAGAAAAAGCACTTGACAAAATTCAGCAACTCTTTATGATTAAAACCCTCAACAAAATCAGCATAGAAGGGATATGCCTTAATTTAATAAAAGCCATCTATGAGAAACCCATAGCTAGTATAATGCTGAATGGGGAAAAGTTGAAAGCACTTCCATTGAAATCTAGAACAAGACAAGGATGGCCACTCTCACCACCTCTATTTGACATAATTCAACTCACCTATTTGGCCTCTAAAGAAAACAGATCTTGAAGAATGAAAGTATATTTTCATAATATTTTTAGAAAACTCTTTCTCATTTCAATAGGTTTTTAGGAATCAGGTGGTGTTTGGTGACATGAACTCACTGAATAGGTAAGCTGAACGGAGATGTGATGGGAATCACCATTTTGCATCTTTCAAACACTTGATAGTGGTATTAATTTCTGCAATCCCTCCAGAAATATGTGCGTGTGTGTGTGTGTGTGTGTGTGTGTGTCTGTTTTCCGGGGTAGATGCAATTCTAGTTTCTGCCACTGGCCTTTTCCACTGTAACAGATGTTATTCCACAGGTCAGGGAACCAATTTGAGGATTCTGCCAGCTGCTGAGTATGTCTATTCCAATTATTCATTCTGAAACTAGAGAAATAACCACAGAATTGATTTAGGAAATCACTGTGGGACTCACTGAGCCTACCAGGAGACAGACCTGAGCTAAAACACCATTGATCAGTGATCGCCATAAGCCCCTCATCTGACTGGTGGGCCACCGTGACATTTTGGGTCTCCTGGAATTAGTGTCAGTTCAGAACCTCTGTCCCGTAGTTCCAAAAGAGCCTGATTATTTTCTTTTCCCCAACAGACAGTTACCGTGGTAAAAAAAAAAAAAAAAAAAAAAAAAAAAAGACATAAGTTCCATTGGGGAAGGCTAGAGGAAGGATCTCAGCTGAATAATTTAAGTCCTAAGCACACTTCTCAAAGGCCCCAAAACTGCCCATATTGTTATTCCATACCTCTGTTCCCATTTTTACCATGGTCTCAGTTTGTTCCTTATGCTATAACAAAATATCACAGACTAGGTAACTAATAAATAATATAAATTTATTTCTCACATTTCTGGAGTTTGAGAAGACCAAGATCAAGGTGCCAGAAGATTCAGTGTCTGGTAAGGACAGTTCTCTGCTTCCAAGACAGGATTTTTTGCTATATCCTCACATACAATAGATGAACAGATCCATCACATCTCTTTTATAAGGTCAGTAATCTCATTTATGAAGGGAAAACCCTCAGCACTTAATCACCTCCACAAAACAGGGGCAATTAAGTTTCAACATATGACGTTTAGGGGACACATTCAGACCATAACCAACCAGGTCCCAGAGGTCCTTTGAGCCCTCCTTCAATCACTAAGCACTAACAACCAACAATATAGCTTATTTAAATTATTTTCAATCCTACTTAATATCTTAACACGGTACAACTGAAAAAGTGCTTTGGCATTATTTATTTCAGTTGGTCAATAAAATATTTTTTAGAGGGATCTGACTAGATATTAGCATTAAGATGAGAAAAATGACCTGGGGCTCATGTCATTAATGTTATTTCATCCAAATAAATTTCAGAGACAATATCTGCTGAGGACACTAATGTCAGTATTCCTTTGGATTATAACTTCATTGTTCAACATTTCTAAATCAGATTACATGAAAAATTGTAAACTGTGATAATAAGAGTGTCATATTAAAATTAATTATATATACTCATTTCATGGAAAATAAAAACCTGAGGGATAGGTTGAATTCATTTGTATAGAGAGAAACTGTAAAATTTCCTTGGATTTAGAAATTTTATTAAACAAATAATTGAAATAATGGATGATTACAAAAGAAATTAATGGTTAATGCAAATCATGGTAATGGCCTTACATAGACCCCAGGCAGAAAAATATATTTATTCTGTTCCTAATTGTGACATTGTGAAATTTTTATTGGTATCAATATGAAAAAGATATGTGAACATGATGTGCTCTATTAGCAAATTCTTTCATTTGCATCTTTCATTTAAAAACATCATAAACAGATGGAATATGCTATTTTTATGTCTTCTATATGTTCTAACAATGTAGACTAGAGATCTGATTCAGTACAACTTAATAGAAGAAACTCATTCTAAAAAATATAGAAGAAATTCACATATTTAATCAAATAAAAGATAACAACCTAGAGAATGACATTAGACTAGCAGTCCACAGAAATTACAGAATAAAAGAACTAGATGAAATTTCAAGATCATATAGTTCATCCTTTCATATTTTACAAATGAGGCAATAATCTCTAAGAGCATGCAACTCGCTTAAGGTCATGGGATAACTAAATGGAAAAGTGAAGTTCCATTTAGTTCCACTTTTCTTTCAGTGAAAACATATAAACTTCCTCTGACAATTCTCCATTAAATTACACATTCTTGGTCCCATCATTGTAAACTTTACTTAAAATAATAAAATGGTCACCTTGTAACCAGCTTGCAGAAAAGCTGGTATATATGAACATAAATTTAAATATTAATAATAATAATCCAACAACAAAAAAAGAGAGCTATGTTCTCTGAAAAAGCAACTGTTTGCAATAGATATAACTGAAATTCACAAAATGATTAACAAGATAGTAAATCAAGGAAATAAATATTGAATGTTCACCAAGTTATTGCATGAGAGGATATAAGAAATTAACATTATATGTCTAGCATTGTATGTGTAACATTTCAATCATTACCATAAAATTTTAGCTCCATTTAAACAATTAAATAATTAAGATTTATATATGCTATGCTAATTGCTCAAATTCAAACATCTAGTAAATAATAGAAGATTTAGGCATGGTTTTGTTAAAAGATAATATTGACTGTTTTTGTTTGTTTGTTTGTTTGTTTTGATACGGAGTTTTGCTCTTGTTGCCCAGGCTGGAGTGCAATGGTGAGATCTCGGCTCAACACAACCTCTCCCTCATGGGTTCAAGCGATTCTCCTGCCTCAGCCTCCCGAGTAGCTGGGATTACAGGTGTGTGCCACCACGGCCAGCTAATTTTGTATTTTTAGTAGAGACAGGGTTTCTCCATGTATGGTGGTCAGGCTGGTCTCTAACTCCCGACCTCAGGTGATCTGCCCGCCTCAGCCTCCCAAAGTGCTGAGGTTACAGGCGTGAGCCACCGCACACGGCTGTTGATTTTTAATTGTTATGGTTCTTAAAACTTGGAAGTAAATTTAACTTGAATTAAGAAATAAGGTATATCGCCTGTAATCCCAGCACTTTGGGAGGCCGAGGCGGGTGGATCATGAGGTCAGGAGATCGAGACCATCCTGGCTAACAAGGTGAAACCCCTTCTCTACCAAAAATACAAAAAATTAGCCGGGCGCGGTGGCGGGTGCCTGTAGTCCCAGCTACTCGGGAGGCTGAGGCAGGAGAATGGCGTGAACCCGGGAAGCGGAGCTTGCAGTGAGCCGAGATTGCGCCACTGCAGTCCGCAGTCCGGCCTGGGCGACAGAGCGAGACTCCGTCTCAAAAAAAAAAAAAAAAAAAAAAAAAAAAAAAAAAAAAAAAAAAAAAAAGAAATAAGGTATATCAAGGCTGGGAGCAGTGGCTCACACCTGTAATCCAGAACTTTGGGAGGCTGAGGTGGGTGGATCACTTGAGGTCAGGAGTTTGAGACCAGCCTGGCCAACACGGTGAAACCACAACTCTACTAAAAATACAAAAATTAGCCAGGCTTGGTGGTGCCTGCCAGTAATCCCAGCTACTGGGGAGGCTGAGGTGGGAGGATCACATGAACCCAGGAGGCAGAGCTTGCAGTGAGCTGAGATCCTGCCAGTGTACTCCAGCCTGGGCGAAAGAACAAGACCCTGTCTCAAAAAAAAAAAAAAAAAAAACAGAAAAGGAAACAGAAATAAGGTGTATTGGTATACATTTATGAAATCTGTGGGTTTTTGATAACTAATAAGCAATTATTAATGATATTTTAAAAACTTTATATCCTCATCCTTGACCCATTTAAGACTTTTAGCTTTTCTGCATTATTGTTGTGATTTTTATTATTTCAAAATTGACATCATACTAACCAAAATTTCAATTTTAAAAATTGTATATAACATTACTTCAATTATTCAATGAACATTTATTATTTTAGCTACTTAAGATTTTTCTTGCTTTTATATATTTTCCTTTTCTAGTTGGCTTTCACATGTTTATTAGCAGAAGATCTCTATTACCTTTATCCAAAAGGAGATTTCAATCACCTTTATTAGAAAGGGTGCATTATTCTTCTAGAGAATGTCTGCTAGAAATTAGTATTTATATAGAGTTTTTTTAAATCAATGCACTTTTTACCTCTGTAGACAATCTCATCCATTTATACCTCCAAAATACAAATATTTCACAAATCTCTTATGGTAGATATTGGTAGTACTCATTAATATTTTCAATTATCTTGACATTCTAGGCAGATAAGATGATTATACTTGCTACTCTAAATTAGAACTGGCTATGTGTCTTACTTTGGCTCATGAAATGTTATTCACTTCCAGGTGGAAATGTTTAAGAGCCAGTGAAAGAGTTGTCTGTGTTCTCTTTCTATTCTTAAAGACCTTTATTGAGATGATGGGGTTGTAAATTGGCTGACCTACTGTCAGCCAATATCCATGGCACTGATAAGCAGAGCCTTCCTGCCAAACTACACTGGACATGCTTCTAAGAGCAGGGAGTGGTTTGTTACAGCACCATAAAATAACCTAACTTGAAGATATCTTTACAAAAGGCATATCTTCCCAGAACCTTTACTATTACATCCAAATTCAAACTAAACATTTTTAGCTAGATGATTCGGAGCCCTGTCAAGTTCTTCCTTCCTCTATTATTTACAACTGCCATCAACATGCTTTAGTATTTAATTGTAGGTCTTCGCTTTGGACTGATATCTATATTAATATAGCCTACACCAATCTAAATAGATCCAACTATGACAAAAAATACTGGTGTTATATTATGTGGTTGTTATACATTTTGGAGTAAAACCTTCAATGTGTTGATTATTACTACCCCTTATTTAGAATATACAGGCCACAACATGATAAACATATATGTATATAAATCAAGAACTAATAAATAATAGCATCATGCCACACTGAATCAGGCTCTAGTTTGGTTTTGTTTTTGAAATAATAGTCACAAGTTAAAGTCTCCATCAAGATAGCCTTTTTTTTCACTCCCCAAAGAAAGTCATTATCCTGGCTGGGCGCGGTGGCTCACGCCTGTAATCCCAGCACTTTGGGAGGCTGAGGCGGGCAGATCACGAGGTCAAGAGATCAAGACCATCCTGGCCAACATGGTGAAACTCTGTTGCTACTAAAAATACAAAAATTAGCTGGGCTTGGTGGCGCATGCCTGTAGTCCCAGGTACTTGAGAGGCTGAGGCCGGAGAATTGCTTGAACCTGGGAGGCAGAGGTTGCAGTGAGCTGAGATTACGCCACTGCACTACAGCCTGGTGACAGAGCGAGACTCTGTCTCAAGAAAAAAAAAAAAAGTCATTATCCTAAAGCCATTTACATTATTTTTATACATATTTTATCATTTTAATGGCAGTATGTAGTACATTGAAGTGATGTAATGACATGCATTTTTGCAACATATTTTTGACACAAAAAATATATTTCAGATTTATCCATGATAAGTAGAAAACTAGTTTACTTGTTTTAGCTCCAGTATAGTATTTTATCTTGTGAATAAACCATGATTCATACATTAATTCCTTTATTGTTAGATATTTAGATTAGTTTTGGTCTTCACATTTATTAATAATAGTGAAACAAATACCTTTGTACATTTCTACAAGTATAAATTTTTAACAGCTTCTCTCCAGAATAAATGTAAAAGTGGGATTGCTAAGTCATGGGGTAATCTTATCACCAGTTTGTCCAGATTTTGCTAATTATTTTTTAGAAATGGCTGTGGCAATTTGCACTCTCAAAAGCAATTTATGAGAGCTCATATTTCTCATTTCCTCACCATGTTGATTAAAGTGATATATATGAATGGTATAAAAATCAATTTATATTTATTTTACATTTTCATCAAAGTGGCTTATATGAAATACTACTAAATTAATTTTCCTTTTATTATTTTCAGTGTCCAGCAATATTTTGGTTTTCATTTTTGTGAGTTGCCCTTCACTTCTTTTGCTTTTTACCTGTTAGAATGTCTTTTTATTTTTTGTATGTTAATTTCTTACTAATTATGTGCTTTGCAGGTGCTTTCTGAAAGTCAGTCAAATAAATTTTTATATTGTCAAGGGATCTTTTTTATACAGGCATTTAAATTTTAGCATAATTATATTATATGCTTTATGAGTTATGTTTTCTACATTTTACAAAATGTTCTACCCACTCATTGTTATAAAAATTGTCTACTGTATGTATTCTAAAGGCTTTACATTTTATTATTTTTCACATTTGGATCTTGAATCTTTTTTTTAATTTAGTGTGATGGGAAAAAAACACATTTTTTTTTTATTTTCCCATATGAATAGCCACAAGATGTGGCTATTCTGGAACCATTTATTGACTAGCTCTATTAAACTACATATATTTCAAAATTTCCTTTAGATATATCCCATATTTTAGAAATTTTGTTCATAGCTAAGCTGATATCATACATTACCTAAAATTAGTTACTTCACTCTACACTTCTATAAACCTCATTTTAAACATGTATTAAATGAAGTAAAAGAATGTCCTACATAACTCTTATTAGAATATCTTGCTTTCTGTCTATCATTCATCCATACAGCCAATGAATTTAGAATAATTCTAACCATCCACCATGGCCTCTAACATATCTAGACTCTACCTAGTTATCAAGATCTCATTTTATGTAACTTTTCTTCATATTCACCATACCCCTAACAAATGGATCTTCATTTATTGTTTGACCAAACCAATTTCTCTCCCTTCCTAGGGACACTGTGCAATTTATTTTGTCTGACTGGATAACCTTTCCCAGATTTTCAAATGATTTTTATTGAAATTCAGCTTTCAACTCACATGTAACAATTCTAATAGAGGCCTTTTGATCAACAAATAAAAGGTCACCTTTTTATAATATCAAATTATCTACTACATAACATTATTTTCTCATTCCATAGAACTTAAAACTATATGAAAATGTGTAGGTTTTCTATTAGTTTATGTTTCTGTCTTCCAAATACTATATCATAATTTTTGTAAAATCTATGACTTTAATTTCTAAATTTCTCATTGTTCAATTCATAGCACATAGAAGCATATCTAGCATGTTGTGGCCACTCATTTGATATTTGCTCAATAAAGACTAAAGAAAGTAATAAAACTGTGCTTTTATTTACCAATTATTTTACACTGTATAATCTTCAAAATTATTCATCAAGTAACATTTACTTTTCTTACTTATTTTGCAAAAAATATCGACTATTTCATTTATATTATAAACTTCAGACAATGTGCACTAAAAATAACAAATCCAGTTGGAAAATGACCCCCCACAAAATAGAATTTTAATTAAGTAAATGATAAGATTGAACAATTAAAATCAAATCCCTACATTTCCAACTGTGTTGTTTTCAAAATAGATAATAAGAATTAATCTTATTGTTAGTATAAAATATCATCTGCCCTAGTATGTTAATGTTAAATCCTGCTTAAGTGTCCTTTTTGCCTATTCTTTTTTTTTTTTTTTTTTTTTTTGTGACGGAGTCTTGCTCCATCATCCAGGCTGGAATGCAGTGGCGCGATCTCAGCTCACTGCAACCTCCGCCTCCGGGGTTCAAGTGATTCGCCTGCCTCAGCCTCCCGAGTAGAGAAAGTGGGATTGCAGGCACCCCACCACACCCAGCTAATTTTTGTATTTTTAGTAGAGATGGGGTTTCACCCTGTTGGCAGGCTGGTCTCAAACTCCTGACCTTAGGTGATCCACCCACCTCGGCCTCCCAAAGGGCTGGGATTACAGGTGGGAGCCACCACACCTGGCTTTTGCCCTATACTTTAAAGCTCTGTTTTTATAATCTTCTTTATCTAGATTATCAATACAAAGTTTAATAATCATGTTATATTAGATACATTTAAAGAACTTGGTCTAGATTTGTGGCTCTGCCAGGGAAACAGAAAACATGACATGAAGATATTTTCTGACTTATGGCTTAAATGGTGTACTGTGTAATCTAGCTGGGTATAGAAGAAAGTCTAGACAGAAAGTAGTTTATATATTGATGGATGGATGGATGGCTAGGTGATAAATAGATATGCAGATAGAGAGATAGATAGATATTAGATGATGAAATGGGATAGTCAAGGAACTGTAGTCTTGATATAATAGAAAAAACAGATTGAGGTATCAGGATAAAAATGTAAGATATTATCTTGGAACTTAGAATTTTAACAATAAAACATTTTGCTCACCAAGATATAGGGCAGTACAACAAACATTAGAGGCCAAGTTAAAATGGAGATGAGTATCATGACTTTATAGATTAGTATTATGAGAATCCATGGATCTGAAAGGCAATATGGCTGGAAATGTGAGTCATAAGGCTGGTGAAATCACATAAGGTAATGACATAATTTGAGGTGCAGGGAAGAATCTATCCAGGTCCAAAAGTCTTCAAAGAATCCTGGATGATTCAGTAATCATTCTGACTCTAAGAAAAATCGGTAACATTGAGTTCAAGAAGAGACGGTACCCTTTATTGAATGGCAACGACTTCAGTGTGGTAGATTTTTTTTCTGAGAGTGAAAGATTAACATACTAAACAATGAAGTTTGGAAAATCCAACACTATTCCCAGAAAAAGCTCAAAGGTACATGTAGAATAAAAAAAAAATAGAATTTTCTTGAGAATATTTTAGAGGCAGCAGGATCTTTGAAAGGAAAATAATTTTTGATTGAGGCAAGTAGGATAAAATATTTAGTGAATTACTTGAGAATACAAAGGACAAGTTAGTTTTTATCCAACTTGTGCCATGAACTTTTAATTTATAAAATGGATTCTTTAGAAGAGTAAATAGCACTGTGAGTCACTGTTATTGATGTTATTCATTTCCTTCTTATTATAATTTATTATTTTACTGTATCATGAAAATTAAGAATTTTGGGGGCCAGGCACAGTGGCTCATGACTGTAATCCCAGCACTTTGGGAGGTCGCGATGGGTGGATCACGAGGTCAGGAATTCAAGACCAGCCTGGCCAAGATGCTGAAACCCCGTCTCTACTAAAAATACAAAAATTAACCGGGTGTGGTGGCATGTGCCTGTAATCCCAGCTACTCAGGAGGCTGAGGCAGGAGAATCACTTGAACCCGGGTGGCAGAAGTTGCGGTGAGCCGAGATTACGCCACTGCACTCTAGCCTGGGTGACAGAGCAAGACTCCATCTCAAAACAAAAAAAAAAAAAAAGAATTTTGGGGAACATATTTGAAAAGTTTGTGGGAGATTGATTTGAAGGAAAATACAGACATAGTAGTTATCCTGTGTAGATTACAGACATAGTAGTTATCCTATATAGATGAGAATGTAGGAAGATTAGATAGAAGACCACAAACATCTACTCATTTATTTTACTGCAACTTAGTATGATAGCATTATGTAATATGGTAGAAATAACAGCTGGAAAAATTCTCTAATTAAGGTGCTGCAGCCTATATTATTTGTAATTTTGAAGGATTTATCCACCAACAGTAAGTATAGTTTACTGGAAACTCACTAATAGTTACAAATTTTTCAGCAACAGGTAGATGGTGTTATCCAGGGCTTCCTGGAAACAATAGTCAAAATCTGCTTTGGACATCTTCACTTTTCTATTTTGATTGCCTCATCAGTTGAAACAACTTTGTCTCTTGGGGAATTCATTGTTTTATAATATGAAAAAAACTATTAATTACTTCTTGAGAATTGCCATGTACTCAATTTCAGATGGATAACAGCAAATAGCAAAGCCAGGTTTAGGTATAGATGCTATTTTTCTGGTATTTTTCCACTGAGTCAAACACAATGGAAATTATGAGGATATCATGTTACCCCCACTGTTTCTCAGTGTAAGAAAGACATTTCTAATGATTATTTTTTTCGAAATGGAATAGATTGTCTCAAGTAGTACCAAGTATGGAATATTTTATAGAAGTCATTGAAATTCTTGACTGGTGGGTAGACTTCTAAGTTTCCTACAAACTCTGATATTTCTGAAATATTTACTGCTATGATTTATATTCCTGATGCATAGCAGTACTTTGTAAATACTACTGTTTGGACCATTGGTTGGTTAAAAAAAAAAAAGAAGAAAACTCAGGAGCAGGAGACATAAATGATATGCCCACAGAGTTCTGCTCACTGAGAGGTCAACATAAATTAACCATGCTTGATTATCCCTCAAGAGTAGGAAAAATACTACCATATAAGTTATGACCTTTTGGCTGAGAATTCCCAGATCTAAGAGCAGTTTCTTTCTGCCAACCTTATATCTTCTGAGCTTACAGATACAGAACTAGTAGAGAACTCAGGGTGGAAGTTTAATAATCACACAAGCGTCCCCTCAATCCTAGATCCTTGAGAAGAGATTCATCAATCCTGTTTGCTTGCTAGCTTGCTTTCTTCCTTTCTGTCTTTCTTCTTCCTGTGTTTCTTTCATAACAACTCATGAAAGCTTACTCATGGCAAGCAATGTTCTAGACATTGGATATACTGCAGTGAACAAAACTATGAGTCTCATTTTATGGGGGAGAGACAAAAAATATACATTAAATATCACAAATATGCATATATATGCTGGGAATAATCTATATTCTAGGGTTCATAAATATTGATCTGTGATTTGTGCCAGATTAAATTGGGAAAACATTACAGTTACAGACAAAATGGGCTTGTTTGATAGGTCATACATATCCAGTGGGGATGTTTTTAGATGGAACACATTATGACATAATGCAGTTAAAACCAATTTGTCAAATAATTTAAGCAAAATAATTCACTTTACAAACAAACATCATAGGTCATCCTAAGTTACTTGAATTGTCTGCCTACAATGATCAGAGTAATTAAGTTTCAAATAAAGCAGATGATGAGTTTTGCTCTATTTTGACCCAGGTGACCAAAATAGGCTGTAAATTGGAAATAATTTTTAACTGTGATTCCAAATATTATTCCTACTCATCTATATGTAGTTCAAATAAATCACCTCTCACATATCGATGAGTAAAACAGTAATGCAAACTTAAAATTCGTATACACACTCAAGAGCTTCCTGGCAAAAAGTATTATAAGCAAACAAATGTTCCAGGTTTTAATCATTTTAGTCCATTGAATTGTAACATTGATTGTAGACATCATTTTAAAACCATGCAAAGTTATTCACTTAAGGATATCTTATAAAATTTGTAATATTTTTATAGTCCTAATGGAAAAGGTAACTAAAAATATATTCAAGGCTGGGAAGTTCTTATGCAGAATGTCTTTTTGGTACTTATACCATACTTCATGAGCGTTTGTGACATTAAGCAAGGCGTAGAAAAAATTATTTATGCATTTTAATTTTTTCAGAGTTTGTTCTATGCAGTTTTCCAACTTATGTCATCTGGTGCTGCCTTAGAAAAAAAGAAGTACTATATGAACTACATTTGATTTTATTTGTTTCTACAAAAACAAAATAGCAATCACAGTGAGTGAAAGGAAATATTTTGCTTTTGAATGTGCACAAATAAAATATGGAATTTAAAACAGAAACCAAATTAACCAGTGGTATTATGCCTCAATAATGAAATCTATTTCATAGTAGACTATAGATATTATTAGGTAAGATTTTTATACCATGTGCCTAATACTGTCTTTGGAACATAAGGTATCCAATGTATGTTTATTGAAATAAATAAATTTTGATGGAGAAAAGTGGGTAGGCAAGGACTTATGTTAGCCATGGGATTCTTAGTGAAAAAGAAAGAGAAAGAGAGAAAGAAGCATTTGGTTCACCAAAAGACAATGCATGGAAAGACTATGAACACTAAATCCTAGCTTTCCTAGATTTACAATTTTTCTCAAGGCCTGACTGGGTTTATTTACTGCAAAATAGAAATAGAAAAGAAACACTTTGGTGTATACTAGAGACAATGTAACCTTATTTTTAGTACATTCTCCTTATTGACTAGTGGTGGACTTGAACAAACATGTGGTTTTGTATGTATACATTTGTAAACCCACAAAAATATATATTTAGCAACTCACACTTGAACTTTTTTTTGCCACAGCAATACGATAGTTTGAAAGTTGAGTAAAACAAGGTTCCTTTCCAGCCTTCACAAACTCATTGTGTAGGAGTGGGAGACAAAACCAAGAGGTACCTGAAAGTTCACAAGTTTATATCTTGCTGGAAGATTAGACTGCATTTTGATAGCCTGTGGAAGCTCTGTGGAAATCATCATAGAATAATTAAAATGAGTCCCAATGCTTGAATGCTACCTTTATTTATATATTGCTTTCCCAAAGTAATGACACTTCATATAAGAAAAAACAGAGAGAGTTTTATGATATACTTGTTTTTTGGAGGTTGCAGTGAGCCAAGATCATGCCACTGCACTGCAGCCTGGGCGACAGTGCGAGACTCTGTCTCCAAAAAATAAAAATAAAAAATAAAAAATAAAAAAAATATATAGCAGTTGTTATTAGTGTTACAAGGAAGGGTAATGCAAATGAAACATCAAGGGCATATTCATCAAAAGTGTTTGTACATTGATGGAGAGATTTGAAGGAAAGGCCTGATAATATCAAAATCATGACTAGATGAAATCAAGCACAAAGTATGGGCAAAGCAGATATTATCCTTTTAACTACCTTTTATCACTTGAATCTCCTTTTTCTTTGGCATTAGCAGAAAGCATATAAAATGAGTCTTTGTGCATATCTCTTGATATTTCTTCAAGAATTAATGATTAATTTTAGTTAAGCTATGTTAATATTTGTAGTTGGCTTGTTCTGACCCTTTTAGTGTCTGAATAATCAATTATAGTGCACATTAATCAGCCAATATATTTGAACAATATAATATTTTTTCTTTGCTCAACTTTATCTTGTTCACTTAAAGGAATTACTTCCATTTATAAAGTTTAATAAATACATTAAAACTCTCTCCATCTACTCACAACCTCTCCACACACGCACAAGCACACATGTATATATGTATCCCCTGCCCAACTTAATCCTAAACCCCAATTAGTTCCCAGAGATTCAGAGTAACTTCTTTGCTTGAGAAGGTAAGTCTATAAAAATATTTATTTAAACTAATTCAATTAAACATTATCTAAAAAGAACTCTGAAATCATAATCCATCATTTCATAATATAATAGATTTTACTGTCATAGCTTTTGTTATTTCATCTATGGAAGTTTTTGCCCATGGTCCCACTCCCAGTGATCCACATGAATTAAGCAGAGGAATAGGTTTACGCATGACATTACAGAGGAAAATTTTGATGAATAATGAAGTCACCTTTATGGGAGCATGCCTTCAAAAATGAAGCTTGTGAATTCCCTGGTGGTGTAGTGGTTAGAAAACAAAACAAAACAAAACAACAATGACAACAAAAGTGAAGTTTGTGAGTAAGAAGATTAGAATGTGAACTGTTATAACTCAACTGTATTTTCTTTTTATTTAAACCTTGCCACTCATCAACCTCTTCTTTGCTTCCATTATTTTTTCAGATTGTAGACCATAATCTCCCACAGAAAGGGAGAGCTGAGGGCTGGGCAAAGATTTGCCATCCTTAAAATCAATTAGGCATGGTAGTGTGCCCATGCTCAGGGCACTGGAGGCCAATGTGAGCTGCAATATCTCAGGGATATAAAGGCAGCCAAGATCTCTCAGTGAGTTGTCCATCCAAAGATAGTGAGAAGAGAAGACAGACATAGTTAAATGGTTAAGAGACATAATTGGGATACCAGATATGACAAAGTTTGAAGTTGGAGCAGACATGATTGTATATCTCTCCAGCATTCCTTTGGGGAGCCAGTTCTTCCTTATTTGTAGGCTATAATGCTCTGATGAGCCTGATTCTTCCTTCTCACTACAGGTGTAAGTAGATATGTGATCCAGGACAACCTCTGAGCATTTAATTCTCCTGGATACAGTGATTGGTGAAAGACGGGCATGTAATTCAAGAAAATCCAGAGTCCTATCCCTCTACATTTTCTGTTATCACTAGCAAGAAATATAACCTTTATTTTCTGGTATTGATATACTAGAAGGATATTAAACAAGGAGGAAATAGGCATGAAGTAGGAAGGAATTGATGCCAGCACAGAAAGAGAAATAGAGCTGTTACCCGGAGGTGCAGGAATTCTCAATTCTTAGCTTTATTTGGGGAAGGATTTCTGCCAAACAACTAACTTACAACCCCTGCCCCCCCACCCCCTCCACAAGAGAGATAATTTATTGAGCAGAGGGATTATTTAGAGACACAATACGCTCTGAAATATGAGGCAGAGTAGGCTGCTGAAAGGGAGTGAGCCAGCAGCAACCCGAGACTTCTGCGTTGGGTTTTTATGGTGTCAGATTTTTTCTTGAAGTTCCTGCCTCTATCTTAAGTCTCAGCATTTTCCTTTGTTTAGTTTTCCCACTTCTGCCTTAAGTCCTCAACTTCCCCCCGCCCCACCCCATCCCCCTCCTCTGCTGCCTAGTTCCAACCCCAGGTTTGTGGAACCCCCACTTAGTATTAGTTGGTGTGCATGGCGGCCCAGGAGTTGGATACAAATTTCACCTGCCTATCTGTCGGGAATTTCCTCTCTCCTTTGCCCTCTTCCCCTTATCAGCATGCACCTAGTGACATTCTGACATTTTAACTGCAGCATGAATGATTACTGAGTATCTTAAGGAGTGTTCCCTTCTACATAGGTATTTCTCCTCTCCTCTGCTCATATCTAACATGCATGTTTTGGGTGATCTCTGGGTGTGACATTTTCCAGACCTCCCATTTCTCAGGGAATCCCCTCTCCTGCTCATGTCTAGCTATCTGCCTATTCTAACAGAGCTAAGAAAGAGGTATAAAATCATTTAAGCCCACAGAGTGCTGTCTGGAACCAAATCTACCTCCATTCTTTCAATCATGTATGCCATTTTGTAAGCAATTTTAAACTAACTTCTGTCACATGCACCAAGATGTATGCGTGCTTAAAAACAGGCAAATTCCAAATTCCATATTTTAGAAGAATTATGAGGACTCCTACCCCAGAAGTCTTCATGTTTTTTCATCTTCTGAGTACTCTCAACTAAATATAGCATTTGTATTTTAGAATTTAAATATATATACTTCATAAAATAATTTTGGAGATTTGGGTGCAAGAGAAGACCCAAGACTGCCTAAGTTAGAAGCTACTAGAATGCCAGCCCCTTGAATTACAATAGCAAACAGCTACAATGCAACAGAGGTGATAAGGTATTACAGTGTTTCCTTACTGAAGGGGGTAAAATTTGAAGATCAACTGCTGGAAAATAAAGAGATTTCAGGACCCTAGAAGGCATTTGCCACAAATGTAGTTTTATAGTCAGAGTAAAAGTAATATTTGAGATGGTAAAAATATTGTACCAATGCTAATCCTATCAAGGTGATAGCTGTGGTTCTGTATATGGAGGGCCTAAAGGAATCTTCATCCCTTTTCCAGCCACTTTAGAGTTTGCTCACCCTTTTTTCAGCAACACTAACAGTTCTCTTTGCTACTTTTCTAGCCATCTCCAACAGCTTCTCCATTGCTTTTTGATCCTTTACTCACCTACTGGTCCCAAACCAATACCACACACATTAGATTTTGTCATAAAAGCACCATGCCTCTGGGTATCAATTACCATATCATTCTTTGGTGCATAGCAAGCCCTCTCAAAATATAGAGGTTTGAAACAGCCATCATGTATCAGCTTACAGTATGTTGGGTTGGCATCTTGGCCTGGGATCAGCTGAATCATTTTGAACACTGGTGTCTTATAGGCTCACTCAAGGCTCTGAAGTCAGCTGGCAGGTGAGTTGGGGCTGGACAGTCTAGGATATTATGTGGATTGTATTTTCCAAACACAGCCACACCAATATTTTATGCCATAAGCTGTTCTTACCTTGTGATGTCAATACTCCTACATTGAGGGTACATTTTTCCTCCTCTTGAATTTGGGTAGGTCTGTCCCAAATGCATGATTTTCAAGATTAGGTTAAGAAAAGGCTACACAGTTTCTTCCTTGCTTTTTTTCTTAGGAACTCTGTTTTTCAACCAACCAACCAACCATGCTGAGAGGAAATCCATATGGGCTCACCCAGAGAAACAACACAGAGTCCTCCCTGAAGAGGAACTGGCACACCCACTCTAGAGTCAGCATCAACCACCAGAGATATGTGAATCTTCAGATTATTTTAGCCTGCAGCCTTTAAACTGTCCCAGCTGACAACAAGTAAAGCAGAGTTGAGCTATTCCTGCCAAGCCTTACTCAAATATCATATTCTAGAGAAAAAAAAAAAGTTAGTGCTGTTTTAAGCCACTTAGTTTTGGGATGATTTATTATGCAGCATGAAATGACTAAAACAGATGGCCTCATTCATATGTATGGCAGTTTGCAGGCTGTTGGCTGGGAGGCTTTAATTCTATTCAAAATGGTTTCTTTGAGTGGAGGCTAACTCAGACTCATTCACACTTTGATTTCATACATCCAAGCACAGAGAAAAGAGGCAAGCCTCAAATGTACAGCCACTCTTTAAGCCACAGCTTGTATCATACTTACTGATGTCCTTTTGACACAGCAGCCTACCTAGAATCTGTATCATAACAGAGTGCCTTGATTATGGGCTCTGAAAGGTCCAATATGCATTCTGAAGGCATATGACTTGTGGCACCAAATCAAATGTAACACACAGTTACTGCATATGCAGTTTTCAGTTTTCCTTCTGGGTAACTACCACAGATTTCCTGGTTTCCTGGGACCAAGGAGAATCTGTAAATTTGGAAAATTTTAGATGATGTAATTAGTGTTGATAGCTTAAGTATGATATAGAATAAAGATCAGAGATTTTTCCAGAGATAATCAGAGTGCAAGTTGCACTCTGAAGCAGGTCAAAGAGTCTTATGAAAAGCTCCAGACTGTTGGCATTTTCCCATGGCAAGCCTTATTGGGATTATATGCTATAGTAGAACATTATGAATGCTAGTCTAAGACTGGAGCTATGACATATTCTGACACTTCTCTTTCTAATATTGTCTCAACTGAAAGGCAGGAAAGCTGCCACCAACTTATATAACAAGAGACATGAAAAACTTCTTCTGGAGGTCAAAAACTCAAGCGAGAATTAAGATATTATTCCACAGTTCCCCCAACAGAGTAAGGAACTTCATATAGAGGTAGGCTTCTGTGAAGTAAAGAGCCTTTCAACTTTAATAAAGGCACAGTCACCAAACCTGGCTTACAGAAGCCTGGGCTGTTTTCATTAGAGTATTTCAAAAATGAGATTTTGAAATAGATATTTACAGCTCAGAAGTGAATCCGATTGACCTGAGGGTGAGAGCTAAGCCTCACAGAGATGAAATCAGAATGATATTCTATTTACCATGAGAGATCTGGTGAGATAGCCTTCTAGCAGAGGAGAATGGGGCAAGGATAATCGATTTGTGAAAAAGGCAGAGGAAATACAATCTCTGGAGTACAGGAGGAGCAGAGTTAGAAGATGATTGTGAAACACTGCAGTAGCATGTTCTGGGCATCTAGAGTATAACTGAAGGATATTAGACCGAGCCATATTAAATTACCACTTTTGTAGAATAAAAATGTTTAAATATTCTATTTGGTTCAACTTAATGATTAGGAAAAAGACAGCATTCATATATATTCTTTCCTCCATGTCTGTTATGTGAAAAGCAATTATCCCCAGCATCTGTGGAGCTGCACTATTCTCTTAATTTTTCTGATTTATCCATATGGGTTGCTAGGCAGGTTCTTGGGTGTCTATCTATAATATACAGTCGCATCATGATAGTTCCTTAGCGAAGCCAAGTATGCATTACTCAATCAATGCAAAGAAATGCAAAGGAATTATGGAGCCTGAATAATTAAACAAAAAAACTTGACAGCTTCCAAATATTCTAGATATATTCCTACAATAGGAACAAGGTATACTGCAGAATATGGTAAGCAAGTCTTAGCATTACATTAATTGCTACTGCATGGCACTAAAAAAGTTCATCATGACAGGTGTGGGAAGAAAAGATTTGGTGGGAATGAAAGACATAAATTCATAATAAGCAGCAGAAAAAGTTTTGATTAAAAATTCATCCCAGCGGGACATGGAGACTCATGCCTGTAATCCCAGCATTTTGCGAGGCTGAGGTGGGTGTATCACCTGAGGTCGGGAGTTCGAGACCAGCCTGACCAACATGGAGAAACCCTGTCTCTACTAAAAATACAAAATACAAAAAATTAGCTGGGCATGGTGGCTCATGCCTGTAATCCCAGCTACTCGGGAGGCTGAGGCAGGAGAATCACTTGAACCTGGGAGGCAGAGGATTGTGCCATTGCACTCCAGCCTGGGCAACAAGAGCGAAACTCCATCTCAAAAAAAAAAAAAAAAAAAATTTCATCCCATCTCTGCATGAAACACATACATGCACATATACACATATACATATATATACCTATAGCACTGAGATATGAATAAAATGATTGTATTCAGGACTAATCTGATTGCTGTAACCCACATGCTCCTGAAACTTATAAAAGCATAACTGATGGAGGCTGTTCTGCATTGAAGATTTTCACATCTTACTGGGAAACATAATGGCCTACCAGCAGAGGAGGTAAAAGAAAAGCATATTCTTTTAGAATTTCTATAGAAATTGAAGAAGCATAGGATGATTTGTTTCTCATTCAATCACATACAAATAAATATAAATAATTATATGTTTTGACAACACATTTCTTCTTTTTTTATTATACTTTAAATTCTTGGATACATGTGCAGAACAAGCAGGTTTGTTACGTAGGCATACACGTGCCACGGTGGTTTGCTGCATCCATTAAACCATCATCTACAATAGGTATTTCTCCTCCCCTAATCCCCCATCCCCCAATAGGCCCCAATGTATGATGTTCCCCTCCACGTGTCCATGTGTTCTCATTGTTCAACTCCACTTGTGAGAGAACATTTCTCTTCCTGTGTTAGTTTGCTGAGAATGATAGATTCCAGCTTCATCCATTTCCCTGCAAAGGACATGAACTCATCCTTTTTTATGGCTGTATAGTATTCCATGGTGTATATGTGACACATTTTCTTTATCCAGTCTCTCATTGATGGGCATTTGGATTGGTTCCAAGTCTTTGCTACTGTGAATACTGCTGCAGTAAACATAGGTGTGCATGTGTCTTTATAGTAGAATGATTTATAATACTTTAGGCATATACCCAGTAATGGTATTGCTGGGTCAAATGGTATTTCTGGTTCTAGATCCTTGAGGAACTGCCACACTGTCTTCCACAATGGTGGAACTAATTTATGCTCCCAACAGTGTAAAAGTTTCCCTATTTCTCCACATCCTCTCCAGCATCTGTTGTTTCTTGACTTTTTAATGATCGCCATTCTAACTGGCGTGAGATGGTATCTAATTGTGGTTTTTTGTTGTTGTTTTTGTTGTTGTTTGTTTGTCTTTCTGAGATGGAGTTTTGCTCTTGTTGCTCAGGCTGGAATGCAATGGCACCATCTCAGTTCACCCCAACCTCCGCCTCCTGGGTTCAAGCGATACTCCTGCCTCAGCCTCCCCAGTAGCTGGAATTACAGGCATGTGCCACTATGCCTGGCTAATTTTGTATTTTTAGTAGAGATGGGGTTTCATGTTGGTCAGGCTGGTCTCAAACTTCTGACCTCAGGTGATCTGCCCACCTCGGACTCCCAAAGTGCTGGGATCGCAGTCGTGAGCCACTGCACCCATCCCTCATTGTGGTTTTGATTTGCATTTCTCTAATGACGAGTGATGATGAGCTTTTTAAATATGTTTTTTGGCCGCATAAATGTCTTCTTGTGAGAAGTTCTGTTCATATCCTTCACCCACTTTTTGAATGTTTTTTTCTTTTCTTGTAAATTTGTTTAAGTTCCTTGCAGATTCTGGATATTAGCTCTTTGTCAGATGGATAGATTGCAAAATTTTTCTCCCATTCTATAGGGTGCCTGTTCACTCTGATGATAGTTTCTTTTGCTGTGCAGAAGCTTTCTATTTCAATTAAATCTCATTTGTCAATTTTGGTTTTTGTTGCCATTGCTTTTGGTGTTTTAGTCATGAAGTCTTTGCCCATGCCTATGTCCTGAATGGTATTGCCTAGGTTTTCTTCTAGGGTTTTTATGGTTTTAGGTCTTACATTTAAGTCTTTAATTCATCTTGAGTTAATTTTTGTATAAGGTATAAGGAAGGGATCCAGTTTCAGTTTTCTGCATATTGCTAGCCAGTTTTCCTAACACCATTTATTAAATAGGGAACCCTTTCCCCATTGCTTATTTTTGTTGAGTTTGTAAAAGATCAGATGGTTGTAGATGTGTAGACTTATTTCTGAGGCCTCTGTTCCGTTCCATTGGTCTATATATCTGTTTTGGTACCAGTACCATGCTGTTTCAGTTACTGTACCCTTGTAGTATAGTTTGAAGACAGGTAGCGTGAAGTCTCCAGCTTTGTTCTTTTTGCTTAGGATTATCTTGGCTATGTGGGCTCTTTTTTGGTTCCACATGAAGTCTAAAATAGTTTTTTCCAAATCTGTGAAGAAAGTCAATGGTAGCTTGATGGGCATAGCACTGAATCTATAAATTACTTTGGACAGTATGGCCATTTTCACAATATTGATTCTTCATATCCAAGAGCATAGAATGTTTTTCCATTTGTTTGTGCCTTCTCTTATTTCCTTGAGTAGTGGTTTGTAGTTCTCCTTGAAGAAGTCCTTCACATGTCTTGTGAGTTGTATTCCTAGGTATTTTATTCTCTTTGTAGCAGTTGTGAATAGGAGTTCACTCATGATTTGGCTCTCTGTCTATTATTGGTGTATAAGAATTCTTGTGATTTTTGCACATTGATTTTGTATCCTGAAACTTTGCTGAAGTTGCTTATCAGCTTAAGGAGATTTTGGGCTGAGACGATGGGGTTTTCTAAACATACAATCATGTCATCTGCAAACAGAGACAATTTGACTTCTTTTCTTCCTATTGAATATCCTTTATTTCATTCTCTTGACTGATTGCCCTGGCCAGAACTTCCAATACTATGTTGAATAGGAGTGGTGAGAGAGGGCATCCTTGTCTTGTGCCAGTTTTCAAAGAGAATGCTTCCAGCTTTTGCCCATTCAGTATGATCTTGACTGTGGGTTTGTCATAAACAGCCCTTATTATTTTGAGATACATTCCATCAAAACCAAGTTTATTGTGAGTTTTTAGCATGAAGGGGTGTTGAATTTTATCAAAGGCCTTTTCTGCATCTATTGAGATAATCATGTGGATTTTGTCATTGGTTCTGTTTACGTGATGGATTACACTCATTGATTTGCATATGTTGAACTAGCCTTGCATCCCAGGGATGAAGCCGACTTGATCGTGGTGGATAAGCTTTTTGATGTGCTGCTGGATTCAGTTTGCCAGTATTTTATTGAGGAATTTTGCACTGATGTTCATCAGGGATATTGGCCTGACATTTTCTATGTTTGTTGTTGTGTCTCTGCCAGGTTTTGGTATCAGGATGATGCTGGCCTCATTAAATGAATTAGGGAGGAGTCCCTCTTTTTTATTGTTTGGAATAGTTTCAGAAGGAATGGTAACAGGTCCTCTTCGTACCTCTGGTAGAATTCGGATGTGAATCCATCTGGTCCTGGGCTTTTTATGGTTGGTAGGCTATTAATTACTGCCTCAATTTCAGAACTTGTTATTGGTTTATTCAGGGATTCAACTTCTTCCTGGTTTGGTCTTGGGAGGGTGTATGTGTCCAGGAATTTATCCATTTCTTCTAGATTTTCTAGTTTATTTGCATAGAGATGTTTACAGTATTCTCTAATGGTAGCTTGTATTTCTGTGGGTCAGTGGTGATATTCCCTTTACCATTTTTTATTGTGTCTATTTGATTCCTGTCTCTTTTCTTCTTTATTAGTCTGGCTAGCGGCCTATTTATTTTGTTAATCTTTTCAAAAAACCAGCTCCTGCATTCATTGATGTTTTGATGTGTTTTTTTTGTTTGTTTGTTTCTATCTTCTTCAGTTCTGCTCTGATCTTAGTTATTTCTTGCCTTCTGCTAGCTTTTAAATTTGTTTGCTCTTGTTTCTCTAGTTCTTTTAATTGTGATGTTAGGGTGTTGATTTTAGATCTTTCTTGCTTTCTCCTGTGGGCATTTAGTGCTATAAATTTCCCTCTAAACACTGTTTTAGCTGTGTCCCAGAGATTCTGGTATGTTGTGTCTTTGTTCTCATTGGTTTCAAAGAACTTATTTCTCCCTTAATTTTGTTATTTACCCAGTAGTCATTCAGGAGCAGGTTGTTTAGTTTCCATGTAGTTGTGTGGATTTTAGTGAGTTTCTTAATCCTGAGTTCTAATTTGATTGCACTGTGGTCTGAGAGACTGTTATGATTTCCATTCTTTTGCATTTACTGAGGGGTGTTTTACTTCCAATTATGTGGTCAATTTTAGAATAAGTGCGATATGGTGCTGAGAAGAACATACATTCTGTTGATTTGGGGTGGAGAGTACTGTAGATGTCTATTAGGTCCTCTTTGTTCAGAGCTGAGTTCAAGTCCTGAATATCTATGTTACTTTTCTGTCTCATTGATCTGTCTAATATTGACAATGGGGTGTTAAAATCTCCCACTATTATTGTGTGGGAGTCTAAGTCTCTTTGTAAGTCTCTAAGAACTTGCTTTATGAATCTGGGCGCTCCTGTACTGGGTGCATATATATTTAGGATAGTTAGCTCTTCTTGTTGTGTTGATCCCTTTACCATCATGTAATGCCCTTCTTTGTCCTTTTTTAATCTTTGTTGGCTTAAAATCTGTTTTATCAGAGACTAGGATTGAAAGCCCTGCTGTTTTTTTGTTGTTGTTTTTTTTTGTTGTTGTTGTTGTTTTTGCTTTCCATTTGCTTGGTAAATATTCCTCCATCCTTTTATTTTGAGCCTGTGTGTGTCTTTGCATGTGAGATGGGTCTCCTGAATACAGCACACCAATGGGTCTTGACTCTTTTTCAACTTTGCCAGTCTTTTAATTGGGGCATTATCCCATTTATTTTTAAGGTTAATATTATTATGTGTGAATTTAATCCTGTCATTATGATTCTAGCTGGTTATTTTGCCCGCTAGTTGATGCAGTTTCTTCATAGTGTTTTTACAATTTGGTATGTTTTTGTAGTGGTTAGTACTGGTTTTTCCTTTTCATATTTAGTGCTTCCTTCAGGAGTTCTTGTAAGGCAGACCTAGTGGTGATAAAACCTCCCAGCATTTGCTTGTCTGTAAAGGATTTTATTTCTCCTTCACTTATGAAGCTTAGTTTGGCTGGATATGAAATTCTTGGTTGAAAATCCTTTTCTTTAAGAATGTTAAATATTGGTCCCCACTCTCTTCTGGCTTGTACAGTTTCTGCAGAGAGATCTGCTGTTAGTCTGATGGCCTTCCCTTTGTGGGTTAGCTGACCTTTCTCTCTGGCTTCCCTTAACATTTTTGCCTTCATTTCAACCTTGGTGAATCCAATGATTACGTGTCTTGGGGTTGCCTTTCTAGAGGACTATCTTTGTGTTGTTCTCTATAGTTCCTGAATTTGAATGTAGGCATGTCTTGCTAGGTTGGAGAAGTTCTCCTGGATAATATCCTGAAGAGTGTTTTCCAACTTGGTTCCATTCTCCCCCCCACTTTTGGGTACACCAATCAAACTTAGGTTTGGTCCTTTCACATAGTCCCATATTTCTTGGAAGCTTTGTTCATTCCTTTTCATTCTTTTTTCTCTGATCTTGTCTTCACGCTTTATTTCATTGAGTTGATCTTCAATCTCTGATATCCTTTCTTCCACTTGATTGATTCGGCTATTGCTATATGTGTATGCTTCATGAAATTCTCATGCTGTGTTTTTCAGCTCCATCAGGTCATTTACGTTTCTCTAAACTGGTTATTCTAGTTAGCAATTCCTCTAACCTGTTTTCAAGGTTCTTAGCTTCCTTGCTCTGGGTTAGAACATGCTCCTTTAGCTCAGAGGAGTTTGTTATTACCCACCTTCTGAGGCCTACTTCTATCAATTCATCAATCTCATTCTCCATCCAGTTTTGTTCTCTTGCTGGTGAGGAGTCGTGATCCTTTGGAAGAGAAGAGGCGTTCTGGTTTTTGGAATTTTCAGCCTTTACGAACTGGTTTTTCCTCACATTCATGGATTTATCTACCCTTGGTCTTTGATGTTGGTGACCTTCAGATGGGGTTTTTGTGTGGATGTCCTTTTTGTTAATGTTGTTGCTATTCCTTTCTGTTTGTTAGTTTTCCTTCTAACAGTCCCCTCTGCTGCAGGTGTGCTGGAGTTTGCTGGAGGTCCACTCCAGACCCTGTTTGCCTGGGTATTTACAGCGCAGTCTGCAGAACAGCAAAGACTGCTGCCTGTTCCTTCCTCTGGAAGCTTTATCCCAGAGTGGCACCCGCCAGATGCCAGCCAGAGCTCTCCCGTAAGGATGTCTGTCAACCCTTGCTGGGAAGTGTCTCCCAGTCAGGAGGCACGGGGGTCAGGGACCCACTTGAGGAGGCAGTCTGTCCCTTAGCAGAGCTCAAGCACTATGCTGGGAAATCCACTGCTCTCTTCAGAACCAGCAGGCAGGAATGTTTAAGTCTGCTGAAGCTGTGCCCGCAGCCGTCCCTTCCTCCAGGTACTCTGTCCCAGGGAGATGGGAGTTTTATCTATAAGCACCTGACTGGAGCTGCTGCCTTTCTTTCACAGATGCCCTGCCCAGAGGGGAGGAATCTAGAGAGGCAGTCTGGCTATAGTGGCTTTGCTGAGTTGTGGGGGGCTCCACCCAGTTTGAACTTCCAGGCAGCTTTGTTTACACTGTGAAGGGAAAACCACCTGCTCAAGCCTCAGTAATGGTGGACACCCCTCCCCCGACCAAGCTCAAGCATCCCAGGTTGACTTCAGACTGCTGTGCTGGCAGCAAGAATTTCGAGCCAGTGGATTTTACCTTGCTGGGTTCCGTGAGGGTGGGAACCGCTGAGTTAGACCACTTGGCTCCTTGGCTTCAGCCCCCTTTCCAGGGGAGTGAATGGTTCTGTCTCACTGGGATTCCAGACACCACTGTGGTATGAAGAAAAAGCTCCTAGAGCTAGCTTGGTGCCTGCCCAAATGGCCGTGCAGTTTTGTGCTTGAAACCCAGGGTCCTGGTGGCATAGGCACCAAAGGGAATCTCCTGGTCTGTGGGTTGTGAAGATTGTGGGAAAAGCGTAGTATCTGGGCTAGATAGCACCGTCCCTCATGGCACAGTCCCTCACGCTCCCCTTGGCTAGGGGAGGGAGTTCTCTGACCCCTTGCACTTCCCAGGTGAGGCAACACCCCACCCTGCTTCGGCTCACCCTCCATGGGCTGTACCCACTGTCTAACCAGCCCCAATGAGATGAGCTGGGTATCTCAGTTGGAAATGCAGAAATCACCTGCCTTCTGTGTTGATCTCTCTGGGAGTTGCAGACTGAAGCTATTCCTATTCGTCCACCTTCGTTTGAATCAACAACACATATTTTTGAAGGTAAAAATCAATTATAATTAAAACATGCTGAGCTCTACTTTATGAAGTCTATTGTTCCCTTGAACCTGTTTAGAAATGAGAAATTTCCATATGTGGTTGTCATAGAAACAAGAAAACTTTGGTTTTTTCTATTCTGGCAGCTGATATTACAATAATTGATCCATATCACAGGCCTTTTATTTTTCACCAGTCATAAATATGTCAATTTCATTATTAAAGATTATAAGGATGCTATATCCAAAAAAATACCTAAATCTCAAGATGGAATGTATTTAAAGGATGAATATCCTGTGCTTCATGAATAATAGAACCAATGAACAACCAGTGGCCCTTTTATCTTTTCAGTAATATGAGAAATAGAAAGAACATAAGAAGAAATGTTTTAAAAAATCACAAAAATTCCAACTTTGGCATCTGAATTTGATTGGGAAAAATGACTAAGACAGATCATATTCACCATTGCAACTACAAAACTCTAATGGTTCTAACTTTCTCATGTTAGTTATCCTCCATGGACCCTGATATACTTTTATCGGGATGTATTGAACACTTTCTATGTGCTGCATTCTGTTAATGATACAGGAATAGCCAAAGTACCCATTAAGAACTCTCCATCCAGTGGGGACCCCAAACTCATATACGACCAAGTCTCATCCAAGACTGAATCCAATAGGTGTCTGAAGAATAAACAACAAAAATGCAATATGAGAAATATTGAGTATTGGTAGGCAAATGATTCAGTCATTCCACTCCTGAGTATTCATCCAAAATAAATGAAATAAATGTCCATGAAAAGACTTGTACTTGAATGCCCCCAGCAGCTTTATTTGTAATAGACAAAACTATAAACAACCTAAATGTCCACCAATGAATAAGTGGATAAACAAACTGTGGTATATCTATAGAATGAAATAGATAACTATTTAGCAACCAGAAGAACCGATATATGCAATGATAATGACGAATTTCAAACTAAGAAGCCAGGCCAAAAAAAGAACACATACTGTACAAGTCCATTTATATTAAATTTTAGAAAATGCAAACTAATCCATAGCAACAGAAAATAGATCAGTGGTTGTTTGGAAATGGAGGGAAAGAGGGATGACAAAGGGAATGGCGGAAACTTTTGATGGTGAAACAATTTTGATTAACTATCTTGGTTAGCTAGGTTGTCAAAGGTTAACTTGGTTATCAAAGGTTAACTACCTTGATTGTGCTGGTAGTTTCACAAAAATATCCAAATTTAATAAGTCATATACTTTAAATGGTATGTCAGTTATATCTCAATAAAGCTGTTATAAAAATCATGTTTTATTTATAAGGATATATAGATCAATTGAATAGAATTCAGAGTCTAAAACTAAACCCTCACATTTACAGTCAATCAATTTTTCACAAAGGTGCCAAGACAATTCAATGGGAAAGAATTGTCTTTTCAACAAATGATGCTGAGACAGCTAGATATCCATATGTAAAATTTGCCATTATTACATAACATCAGAATGTGATTTTATCACATGTCTTAGAAGATATTTTCACTTGGATTCCAGCAGTTCTATTGCTTTTTAAAAAATTTCTCAATTAGGTGATTATTCTTTGTGAGTTATTATATAACTTCAGGTAGTATATTTTATCCAGCTGAGAGGAAAAGTGTATTACTTACACTTTTCTGTATTGTCATTGGTATTATGAAAGAAGTCAACATCAGAGAATGCTATAGTAAAGTCATCTTCATCATTTTCTATTACTAAATAAAATACATTTAAACAAATTAGGATAAAAATATAAGTTAATCAGTTGATTCTTAGGTTCAACTGAGTCAATTTACTCTGGATTGTGTGAGCACAAGATCTCATTCATCTTTGTATTATCATTGGTAATCAAGGAATGCTCAATATGCTGTGAAATGTCAAAAAAAGAAGGTGGTAGGGAAGCCTCTTGAAGAAAATAGGATTCAAACGATTTGTTAGCAAGTTGGTAGAAAATAGATTAGTATAAATATTTTTATCACAAAACATCTCAATTCCTTTTAAAATTGTATGTTTATATTTTATTCTGTACATTGTCTCAAGTAAATAAGTCTAAAAGTTTACTTTCTAGTGCAAGGAGTTAGTTTTACTTATGTGAAACTATCTATGACTAGCACCAGTTTTCAAATGGAGACACCTGGTTTTCCACAATCTGGGGTCTACTGAGCAAATCTCTGAACTTCCATTTTAATCTCTTTCTAGTCCACCAACCTCCTGTCTTCATCTTTGTCAAAGGATAAAAAATCTTTTTCCCTTTTTGCAATCCACCCATCTGACCGAGGTCTAATATAGAGAATTTACAAGGAACTTAAACATATTTACTAGAAAAAAGCAAATAACCCATATCCAAAAGTGGGTAAAGGATATGAACAGACACTTCTCAAAAGAAGACACTTACATGGCCAAATACATGAAAAAAAGCTCAACATCACTGATCATGAGAGAAATGCAAATCAAAACCACAGTGTGATACCATCTCATGATAGTCAGAATAGTGATTATTAAAAAGTCAAGAAACAATAGATGCTGGCGAGGCTGTGGAGAAATAGGAAAGCTTTTAAACTGTTGGGGGGAATGTAAATTAGCTCAGCCATTGTGGAAGACAGTGTATGGTGATTCCTCCAGGATCTAGAACCAGAAATACCATTCAACCCAGCAATCCCATTACTGGGCATATACCCAAAGGAATATAAATTGTTCTACTATAAAGACACATGCATACATAGGTTTATTGCAGCACTTATTTACACTAGCAAAGACATGGAACCAACCCAAATGGTAGACTGGATAAAGAAAAGCAATGATAGACTGGATAAAGAAAACGTGGTACATATACATCATAGAATACTATGCAGCCATAAAAAGGAATGTGATCATGTCCTTTGCTGGGACATGGATGAAGCTGGGAGACATCATCCTCAGCAAACTAACACATGAGCAGAAAACCAGACACCGCATGTTCTCACTCATAAGTGAGAGTTGAACGTTGAGAACACATGGACACAGAGAGGGGAACATCACACACCAAGGTGTGTGGTGGGTGGGGAGTGAGGGAAGGGAACTTAGAGAATGGGTTAATAGGTGCAGCAAACCACCATGGCACCATATACCTATGTAACAAACCTGCATGTTCTGCACATGCATCCAGGTTTGTTTCCTTTTTTTTTAGAATAAAAAAAAAATCTTTTCCCCTTCCTTCCTCATTTTCTCTTCCACCATTCTACTCCCCTGCCACAATTATTAACTTCCACATGACACATGTCTAGCACAATCCTTTAATATATCATCGAGCCATCAAAATCAAAATGATTCCTATTTAAATTACATAAACAAAAATCCATCTGTATAAACAAGTGTGTTTCTGCTTCTTGCAGGTGGGGATAGCATCTTTTTCGTCTTTATATTTCCAATCCCATCACCTAGTTGCTCAATAAACCTTTGTTGAGTTCAGCTGACTGGCATTATTCATTATACAGAAGGGTTTCTTACGAGTAATGTTATCTCTTCTAGTGAACTTATAATTTGTAAAAATGTATATAGTCATATTAACTAATATCTTATGAAAAAAAGCTTTTACCCATAATTTTCTTCACACCAATAATAAAAGCTCATAATATCTCGCTAGGCAAATTCATGTTTATTTATTCAGTTTATTTTGTACCATGCATTTTTAAGAACCCCCAAGCAGTTACTGTGGGTAGTTGTGATTCATTCATTTGCACTAATGAGTAGTACTACACTGCATAATACAGTTGATCTGTTTCACTTTTATAAAAATTTGTATCATTACCAGTTTTTGCCTATTAGGATAAATGTTGCTGCTAATATTTAGATCCATACAACCTGGTGCACATAAAAACACACGTACACTTAGGAATTAAATTGGTGGGTCATAGGATAATTACCTTTAATTTTATTGGATAATTATCACATGGTTTTCCAGGATTGAACCAATTTAAACCTTCTCTAACAACATGTGATACTTATTGTCACTCCAAAGAGTCTTTAATATTTGATTTTAAGTGACTTCAAACACACTTGCTGGTTGGGCATGGTGGTTCATGCATGTAATCACAGCACTTTGGGAGACCAAGGTGGGAGGATTGCTTGAGGTCAAAAGTTCAAGACCACCCTGGAAAACATAGCAAATAGCAAGACCTGATCTTTATCAAAAAAAAAAAAAAAAAAAAAAAAAGTAGAACAGTGTTCATGGAGGCATGCACATCTATAGTTTTAGCTACTTGGGAAGCTGAGGCAGGAAGACTGCTTGAGCCCAAGAGGCCGAGGCTGCAGTGAGCCATACCATTGCACTCTAGTCTGGACAACAGAGCTAGACCCCAACTCAAATATATATATCAAATATATATATTTTACTAAAATAAAACCTTTAAAAAACACATGTCAATCTAAAGTAAATATATATATCAAATATATATATATTTTACTAAAATAAAACCTTTAAAAAATACATGTCAATCTAAAGTAAATATAGTGCTAGCATATTTTGGTTCATTTTGAAGTTTCTTATAAGTTAGTAAGTTTGCTAGTTTTTCAAGAATAACTGATCTTCTTGTGTCCACCTCCATAGTAGCTGGGACTACAGGCACAGGCCACCATGCTTGTATTGAAATAACTTTATGTTGACCATTTGTGTTTTCTCTTACATGAAATTCCTGTTTAATTATTTTGTCTATTTTACTGCGGGGCTGATTTTCATTTCAGGATTTATTTGTGGGATTTCCTTATATATTCTATAAATGAATGCTTTTTATTAAATACGCAACAAATAATTTCCTTTTATCATGGTATGGCTCGCCTTTTTACTTAATGTTGTGGTTTTTAAATATATGTTCTTAATTTTAATTAAATAAAATTTATAATATTTTTCTTTATGAAATGTTTTCTATGCTGAATTAAAACATCCTTACTCCAAGTTTACAAAATAATCACTTCTATCATCTACCAATACCTAAATTATTATGCCATTTACAAACCAGCTAGACTTAACTTTTGTGTATGGTTTAAGATAGGGGTAAAGTTATATTATTTTTCATCATATGGAAATACAATTGTATCATAATAATTTATTGAAAACTAAGAATACGGTGTCTTGTAATAATAAGAAGTGTGAAAAAGGTGAATAAGTCAATGTATCAAATTATGTTGCTATGTAAGACAACATGGAGACAGAATTTGTCATTTGTGGATGACATCATGAAAAGAAAAATACCTCTGAACTAAGAACAAAGATCATATTTGGGAGTTAATTTCCTGTGTTTTCATTTCTCTGATACTCCATAAATGGTGTATATGTGATTATGGTGTCAAGGGTAGAAAATGAAGACACTGATATAAAAAAAAAGATCATGAGACATTTGGAGAGGCAATATAAGCTAAATAGGCTTTGACAAAATGTAATATTTTTACCTGAACTTGAATTCATAGCAGGTACTCTTGAATCATCTGCAGGGACTGAAAGGTTAAGAAAGCTTTTTGCAAATCTGTAAACTAAAATTAGCAGTTGTCATTACGTATAATATTACTTAGAGGCCTTGCTTACTAAAATGGGTATGGGGAAAGGAGGCTCCAAGTACTGGGTAAAAACTAATACCTATAAAATTACCACTTGATTGATAAATGTACTGATGATTATAAAGATATTTAGTCATTATGTATTTTTAAGCTGTAAGGATCTATTATTTAGGTGATAAATTATTTGGCACTATTTCATTAGTATCTGTGACTATAACACTACAAGGGGAGAAAAATATTTTAGGCAAAAGACAAGACATGTTAAACCAGTGGGAGATAATACCATTTGAAGGCAACCCCTGGAAAGCAGATACAATGAAAAAAGTAACCCTGGAGCTCAAGTTATTTTATGGAGCTTAGCTTTTACCAAAACCTACAGGGAACTACTGATTTTGACCCAATGATCTCTTGTGTTAAGATGCTGGCTGAAATGCAATACTACTCAAACACCCACCGAGAAATAATATTATTCCCATTTTTCATCCTTCTATTCAGCCCTGTGTTATGTATGACCTATGCAATTTCTCTGCTTGAAGATTTCCTGTAGCATGGTGGAAAATGATGTACTTAGCTAATCTTAGAGATCTTGTTCACTCTCTTCCCTCCATTATGAAATAATGCCCCCAAGAAAAAAACATTTGAGCAGTCCAATGGATGTATCTCTCCAGAGATTCAAGTAGAGATCTCGGTTAAATATACAGATATGGGAGCTACCAACCCTAAAAAATAGTATACCTTGGAATACATAAGCTCTTCCAGGCAGAATATAGAATAAGACTAGAGAAGAATTAAGAATACAACTCTGAATAGGGAATATTTACTTTTAAGATTTTGGTAGGTTTTGAGTTTTTAGCCCATAATGGAGCTAGAGAACTAGAAAAAAACAAGATAGCATGGTGTTAAAAAAGAAAACATATCAAATTGCTTTAGGTATTCCATAAGGATTCGAAGAATATGAGGAGGCAAAGTGTGAACTGGGAATGAGAAATTTCAAGAAAGCAGTAGGATATTAGCCATGAAGCAATGAGTAAAAGAGTAGAACAGGAAAATATCAAGATGGGGAAGGTAAGAATGGCATCAAGGAAACAGGTTTAGCCCATCAATAGAAGTTATCTCTTTGGGAGTACATGGTCAGGAAAAGAAGACACACATCAAGGAGAGAAAGAAAAATGGGAACAGAGGGGATAAAAAGAGAAAATATAATTAAAGCTCTCATTTTGACTGCAGAGGTTAGAAAATATCACCCTCAAAATAAGGCCCATTCCTACATCCTTTGCTACTGTTCTTGGCATCTTATTTATAACCCACTTTAAGAGTAGGTAGTATGTGAATGATTGTTAAATTTAAGAATATCTCCTTTGCTCCATTGATTGGGTCATAAATTGACATCAGCTTTTTTCTTGGCTGATAATCAGCCTTATGCTTCCTTTTGCTAATTCTATAGAGAAAAGTACTATGATGTATTATTGCACAACATACACAGAAACACACATGTGAATTTAATTTTATATATCTATGTTCAGTGGAAAGGAGATTTAAAGATGCAGTGGACGTGTTCCTCAATTTCATTTGGTTATATTAGAAATAAATCCACAACATATGAATTATTTCTAAATATAATAGGAACTATTTTCAAAGTGTGTTTTTTTCCACAGTTTAGATTTGCTTGGGGGAGAAAAGTTAGTGAAATAATTGATGGATACATTCTTAAATAGAAAAGCTTTATGTCTCTTACCAACTCAGTTTCTCAAATATTATAACCACTTTATATTTACCTTCCCACTTTCCTCCAAAGTACTTGCTAACAAAATTTTTATTTGCATTAGAAAAATCCATTAGAACTTAAAATAAGCATAAGTTCAATCAATTTGTTAACTAGTAAATAAAGTTCGCCAAATGTTTCTCATATTGTAATGCTTTAATTAAGACAGAGTACTTAGATTAAAATTAAAATTGAAAAAATCCTTGAGTTCTAGGTAAACCTTTTTCAGTTAAGAAAGCCTAATAAATGCACCAAGACATCATGTTATCTCAATAGCAAGCTAAGTTTAACACATACATTATTTTTTTTGTTGTCTCTATTGATTTTTGATTTGTTGTCTCTATTGCTCCTAAATCATATATATTTCCTGCTTTTTGTTGTCTCTATTGCTCCTAAGTCATATATATTTCCTGCTTTTTGAAAGTGGATCTGGGCCCTTTAAATATTTTTCTTTTGCCAGAAGGCACAATTCCAAGCTTTGCCAATAGATGGTGATGGGAAGAATTTGCAGGAAGAAAAGGTTTTGCTTTCTGGCTTTGGTTTTCACTCATTGAATTCCTGCTGTGCATAGCAATCAGTAGCCATGCTACTGGCTACTGGGGATACCATTCCTTGGGAAAACTTGTAGTAAAATGCCTCCAGTGAGACATCATAAACAACTTGCTGCATATCCAGGCAGGTGGCTTTTGCAGTTTCACTGGTGCAGTATTCAGAGACTTCTATGCCATTTAGTAGGCTATGGCTATTTATTTGCAACAAGATCTAGATCTCAGCTCAGAAGGGCTGAGTTAATTTCCTGTATTTTCGTTTCCCTGAAATACAGGGAAATAATCCCTATATTGTTTGATCCTTATATTTGATGTTCCTGTATTTTTTTAAGTTCTCTGTATTTATTACTAGTCAATCTCTCATGACTTCAATACCCTGTTGTAATTAATTGTTCTTTATATTAAATTTCTTCTGTTCAAATTACTATGTAGCTTCCCTCTCTTGTTTGGATCCAGATTCTCAGACTTTCCATGCTATAATTATGTAAAGTCTGCTTTGGGCTGATCAGTTTCTGTAGAGATGGTTTAATATCTCCTGAACAAAACCACTCACATTGTCTTTATGTAGAGAGCACAGGTGTTCAATTTGTTTTTTTTTTTTTTTAGATAGGTATGGATTTTCTTAGGCTTCAGTGTTAGCTCTGGGCTTTACAACACATTTCAATCCATTGCTGGCTCCTCACAGAAAGGTAATGGAAGCCCAAGATTTTTCTTGAATTCTGACTCTGCTTTGCATAGTCTAGCACTGTACTAATGTAGTAATGGCTGCTTCCACCATTTAGATAAACACTGTTTTTTTTTTTCCTTAAGAAAAGTGTTTAGTGAAAAAAATGGCAGAATAATTAATGGGTAAGAAATTGTTAATTTACGCTAAGTGGTAGCAATTTGGGAAATAACTGCCAAAAGAGTATTACCCAGAGAAAAAGTTGAATGCAAATACATATGAGTCATAATAGAAGAGGTGTTAGAGAAAATTAAACAGTTGTGATTTTGTGTGGTTTCAAAGCCATACTCACTATCCTCTTATCAGCCATGCTAGTTAGAGATTCAGAGGAATGCTATTTGGAGAATGAGAAACTTCATGTTAGGCAAAACAGATTAAAAGAAATGAAAAATTCTATACCTTTTTACACTCAAAACTTTATTAAAATCTCTTGCATTGGTAACTGTTATGCCTTCAGTCACTAGGCCCAAGGTAATGCATAACTGAGAATCAGTTATTTGCAAGACAGCAACGTTCAAGAAAATTAGGATAACAATTTAGGCAAATGAGAAATATAATACAAATATCTGGAGTCAGCTTGTGAAAAACTAGGGATCAATTATAATTCAAACAGATATATAATATCATGAACCTAGAGTTACTTCTCTAATATTAGAGTCCATGGTATTATTAAACAGAGACATGCTACCTATACAAAAAAGGTGGAGTGACCAATATGTCCTTATCCATTATATTGCTTAGATTCTCCATTTTCTTTTCTTGTTTATTTGTTGGTTGGTTGGTTTTTTCATATATGATCTATCAAAGAATAAAATTGTTATGAGACGATATTTAAATTTTCCTTTTGCCAATTTCTCTGTGTGAGTTTAAAGTAGAGGATTGGCCAACTATAGGGCTTTGAGATGTTACAAACCTAGCTTTGAATCCCAGTTCTGTAATTTAATAGGTGTTTGAACTTGGTCAAATCACAAAACTTCTTTTTTTTTTTTTGCAAAATAGAATAATAAAACCTACCTCTAGTTTTTGTTGCATGGATTCAATCAGAATATTTGTATAACCTTTAATTTAGTTTAGTTCTACATCACAGAAACTCAACAAATGTCTTCTATCATTGTCAAAAATATTACTAGTTAACATTGCTTCACTTAATTACATGATCTTCATTGTATAGGGAATCACTTGGTTTTGACACCTTCTCTGTGGATTTTGCCTTTTTGCAATATAAATTGAAAAATACATATGCTTAATGTTCCTATCTAGAATAATAAGGGTATCCTACATTATTTCATCTTTTTGACAAATGCATTTTTGCATTATCCATTTTAGTTTTAATATTGCAGTACTATTTTGCTTTTGTTATTGTGTAAAGCATTACATTAGGTGATTTTCTTTTGTGTTACTCTTATTGAGAGTTCTTTTCAAAATAATTTTTATTACAACAGATCTGTTTGGCTCCAATTTAGTTATTTTGTTTTATGCTTTTTGATTAACATCCTTCTATCTGTTAAATTTTTATATTCTATTTATTTTTCAATTTAATGAGGTGTTTTTATTTCCTCTTGTGATTTAAAAGTAATATTTTCGGCCGGGCGCGGTGGCTCACGCCTGTAATCCCAGCACTTTGGGAGGCCGAGGCGGTCGGATCACGAGGTCAGGAGATCGAGACCATCCCGGCTAAAACAGTGAAACCCCGTCTCTACTAAAAATACAAAAAATTAGCCGGGCGTAGTGGCGGGCGCCTGTAGTCCCAGCTACTTGGGAGGCTGAGGCAGGAGAATGGCGTGAACCCGGGAGGCGGAGCTTGCAGTGAGCCGAGATCCCGCCACTGCACTCCAGCCTGGGCGACACAGCGAGACTCCGTCTCAAAAAAAAAAAAAAAAAAAAAAAAAGTAATATTTTCTGTCCATCTAAAGGAACTATTATACTTAGAAGAAATATATTTAAATCTTCTGTTCTCTAATTATTGTTTATGAGTGAAACTGTACCTAGAATAAGAAATAGTGAAAATTAGCATAATTTTCTTTTTCTCACCCTTGCTTACTACCCCACACACATCTAAACAGAAATACACATACATTTCACATAATTTAAACCCAAATATTTGCTAAAATATTGTATTACAGAAACTATATTCTAGGTGATTTTTGTCTTATTGTATTTCTTGGCCTATCAATGTGAGCCTTTGAAAAAAAAGAATGTGATCCTTATGCATGTACTGTATTTATTACAGAAAAGCCTTCCCACATAACCACTTCATAAATTGATCTTCAAAAACCCATGAACACAAAAAGAATAACAGTCTAGAATATAATATTCAATTAATTAAAATCACCTGGGAATGAAAGCCTAGTTCGCACAATCTATTTGCACAATTATAAACTATAAAAACATTTATACATTGAGTATTAGCATATTCCCCATTACTGCCTCTCTAACATTAGTTATTTCACTCTACTTTTGCTGGAATTAGATGACAGTAAATTCCTAATTAATCCGTAGAATGAGTAGCTATACACATGTTTGCGTATTGTAGTGAACCTAATTTCAAAGACGTTCTGCTATAAAAATCAAAACGATTTACCTGTCATATAGAGGGGTCTGGACAAATCTGCAGAAGCTATTAATGATGGCTGGATTTAAAGTCATAGCATTTGGTGAAATCACAGTTCAGGGTAAATTAAGAAAAGTAATTTAACAGAACTGTAAGTAGACACTTGAGGGACACACACATTTAGAGATTCCAGACAAAACAGTCAAATATGAATTAGAGAGTTAATGCCATATGATGTTACAGAAGCCAGAAGCAAGCACTTCAGATGTAGTGGAATTCAACAGGAGTTAACAGAGCACTTAGAAATAAAAATAGAATTAAGAAATAAGGTATTTCTGATTATCCTACTGAGTTAATTCTCTAAAGAGTTAAGGTATAACTTTGGCAAATGAAAGTTGGTAATGGGTATAGATTACGCACTCTGAGCTTTTGGTATTATAGGAAAGAAGAAAAAATTGTGAGTTGCTTGAAATAGTACTTGACTTACTTAGTTCTTTTATGAAAGTCATGGAGATCCCTAAATACTTAAAGTTTTGTGCTAAGGGACATATGCAAGTTGTAAAGAAATTTGACATAAGCAAAAAAAAATTACTTAAAACCACCAATGGTAAACTATGTATTCTTTATTACTCTTCTAGGTTATTTGATTCTAGGACTTTATTGCTTTTGTGATATTATACTACTTTGTAAGTTATAGATGTTAATAACTGAAAAAATATAAAATTATTATGGTATAGACATGAAAATAAATTATTTCCAGTGAAGGTTCAATTAACTTTCCTTCCTCAATATAAAAGAATCAAATTTTGCCTTAATTTGCACATTCGTTTTACTATTTCTGATTGAAAAATGTCATTTTGTTTAGGTTGTCCATTGAATTGGTTATAATACCTTATTAGCTTCCTCATTAACAGTAAGTTAAACAAAATCTTTAACACACGTTGATTTTATATCTGCCTGTCTCATGATTTTACTTTTGATTATTTAATAAAATGGAAAAGCAAATAATAACAATACTAATGAAAACGGTTATTAAGAGCTACTCACTATTACACATGAACAAACTCCCTTAATTCCAAGCTAGACCCCATACCACTGAATTTCTGCCATCTGGTGAACTTTAATGCAATTGTTCTAAGCCTTTTTTTTTTCTTTTTTTTCCCTTGAGGCCTAGAACCCACTCTAAAAAGCAAGATTATTTTTCTTTGTACCGAGCCCTCAAACTGGAACATCAAAAACTGACAGGGTTATAAATGTTTCCAAGAATAAAACACAGACAGCCTAATGATTTAGTAAGCAAGAAAGAGAATGTGTAGATGAAAATAAGTCTTACATATATTCTTACTGTGATAATTTAATCAAAGTAAATATCACTCCTGAAATGGAGCCCTAAGAAAGGGCTATGTTAAAGTTTTTTTGGCTAAATCATCACTCAAAATTTTTTGAAATAAATTTGTGTGAGGCCAGCAAAATATTGTTTTTTATTTAAATATTGTTATATTACTCCTATCTACAAACAATTCTGTTTCCTTTAAATGTAGAAGTTATAGGACTGCATTCCTATTTCAATTCTGTAAGTTACTTTTGAGATAGTAACGGATTGTTAGAAATAATATGATATAAAGTATGAAAGAATTAATTACATGATATCTTTTCCTCATTTCCTTCAGAAGTCTGTATTGCCTGTCTAAAGTACTATTCATTATTTTATGAAAGTTGAAGAAAAATTCAAAATGTTTTATTATTCATTCTGATATGTGAATACGAAATATGCTTTATCTGTCTTATTATTTGTTAAATTGAAATTTTAGGGGGAAATACTCTGTAATACTTTTGAAATGAGAGTGTTTCATAGAGAAGTAGGAAAAGATATATTATGAACAGAAACTAAAGCATTCTGTTGTACTTAACAAGGCTCAATGAAAGATAAATACTATACATATGTACTAATAATATAGTCAATGGCTTGTTTAATTTGAATTCAAAAATGAATATTTACATATTGCACTCTAGCACTTTCGCACATGTCATATACTAAGAATGATAGTGAAAACTAGAATATGTACAGATGAACTAAAATAGAAGCCATCTAATAGTAAAGCAGCTACGGAAATAAGGCACACATTGTTATACGGTGCTTCACTTTATTGTAATTCACAGATACTGCATTTTTTCACGATCGAAGGCTTGTTACAGCCCTATATCAAGTAAGTCAGCCAGTGCCAATTTTCCAACAGCATGTGCTCACTCTGTTCTCTTTATCACATTTTGGTAATTCTCACAACATTTTAAACATTTTCATTATTATATCAGTTATGATGATCTGTGATCAGTAATCTCTGATGTTACTATTGTAATTGTTTTGGGATGCCATGGATGGTGCCCATATAAAAAAGTGAGTTTAATCAATAAATATCCCATCTGTTCTTACTGCTCTACCAACCAGCCATTCCTCCATCTCTCTCCTCTTCAGGTCCCTCTATTTTCTGAGACACAACAATGTTGAATTAGGCCAAGTAACAACCTTAAAATGGCTTCTAAATGTTCAATTAAAAGGAAAAGTCACACATCTCTCACTTCGAATCAAAAGCTAGAAATGATTAACATTCATGAGGAAGGCATGTCAAAAGCCAAGATAGGCTAAAAACTAGGCTTCTTGTGCCAAACAGTCAAATTGTGAATGTAAAGGAGAAGTTATTGACAAAAATTTAAAGTGCTACCCCAGTGAACAAATAAGAATGTGAAACACCCTTATTGCTGATATGGAGAAAGTTTGAGTGATGTGGATAAAAGACCAAACCAGCCACAGCACTGCCTTAAGCCAAAGCCTAATCTGGAGAAAGGTCATAACTCTCTCCGAATCCATGAAGGCTGAGAGGTGAGGAGGCTGCAGAAGAAATGTCTGAAGCTAGCAGAGGTTGGTTCATGAGGTTTAAGGAAAGCCGTTTCCATAACATAAAAATGCAAGGTAAAGCAGCAAGTGCTGATGCAGAAAATGCAACAAGTTATCCAGAAGCTCTAGCTACAATCGTTGATGAAGGTGCCTACATTAAATGACAGATTTTCAATGTAGACAAAACAGCCTTATATTAGAAGATGCCATCTTGGACTTCCATAGCTAATATCTGGCTTTGAAACTTCAAAGAACCGACAGATTCTCTTGTTAGGGGCCAATGTGGCAGGTGATTTGAAACCAATGCTTATTTTTCATTACAAAATCATAGGGCTATTATGACTTATGCTAAATCTACTCTACCTGTGCTCTAATAAATGGAACAACAAAGCCTGGATGACAGCTCACTCTGTTTACAGCATGATTTACTGAATATTTAAAACTCACTGTTAAGATAAACTGTTCAGGAAAAGAAAAAAAAAAGTTCTTTCAAAATATTACTGTGTTCATTGACAGTGGACCTAGTCACCCAAAAGCTCTGATGGTGATATACAAAAGGATGAATGCTGTTTTCATGCCTGCTAACAGAAATCCATTCTGCAACCCATGAATGAAGGAGTCATTGACTTTCAAGTCTTATTGTTTAGAAAATACACTTCGTAAGGAAAAGTGATTCCTCTGATGGATCTGGGCAAAGTAAATTGAAAACCTTCTGGAATGAATTCACCATTCTAGATGTCATTAAGAACATTTGTGATTCATAGGAGGAGGTCAAAATATCGATATTCACAGGAGTTTGGAAGAAGTTGATTCCAGCCCTCACAGATGACTTTGAAAGGTTTAATACTTCAGTGGAGGAAGTAACTGAAGATATGGTGGAAATAGCAAGAGAACTAGAATTAGAAGTAGAGGTGGAAGATGTGACTGAATTGCTGAAATCTCATGATAAAATTATTGAATGGGTGAGGAATTACCTCTTATAGATAAGCAAAGAAAGTAGTTTCTTGAGATGGTATCTATGTCTGGTGAAGATGCTCTGAATGTTGTTGGGATAACAACCAAGAATTTCGAGTATTATATAAACTTAGTCGATAAAGCAGCAGTAGGGTTTGATAGGACTGAATCAAATTTTGAAGGAAGTTCTATTATGGGCAAAATGCTATCAAACAGCACTGAATGCTACAGAGAAACATTTTGAGAAAGGAAGAGTCAATTCATGTAGCAAACTTTATTCTTGTCTTATTTCAATAAATTTCCACAGCCATTCCTATTTTTAGCAACCACCATTCTGATCAGTCAGCAGCCAACAATATCGAGGAAGGACTGTCCACCAGCAAAGAGATTAGGATGTGCCAGGTGCGGTAGCACATGCCTGTAGTCCCAGCTACTCAGGAGGCTGAGGCAGGAAGATCAATTGAACCCAGGAGTTCTATGCTGTGGTGCACTATTCCAATCAGGTGTCTGCACTAATTGAAGCATCACTATGGTGACATTCTGGGAGTAGGGGACTACCAGGTTGACTAAGGAGGGATTAAATAGCTCAGGAAATAAACAGAGCAGGTCTAAACTCCCATGCTGATCAGTAGTGGGATTGTTTCTGTGAAAAACCACTGTACTCCAGGGGCAACATAGTGACACCCTGTATCTAAATTTAAAAAATAAAATAAAATAATTTTAAGAAAAGATTATGACTTGAAGGCTCAGATGATTGTTACCATTTTCAGCTAACATTTTAATTAAGGTATTTACATTGTCTTTTAGACATAATAGTATTACACACTTAAGAGACCAGCAGATAGTATAAACATAACTTTTATATGCACTGAGAAACCAAAAACACTGAGTAACACATTATTGTGATATTAACTTTTATTATGGTAGTCTGGAATCAAACCTGCAATATCTCTAAGGTATGCCTATACCATGCATATAATTCTACAAAAAAATAAAATTTGAAAAAAATATTTTCTGTGTCCAAAACATTTATATTTTAATGTTATAAAAACCAATCAAGCTTAGTATTTATTAATGAAGAATGTTTTAAAAGTTTCTGCACATGCTCCTAAACAATGATGGAAGCTTGGTGCTTCCCCTGATGACCATTTTCGATGGCATGTTCTAAAACAGGAAGATGAGAAAATCCCAAACATAAATTAAGAGAAAACCTGATGTGGTCAGAGAACAATTTCAGAAGGAGTGGCCAAGTGAGAAAACTGAAAGATAATTGTTTGTGATCAGACATTAGAAAGTTTAAAATTAAGAATTCAGGAATGTTACAACTCTGATTTACTTCCATTACCTCCATGAAACTTTTAGCAACACCTTGATGCAAAACCGAAGTCTTATATTTCTTCATTTGACACAAACAAATGGAAAAACATTCCATCCTCATAGATTGAAAAAATCAATATCATTGAAATGGCTATGCTGCACAGAGCAATCTGCAGATTCAATGCTATTACTATCAAGTTACCCATATCATTTTTCAAAGTATTAGAAAAAAAAATTCTAAAATTCATATGGAACCACTGAAGAGTCCAAATAACCAAAGCAATCCTAAGCAAAAGAATGAAGCTAGCTGAAGGCATCACATTATCTGATTTCAAACTATACTAGAAAGCTACAGTAACCAAAAGAGCATGGTACTGGTACAGAAATAGACCAATGGAAAATAATGGAGAACCCAGAAATAAAGATTCATATCTACAGTCATCTGATCTTCAACAGAGTTGACAAGAAAATAAGCACTGGGGAAATAACTCCCTAATTCAATGAACGGTGCTGGGATAGATGGCCGGCCATGTGCAGTGGAATGAAACTGGACATCTGCCTTTCACTATGTAGAGAAATTAACTCCAGATGGATTGAAGATTTAAATGTGATACTTCAAACAATAAGAATCCTATAAAAAACCTAGGAAATGCCATTCTGGACATCAGCCTTAGGAAAGAATTTATGACCAAGTCCTCAAAAGCAATTGCAACAAAACCAAAAGTTGACAAGTGGGACCTAATTAAACTAAAGAACTCCTGCTTAGCAAAAGAAACTATCAAAAGAATAAACAGACAACCTAGAGAATGAGAGAAAATATTCAAACACTATGATCCAACAGAGGTCTAAGATCTAGAATCTATAATGAACTTACACAATTAAACAAGCAAAAAACAACCCCATTAAAAAGTGGACAAAATACATGAACAGACACTTCTCAAAAGAAGACATCCAAATGGCCAAAAATGTATTTTAAAAATGCTCAACATCACTAATTATCAGAGAAATGCAAATCAAAACCACAATGAGAAACCATCTCACATCAGTCAGAATGGCTAAAAACAATAGAGGCTGGGGAGGCTTCAGAAAAAGGGAGATGCTTATACACTGTTGGTAGGAATGTAAATTGGTCCAGCCACTATGGAAAGGAGTTTGAAGATTTCTTAAAGTACTTAAAACAGAACTACCATTTGACCCAGCAATCCCATTACTGGTATATACCCCCCCAAAAATAAATTGTTCTACCAGAAAGACACATGCACTCATATGTTCATTACAGCACTATTAGCAATGGCAAAGACATGGAACCAACCTAGGTGCCCATCAATGGTAGACTGGATAAAGAAAATGTAGTACATGTCCACCATGGAATACTATGCAGCCATAAAAAGGAAATCATGTCCTTTGCCATTATCCAATGCAAACTAACACAGGAACAGAAAACTTAATATCGCATGTTCTCACTTATAAGTGGGAGCTAAGCATTGGTTACACATGAACATAAAGATGAGAACAATAGACAATGAGGACTACTAACTAAATGGGGGAAAACAGAGAGGGAGAAAAGTACTGAAAAACTACCTATTGGGTACTATGCTCACTACCTGGGTGAGAATCGTTCATACCCCAAACCTCAGCATCATACAATATGCCCATGTAACAAACTTGTACATGTACCCGCTGAATCTAAAAGTTGAAATTATTTTTTAAAATTAAAAACAAATTTACAAAAGTCTAATATTTCTATTGTTTTATTTTGCCATTGTTGTTGATTTAGCCTCATTTGTATTTATTTCTGACTGCCTTTTATATTTTATTTACAGAAAGTGCATAGTTGAGAATATAAGCTCTGGTGAACAGGCTTATATTCAAATCTAAGCCCTATCACTATCTAACTCTTCTACTTTCTCAGCTATCAAATAGAGCACTTGGATATTTATCGTCTTGAGCTACAATATCTCAAATTCTATTTTTAATATGGCTGTCTAGATGTGAACTAGGCATTTTATTTATGTATTTATGTACTTATTTATTTTCTAGAGATAGGGTCTTGCTATTTTTCCCAGCCTCGTCTTGAACTCCTGGAATCCAAGAATCCTCCCACCTCAGCTTCCCAAGAGGCTAGGATTACAGGTATGCACCACTGCACCCAGCTAAAGCCTTAAAAAAAAACAAAACTTCTATGTTCCTTTTCTTTTAAAAACAGGGTCTCATTTTGTCACCCAGGCTGGAATATAGTGGTGCTATCTTGGCTTACTGCACCCTAGCCCTCCTGGGGTCAAGCAAGCCTCCTACCTCAGCCCCTTAAGTAGCTGGGACTACAGGTGCATGCCACCAAGCCTTGGTAATTTCTACATTTTTTGTAGAGACAGGGTCTCACCATGTTGCCCAGGCTGGTCTCAAACTGCTGATCTCAAAGGATCCTCTTTCCTTGGCCTCTCAAAGTGCTGGGATTACAGGAGTGAGCCACTGTACCTGGCCTGTTTTCTTTAACTTTTTTTTTTTTGAGATGGAGTCTTGCTCTTTTGCCCAGGCTGGAGTGCAGTGGCGCGATCTCGGCTCACTGCAAGCTCCGCCTCCGGGTTCACGCCATTCTCCAGTCTCAGCCTCCCGAGTAGCTGGGACTACAGGCGCCCGCCACTGCGCCCGGCTAATTTTTTGTATTTTTAGTAGAGACGGGTTTTCACCGTGTTAGCCAGGATGAGTCTCGATCTCCTGACCTCGTGATCCACCCGCCTCGGCCTCCCAAAGTGCTGGTTTACAGGTGTGAGCCACCGCGCCCAGCCTTAACTTTCTAATTTAACTGTCATAAGACTGCAGTTTGAAAAATGTTAAAGAAATACTCGGTTCCCAAATTAAATTTTAAAACCCAAGAAATCTTTTATTTTCTATTTCTTAATGTTGGTTATGAAAGTATTGAACAAATGTTTATAGAAAGTGTTTTTTTAGGTTTATTAGAACTATTCTCTCACTGAGGCTACCTCATATACATACAGCCTTAAATATTTAAATGTAATCTAAGCATGAAACAAGTATCTCAAAACAAGTGTTTAAAAATGTGTATATAACAGTGGCAAATCTTGATAGGACAGTTCTTTTATGATTAATTATAGGCAACTGAAACATAAAATAATATTGAAATATTATCTGTCTTGTGTTAGATGAGAGCTGACTAATTTTGTGTGTGATAGAATGCAACAACATTCTGCATACCTGGTGTCCAATCCAGCTTTGCTTCTTGTTGAAAGTGCAACCTAATTCTTTTTACTTAACCTTGCTTGGCTTCAATTTTCTCATGTGAATTGGGATTAATGGAATTTCCCCCACCTCCCCCAATCTGAATTTGAGATTGAATAAAATAATTAACATGAAGTATTATTACAAAAACGAATGTTGTTAATATGAATTCATACACACAGTTTTTAAATTCACATATAGAAGATTTGATCTACGCTTAAGCTAAAGCGATACAGAGTAAATAAGACAGGTGGACAACCAGCATGTTCAGTGGAGAGCATTAATATACATGATTGCTATTTATTTTCTTTTCATAGAAAATGGCTTCTTTTAGAGCATTATTTCTTAAATAATGGGAGTTTCTATATGTGACCATTAAAAATACTATATAATTGTAGTCATAGTAGCATAGGCTGTAGGTTTCTAATTTCCTTCTTAAGAACAACTACACACAGATATTGAGATCACCATTAGCAACGCAATATCCAAAATATTTTTTAAGGAAGGACTAAAGAACACATGAAAAAGGACAGATATATTATACTCAGGTGGATTGCCTAGATACCTGACTTCTACAAAAGGTAATATCTCAATGACATACCAATAAAAATCTCCATGTGATTCTTTAGAGAGAGTAGTGGGTTAATTTTTAGGTAAAAGCACACAAACCTATGAAAATGCTAAAAAAGAATTGTGATGAGGATTTGCTCAGCAGATAGTCAAATGCTTTAGAGCTACTGTGTTTGTGTGTGTGTCACTGTGTTGCTTGTACAAAAACAAAAAAAAGGCTAAATACAAGACGCACAGTTAATTAGGTACACAAAAACTTAAATTTTTGTATCACAGCATGGAACAACATAAATTCAAGTAAATTAAAGAGTTAAAAAATCAAAGTAAAATACAAGAAGCAAATATAAGGTAATACCACTATAAATTAGTACAGAAACAACGATCTAAATAAAAATGAGAGAATGAGATTATTGTGACATAAAAACAAACATGTTACATCAACATAATGGTAAAAAATTTTTTAAAAAATGATAAATTAAAAAACTTGTTAGTGAAAAATTTGACTGAAAATTATCTTCAATAATAAAATATATTTATTTTTCCATATTTTTATGATAACCTTTTTAAAAATTACATTTACTTTTAAAAATTTTATTATGGTAAGAACATTTAACACAAGATCTACGTTCTTAACAAATGTTTAAGTATTGTTAACTCTGGCCACGATGTCATACATCAAATCTCTAGAATTTACTCAACTTGCATACCTGAAACTGCCTGTTAAACAGAAGTTCCTCATTTCTGTATCCCTCCAGCCCATGGTAAGCACTAATCTACTGTTTCCGTGAGTTTGACTATTTTAGATATCTAGTGTAAGTGGAATTATTCAGTATTTGTACTCCTATGACTGGCTTACACAGATTGGCTACAGATTCGTTCACCTTGTCTCATATGGCAGAATTTCCTTCTTTTTCAAGGCTGAATTGTATTCAATTGTGTATATATGCCAAACTTTCTCCTTTCATCTGTTGATACACACTTAGGTTCTTTCCACGTCTTGGTTATTTTGAATAATTCTGCAATGAACACGAGAGTGCACATACCTCCTCTAGATGCTGATTTCAGCTCTTTTGGATAAATATCTAGAAAGAGAATTGCTGGATCATATAGTAGATCTATTTCTAATTTTTTGAGGAACCTCTATACTCTTTTCCATAAAGGCTGTATCATTTTACATTCCTGAGAGATGACAAAGGTCCCAATTTCCCCACATCCTTGCCAACACTTGTTACATTTTATCTTTTGATAATAATTAATTTGTGTGAGGTGATATGTTATTGAGGTTTTGATTTACATTTATCCAGTGATTAGTGATATTGTGTATCTTTTCATATAACTGTTGGCCATATTTATGTCTTCTTTAGATGTCTACTTAAATCATTTGCCCATTTTGAAATCAGGTTACTGGTAGGTTGTTTGTTTGTTTTTGTTTTTGCTATTCAGTTGTAGGGGTTCCTTGTATAGCAGCTGGGATACTGATCCCTCATGAAAAATCTGGTAAACTTTCTTCAGCAAAAGTCAAGTTTCTTCAGCACAAGTCAACTTAGAAACAATATAAAATGACAATTTAATTTTTTAAGCGAGAAAAAGGACAAAAAGGAAGATTAACGGAAGAAGGCAAGTAGCCAAAGTCACTGATAAACATTTATCTTCACCAGTAAATAAAATGAATGCAAATTTTGAAAATGACATTCTATCTTTGTCAATTTAGCTAATTTTTTTAAAAAATTATGTAAGAATAAGAGATAGCAATAAGCATTGTCATTTTCTGTTTGGGAGACTATATTACTATAACGTTTCAGAGAAAGATGCAATTTGGATATGTGTGTAAATACATTTATAAGAGGTAAAAGTGACCCAGTAATTCTGATATAAATAATTTTAGTCTTCAGTTAATAAGCAGCGATATATAATGTATTAATGTTGTAAATGAGTATTTGTTCAGGTTTTGTTTGTAACACATAAAAATAGAAAACAAACTAAATATTTAATGTGTAAGAAGTTGCATAACTCTTCATATAGCCATAGCTTGAAGATATATCAGAAAAAATACTTATATATAAAAAAGTAAAATAATGTTGACAGAGAAAGTTGTAAGTAAGGGTGTCAGAGTCACTTTTTAGAATATGTCACAGTAAAATTGACTTGCATTCACTAAGATAGTGAGGGTAGAAAGATGATTTACCTATAAGTAAATTGTAATGAACTGGTATGAATTAAAATAATTGCTGTATATTATTTATAAATCAACAATAGAAAATTAACTGTATTGTTCATATACAATTTAGTTAATGTAATATTTAACCCAACAATGTTTTTATTAACCCTTTATTTCTGTGGTAGGTTTTTCCATTTTGATAATTAAAACCCTTAATATACATAGAATTTCATAATGTGATGTGATTCAATAAAAGAAAGATATCCCAGGCAAGATGAAATCAGCTGATGGAAATTTCCTTTCTAATTCATCCATCTGAAACGAGTTACCATAGCAAAAAATAAACCTAGCCTGTCTACCATTGGTCTTGCAGTCTTGGAACCATTTATGATTGCCACATTTCCCTTCACCAAATGAGGCTAATAGTGATCATTCTGACATAATTCATGCAGCTATGGCACTTTACAGACTTCAAGTAGACACAATAATTATCTACTGTTCTCAAAAAAACTCCTGTGAGGCAGGCAAATTGACAAGGAAATCCATGAGGCTCAGATGCATAACCAAAATCCTAACATCACACTGATAATAAATGGTAGAAATGATACCCTCTTCCTTTTTCTAGTCCTGACTCCATTAAACACACTTGTTGAAGATCAGTATATGAGAATTCCTAATTTTCTGCTGTATAAATCAAATGAATAAAAATGGTTTTGTGCATGCTTGTATGTGTTTTTATGTATATGTATATGTATGTATATGCTGAGTTGCCATTAAGTGGTTTTAATGTAACTTAATTCACAAATTTTAATGACCACGCAAATTACTTGGGGATTATTTTACCATTAGTAATCCGGCCAGAGAATGGATGAAGTATGGGATTTCCATTTGTAACAAGTTTTTTGCCTGTTCATGGACACACTTTACAAAGACTGATCTTAATTTTAATATTTTTTTCTTTATTCAAGAATGTCAAAATAAGCAAGAAAAAATTTCTCAACTTGACCATTTATGTATTGCTTTCTTTCTCACCTATACAAAGAAAGGTATATACCTTCATCATAATCCGAACACCCAAAGGCACATTTAAATATTTTATTTCTTTCTACTTATAAGCAATGCCATGTCTCAGAAAGATTAAAGAGATAGAAACCCTGCAGTAAAAAAATCAATGATTTAAGATGTAATTAAGTTTAGATTTTCAAACTATCACAACCCTCCTAGTTTTTCAACTGATGGTCTTTGCACACCAACGTGACAGATTCTTGATTCTTTCCCTCTTGCCGACAAAAATAAAGATGATAAAGGGTCTGTAAAACCATTTTGTTACTAGAATTTATGCAAAATTTGTTTTTCCTGCCTTTAGGAGAAAGAATACTTTCACTTTTTTCTTGTCAAAGGAGAATGTAGTTTGGGATCCTGAATATTATGTTTGGGTCATCTGACTTTCAAGCCCTTTATTAAAGATGGCAGCTAGTAATGCATGTAACATTTGTATATAGGAAACTTCTTCTGCAAGGCATTTGTATTTTACTGTGTGACTTCTGGACAGAATTCTTTTTGGTTATTTTGTTTTCTAAAAACGTTCTAATTTTAGAATATTTCTAGAAATGTGAAGATAGAACAGATAGCTATCACATACACCACACTGAGTTTTTCCCATTGCCAACATCTTACATTAGTATATTTGTCACAATTAACTAACCAATATTACTATATCATTATTCACTAAAGCTCAGACTTGCTCAGATTTCCTTAATTTTCATCATCTAAAATCCTTTTTCTCTTCAAAGATTTCATCCAGGATACCAAATTACTTGGAGTCTTCATGCCTTCCTAGGCTCCTTTTAGCTGTAACTGTGTTTCAGATTTTCTTGTTTTGAATGACATTGAGAGTTTTGATGATTAGGGATCAGGTATTTATACCCAATCCAAAGGGTCGAATTTATCTGTTTTTTTCATAATCAGACTGAAGTTATGGGTTACCATAGAATGTTTTCCTGAACATTGTAAAATTACATTAAAGCAAACTACAACTGAATTAAAAGTTTTGTATTTTGTAATAATGATGTCTCTCTATAAGTATGACAGTGTTGCAATCTTTTGACTCTGCCACAACATTAGGACAAGTCAATAGTGTAGATCACTATTTACCCATCCAGTAGTCAGCACTCATACATCCAGCAGACAGGCTTGGACTCAGCCTGAGTTTGGGTGCTACTGATATTACCATCTTATGTTAAACGGTTTAAACCAATTGTATTATAAATATATATTTTCAAATTTTATATGTATTATAATGTTTTGACATCTTAAAACTCCTTTCTGGCTGGGGAGAGATTGTCCCTTCCTGATGATAATTCTTAGAAATGACAAAGGGTCTAGCTAGCAATGTGCCTTTGCTATACAAACAAATGAACCCAGAGCCATGCCTCCTTTATCTGACTTTTACACACCAGGAGGCAATAGCCCCCTGCCTAAACCATTCCAGGCCAGGTATCATGCAACTAGAATCTACTGCTATAGGTTAGAGCCCACTGAAATTATTCAAACAAGCCATACTAAACTGCTTAACCTGCCCTGCCTTGCCTTTCTTGCTGAAAAATCCCAGTAAAGACCAAGGTCTAATCCTCTCCCTCCCCCTACCACCTGTTGACATGGTGTATCTTGCCTCTGGTCTGTAAAACCTGAGAGTATAATAAACTCTGTTTCCCTCAGCCTTTCCTGCATTTCCTCTTGTGGCTGTACCTCACTGATCATCACATAAAAGAACACAAAACACCAATTGAAGTAGTTTTTGATGCCTACGATGAACTTGTGAATAAAATATAATTGACCACCTTTCCATAAATATAAAACTTATAAAAGTTGCATTCTTTCTTCAGAACTTTTTTTTTTTTTTTTTTAGTTTTTTGGCTGAGTTAGAGTTGGAAGCAGAAAAAGGTGAGTATTCTTCTCATGTCAAGTGATATATATTCCTATATTTTTTAATATGAATTAGTGGCAGGTTTCACCAATCTCTGGTCGTTCCTGCCCTGCACTAATGAGGGATGCATGCCCACCTATTTGTTAACTTAGTCTTTTTTAGACTTTGAGTCAAATAAAGTGAGGCTTCATAGTATATTGCTGTTTTTACTTAACTATGAATAGGTATTACATAGGCTAACTGCACCCAATATATCAGCATTAGCCTCTGTTCTTTGTGCTTTCATTGTTCTAATAGTCACCAGTCAGCCGAACTGGCATTTTTCCCAGGTTCTGGTTTCTGGATTATATCCCACCTGACAATAAATGTAAGAAATTGTATATGGGGCAGCCTAGAAACCTAACTCTTTTGTTTTGTTTGCTTCTGCCAGTTTTTCTATGGCTGGACCCTGTTTCTACATTCTTATGTCACACCACACAGCATCTTGATAGATCATTGAAACTATTGTTATGTAGAAGCTCTACCTTTTCCATATTCTGTCATATCATTGTGGAAATTTCCACTGTGGTGTGTAGATACATGGATGTGTCAAAAACAGGCGATATATATGGCCAAGTCTTTTGCTTCTAGTAGTAATATTAAATGTAACACATATGGCTAATATTTGGATTGACTACTTCAACACCTTATCCAACCTTTCTCCTGGTGTGCTTTGTAGCTAAAACTATATTTTCTAGACTCCTTTTTGGCAAGTGTTCCCAAAGATATTGAAGGTCCACCAATCATAATATTCATTTGACACTTGATCTTATAACTCAATTAAATGGGTAGAGAGAAGATATTGCAATGGCATTCATTTTGCTGGTGTAGATTTAGCAGTAATAGTTCAGGTGACATCATTCCCTAATGTGGCTTCTGACACTGGATTAGCTAAAGGGGTATTTTTTTTTTAATCTAATAGTTGTGGCTAGAGGTTCCTGGCATCTCTATGATGGCTAAGGTGGTAAGATATTTGAATAAGTAGTTCCTACAGCAACTGAGAAGTCATATTAGAAGGGTAGTTTCCCTGTGAAAAAGCCAGGTTGGTCCTGTTTTTTTATTTTATTTTATTTTTGACACTGAGTCTTACTCTGTTACCCAGGTTGGAGGAGTGTAGTGGTATGATCTTGGCTCACTGCAACCTCTGCCTCCTGGGTTAAAGCAATTCTCTGCCTCAGCTTCCCAAGTAGCTGGGATTACAGGCGCTCACCACCACGCCCGGCTGATATTTTTGTATTTTTAGCAGAGATGGGGTTCCACCATGTTGGCCAGGCTGGTCTTGAACTCCTAACCTCGTGATCCACCTGCCTCGGCCTCCCAGAATGTTGGGATTACAGACTGAGCCATCACGCCCGGCCTGTCAAGTCATTTTTAGAGATTTTGTCTAGAACCAGGTCTTCTGGCCCTTCAAATAATTTGTAAGTACCTAACTCCCTATAACTTTCAATAAACTGTTGCTAAAACAATGCTGTATAACAACTAACCAAAAATTCTTAATAGCATTCAACAATAAGCATTTATTTTTCATGTCTATGTGTCAGACTGTGGTCTGCTGATTTGCCCTGGGCTCTTGTAAAGGCAACGCCTATCCTTTTTGGTGTGTCAGGCTAGCTGGACATGGCAATGGCAGATGACCGAAAGACCAAATCTACTCACTCAAGCATAATTCAGCCCAATACCTGTGTTATATCTGTTACATCCCACTGGCTAAGGAAAGTCACACGGTGAGCCCAACATCCAGAAGTGGAGAATTACTGCAGTAAGTACCATGCCACAGGGTGAGACTGCACAATCCCATCATGAAGCAGAGAGTGAAGGGTGGAAACCATAATTCAGTCCATCATAAAATACAAATCTCTTTTTACCAAAATAGCTAAAGTGGTTTAAGTCATCTGTAACAGAACACTGAACAATAAAGAGTGTTTTATTACCTTATTTATAAGTTCAGTATATATTTAAGATCTCTATATTAACTCCATTCTCATTAATTTAAATATAATATAATAAACTTTCTTCAGTAAGAGAAAAAAGAGTGGATTTAACACCAAGAACAGAGAAAGTGAACTTGGAGATATCTTTTACATGTGGAAAACTGTTGGGAGTCCCTGAATCAGACCCTTTGGGTGACTACTGGGAACAGGAACAGGATTGGCTACTAGGAATTTTTGCTTGATAATTTGAACTATTATCCCGATTGTTATCACCAAAATTTTGAGCTGCAAAGTTAGTTTTCTCCAGCCCTAACCCCATCTGGCTCTGGCTGTTTCCAATCTTCTTGCTGGAATGCTTGCAGCATATCATGCAATCAGAAACATAGTGATTAAGGCAGGCTAATTGAATTGTAAAATGTGAAAGGCCATTTGAACGTCAGACTTTATGTCTTTTAGAAATTGAGGATTGCCACTATTGATACGGTTTCATGTGTGTCCTGGGGTGAGGAGTTGAGTGGAGGGGCAGGAGCAATTACTTCTAGGGAAAATGGTATTACCTTTCCTCTCTGAAACTATGTAAAATGATGTGAGCAGAGTAGCAAAAGGGAAAAAATATAAAAGGGATAGACTTGATATAAAAATAGTGAGATTGTTTGTGTTTTGTTACCTAGAAGTACTCAGAGATGACATCTATCACCATTCCCTCTCTCTTATCTTTGTTTCTAAGCTTTTTCTTTTCCAATTTTAAAAAGACTTTAGAAAGAATGATAAAGCCTGCTGAACATCATGATACATAAATCTCTAAAGGTTCCAATCATTTATTTCTCAGCAGTTACTTATAACAAATTATATCTGGTAAAGGAACTGAAAATATTTATCAAAATATTTATTCTCTAAAATTATTGGTTCATTTAAGTCATTTAAGTTTGATTTTGTGTGCTTGACTGTAGGCCTATTTATATATTTTTAAAATTATTTTTTATTACCTTAGAGGTTTAAACATTTTTTTTCTGCAGAATCCCTTTTTACTCTTTGCTTTCTGTGTCGTTCCTCCAAATGCTTTTCCATGTGTTCTCAAGAAGTAGAAATGGATAGTACATCATGTGTCTCCCTTTCCTACTAAATATGGATTATTACACATTATTTGAATTGACAGTGTTTTGAGTCCTTTGCCTGTCTAACGTACAGGTCACTTTTGATGGACTTCTTTTAAATCATCAATATATTGCCAGGAAGTATTTTTACCTCTTGGGTGAATGTGTCTAACAAAGCATTGAAGCACTAATTTCAAAATATATTGCTTTCTTAGAAGTATTTAACACAACATCAGTTTGTAAATCTTAAAAATTAAGGCTTAGAATTTTTTTAAAAAAATTGTTGAACTAAAAATTCAGCAACAAGGCAGTAACTTTTAAAAAACAATTCTATTCAATAAGAATAGGAAATTATATTGAATAGAATAACTACAAGAAATGCCAACATCAACTATCCTAGTTTGACCCTAACCTGAAAGACACATATCCAAATCACTATCACCCCAAAAAATTAATTATAGCTTTTTACTTATTATTACTTTTTTTCCTATTCTGGTATTATCAAGGAGATGAGACAGGGTGTTATTAGATAATTACTATTCTTCATAATTTTTGCATATTTGTATGTGTGATTGTGTGTGACTTTTTGATAAACTGTCTAATTCCCAGTCCAGTTCTGTCTCTTCCACCAAGACTGCTAACATTGAACTACCTGTGAGTGATGTTGGTCATGACCCTGGGTAAACAGGAATCACAGATGATCTTGGACATAATGAACCTTCTCTTTTGGACTGGTATGCTCATTCAAGATCAAAACCTCAAACTTTTTTTCCAGGTTTTCCCCTCTGAACAGTTAGGAATTTAAACAAGACATAGCCAAGGACTCAAGCACTTTGATTCTGTGATTTCATTTAAATATAAAACCCGTATCGGGAAATGTAAGACAAATTACAATAAAAGAGAAGTAGTAATATGAAGATAGATATTAAAGAATAGATAGTAATAACACTAATAGCAGCCACCATTTCTACCTTGTGTACTCTGTGCCAGAAAAAATGCTCACAATATCATCTCATGTAATAATCATAACTGCCCTACAAAACTGGCCTCTTTTATAGAGGCGATATCATCTCTGCTTCATGTTTGAGAAAATGGAGGCTTAGGTGGTTCACACAGCTAGTAAGTAGTACATCGGGGGTGAAAATTTGGAAAACTTATTCCCAAATCATACACTCTTAACCAGTGTGTTAATATGCCTAGGTTGTACTTCCTCAACAGTAACCGTGGAACTTCTGGATTTATCCCTAAATTGCAATTTTTCTTCCATCCTTTCATAACTCTCCTTAGCCCCAGTTACTCTGTCAGTATTCGTGAGATACATGTGTATCTTCTCCGTTTTCTTGGGGGCAAGGAGGGAGAAGTTAATATTTTTCTTAAAGCAACACTTTAGGAAGGAGTGTTATTTTTCTCAGGCTTTAATTATTCACACATTTTTATAAGGCAAGCCTAAGGGAAAGAATTAATAAATGAAAAGAGATTACAGTTTGTCTAATTAAAATCCCTCTCTGGTACTAAGAAGGCTTTATAGCAAATATGCATGGGCATTAGATCACTGTGTAAGCAATGCAATAGCTGAACTAATAAAGAGTATTTTATCCTGTCAGCTCAGCTTCAGGTTGGGAGTTGCGGTAAAGTGAGTATATCCTACTCAGGGCCTCTCATGATTTAATAAAAATGCCTGTCTTGTTCTCTAAGAATTTAACTAACCAGAGAGTGAACTTTTTCTTTCCCTGCTGGGATCACAGATTGCAAATCAGTTTTCTCTGCCTAAAAGCAATCACCTAAGCCAGTGGTTATGTGAGACTAGGGTAAAAGAAAAAAGTCATAAAAATTAATGAGCCTACCTGATGAGCAGGCTTTCAAGACCATAACTCTGGGCATGGGAGAACTGAAGTCTTACTTGGTACTGGCTCGAGTGGGTGTAGACTGTACTGCATGCTTGTGATTTTGAATCGTTTGCTGCATGTGAACCACTTTTGAAAAACGCTTCTATTCCACCTCTTCCTGCCACTACAAAAACAAAATTTTATGAAGACAAAACAAAATACACCATTAGCAGAGTTAATGGTCTGTAAGTGAGGAATCTGTTGGATATTTGTAGCAGAAGACTTCCCCAAACTGGCTGTGGCAATTTTATTGACTCATGTAACTAAAAATTCCAGTTGTAGGAATTACTTTAAGATTTGATGCAGAGTTGACGCAAGGCTCAAGATGCCTCCACTCCTCTCTCATCCCCTCATTCTCCCCCCTCTCTCACCTCTTTCTCCACCCTCTTGCCCTGCCCTTTTCTGGGCCCTTCTCTGATTTTCATGGTATTTGCTTTACCAGAAATCTGGCTGGATCACCTTGTGAGATGTCTGCCAACAACTTCTGGGAGTTACAGGCTTACATGCCTGCTTCTTCCTAGTAGTCCTTTCTGAATAACAAGAGTGTATCTCTTATTATAAGACTACACCAAACATTTATGAAAGTCCCCTTACTGGGTCAAATGGCCTGAACAACAATCAAGTGGCTCTTTTCTTCTCTTTTCTCCTTTTTTTGAGACAGAATCTCACTCTGTCGCCCAGGCTGGAGTGCAGTGGCATGATCTCGGCTCACTGCAACCTCGGCCTCCAGGGTTCAAGCAATTCTCCTTCCTCAGGCTCCTGAGTAGCTGGGATCACAGGCACCCACCACCATGCCTGGCTAATTTTTGTATTTTTAGTAGAGACAGGGTTTCACCGGGTTGGCTATGTTGGTCTCGAACTGCTGACCTCAGGCAATCCGCCCACCCTGGCCTCCAAAAGTGCTGCGATTACAGACATGAGCTACACCGCCCCCACCAGCATGTTTTCTCAAGCCAATTACCATCCTCCTCAGAGGCTGGACTGGGCATGGCCTGTGGTCTGACAGAGGCACACATTCCCAAAAGAGAAGCAAATTAGTAATATGAAGATAAAGTGGGAATGGATAACAAGCAAATATAGCCAATGTTCATTAGAAATTGGAAGACAAACTACTTTATAAATTAACTATCAATAAGTAGCAGGGCATTTGCATAATTTTCTGCCAGACTATATATGGCTTTGCCATTGTATTAATTGTCATCCTCTTGCTGACAAATGGCAGAGCTCCCTTAAGCTACCATTTGCCTTTCTTCTGAAAATCAAGCAAATAACAAATATTCCATTGAATGTTCACTATAACATTTTTAAGCCATAAGGTAAAATTTTAAGTAGATAATTTCTTATGTGCATAAAAAGTATTTACCAGAATTAGAAAATGTGTGTAGCTTTTCTAATGTGAACAGCCTTTTCATCATCTCTTGCCAGGACAAATACATTTTTGACTGAAGTCAAACATACATCAGATTCCTACCCAACAGAGAGTTTTATTAGTTAATATCAATAATTTAAGCTCAAATGCAAAAAGAAATCTATCATACCAGAGACTTACCATATTTACAATGTGGCAGTTGCTGTGAGGGGCATCAACAAGTGAAACTAAAATCATTAGAATATGTCCTTCAGGAGCACATACTTATTTAGGCCGACAACTTACTATTAATCTGGCACGATATTTGGAAGAGAAGCCTTGTAGAAGTCACAAATTATCTTTTGACAATGTAGTTGCATTGAGCAAAGCATGGGATAGCTTTGGAAATGAGTATATTGGGTTATATACACAAACCTGAACCCTCACTTTAGGTATTGGCTTTGAGGGTTGCCGTCTGAGGAAATGCCAATAGGATTATAATAACGGGCCCACTGTGTATAATTTTATAGTCTGCCCATATTTTCAATAACCCTTCTCCCTGCTTGGGTTATTTGTTTTGATTTCCTATCACTGGAGAAATATCTCACAAAACAATTAGATGAATTCATTTTCCATATTTTTATAACAGAAAGTCTAATTAATGATAAATACTATAAAACACATCAACCATGCATTAAGTGGATACATATAAGTCCTGAGAGTTATCTTCATCATGTATTCATGCTCCACATTTCCATAGGAAGATCTTAAGCAGCACTTGGTTGGGTATTTAGCTTCCTACTTTCCCAGAACTCCACTTCGGGTACTGAATCTTAGAAGAATCTAGAAATTGTTTATTGAGTTTACTTCAGCCAAATTTCTGTCATATTTATTCTTTCCATCCTTCTAGATATTCTAGTGTGTGTGTGTGTGTGTGTGTGTGTTTTTTGAGACAGAGTCTCACTCACTCTGTGGACAGGCTGGAGTGCAGTGGCGAGATCTCGGCTCACTACAAGCTCCGCCTCCCAGGTTCACGCCATTTTCCTGCCTCAGCCTCCCGAGTAGCTGGGACTACAGGCACCCACCAGCACACCTGGCTAATTTTTTGTATTTTTAGTAGAGACGGGGTTTCACCATGCTAGCTAGGATGGTCTCGATCTGTTGACCTCATGATCTGCCCACCTCGGCCTCCGAAAGTGTTGGGATTACAGGCGTGAGCCACCGCACCCGGCGGTGTTGTTTTTAAAAATATACATCATAATTAAATTGAGAGACGATATGCTTTTCTTTGCCTCTCTGTATATTCCCTCAACCTACCCACCCCTTCACTCCACAGAAACATTTCCTGTTTATAGAATCTTCTGCATTTATAAGGCAGGTGCTTTTGCCCTTTAGTTTTTCAAGAAGAATCTAATAAACATTTGTAGGACTCACATACTTGGCTTTTTAAACATCATCAAATAACAAACTAATATTTCTTAAAACTTTACTTATTAAACACTAAGTTTTGGTTCCTCTAAAATATTCGTATTTAATCCATGTGATAACCAACTATTTTCAGCAACAAACTTTTGCTCATTGCTTATTTATCTATGTAAAAGGGATTGCAATTGTAAATTTGTCTGTTAGACGGTAGTAAATTATTTCTTTTGCTTTTCTGTCTATATAGTTTTCCATAATTATCTTAATCGTCCTCATTTTGATCTTAAATAGCCAGTGGTTCATAAATAAGAATAAACAGCAAAATCATCTAGAATTATTTTGTAATTATGCAAATATTCAGTCCCATTCTAGAAATTCTCATGTAATATTGAGAGGTGACAACGTGCTATCAGCCCTCGCTTGCTCTCTCGGCACCTCCTCAGGCCAAGGCATCCACTCTGGCTGTGCTTGAGGAGCCCTTCAGCCCGCCACTGCACTGTGGGAGGCCCTGTCTGGGCTGGCTGAGGCCGGAGCCGGCTCCCTCTGCTTGCAGGGAAGTGTGGAGGGAAAGGCGCAGGCGGGAACCGGGGTTGTGGGAGGTGCTCACAGGCCAGTGCGAGTTCCAGGTGGGTGCAGGCTCAGCGCGCCCTGTACTCGGAGCGGCCCCGGGCAGTGAGAGGCTTAGCACCCGGGCCAGCAGCTGCAGAGGGTGCACTGGGTCCCCCAGCACTGCTGGCCCGCCCGTGCTGCGCTGGAATTCTCACCCAGCCTCAGCCGCCTCCACACAGGGCAGGGCTGGGGACCTGCAGCCTGCCATGCCCGAGCCCCCCGCCCCAAGGTGGGCTCCCGCAGGGCCGAGCCCCCGCCAATGGGCTCCGCTCCCTGCTCCACGGCACCCGGTCCCATCAACTGTCCAAGGGCTGACGAGTGCGGGCACAAGGCGCAGGACTGGCAGGCAGCTCTGCCCACGGCCCCTGCACGGGATCCACTAGGTGAAGCCAACAGGGCTCCTGAGATGGGTGGGGACATGGAGAACTTTTATGTCCAGCTGGAGGATTGTATATGCACCAATCAGCACTCTGTGTCTAGCTCAGGGTTTGTGGATGCACCAATCAGCACTCTGTATCTAGCTGATCTGGTGGGGACTTGGAGAACTTTTATGTCTAGCTGGAGGATTGTAAATTCACCAATCAACACTCTGTGTCTAGCTAAAGGTTTGTAAAAGCACCAATCAGCACTCTGTCAAAATGGACCAATCAGCTCTCTGTAAAACGGATCAATCGGCTCTCTGTAAAATGGACCAATCAGTAGGATGTGGGTGGGGACAGATAAGGGAATAAAAGCAGGCTGCCTGCACCAGTAGTGGCAACCCGTGGGGGTCACCTTCCATCCTGGAGGACATGTGTTGTTTTGCTCTTCACAATAAATCTTGCTGCTGCTCACTCTTTGGGTTTACACTGCCTTTATGAGCTGCAACACTCACCGTGAAGGTCTGCAGCTTCATGCTTGAGGCTGGCGAAACCACGAACCCAGCAGAAGGAATGAACAACTCAACACGCGGCGCTTTGAAGAGCTGTAACACTCACCACGAAGGTCTGCAGCTTCACTCCTGAAGTCAGCAAGACCACGAACCCACCAGAAAGAAGAAACTGTGGATACATCTGAACATCTGAAGGAACAGACTCGGGACACACCATCTTTAAGAACTGTAATACTGTGAGGGTCTGCGGCTTCATTCTTTAAGTCAGGGAGACCAAGAACCCACCAATTCTAGACACAGTATCTATGTCAGAAAGAGGCAAAATTAAGAAAGGTACCTACAAGCCTGATGAAGAATCACTGTTACTTTTTCTGTAGAGGGAGTGGGTCCCTCCACGTCCGTCATCTGATTTCCTCTTACTTGGTCAGAAGCCATATTCCAAGCTTTCATCCTTGCAGGAAAATTCATCTTACTTTGAGAAATTTGGTCACTTAAGAGAGACAAAACAATATTATAAGACTGCTCAAGAACAAAAGAAACCATGACTACAATACACATATTGACGGATTTTATATATCACTTGGTATTTGAATCAACATGAAAATGAGTAAAAGATGTGAAGGGCACCAGGGAGCTTGAGAGACACGTTTAGTTTCAGCTTTAAAATATTCACCCAGGTACACAGTGGGAGAGAAGCTTGTGTTGAAAAATGGTGTTTTTAGGTATATAATGCAAATTGTAATATCACTCTTGATGTTGATCAATTCTTTGTTTTCCTCTTTATAGTTCTAGGTAGGAGATTTTTGTGCTGCTCAATTATAAAAGTTTCTCGGCTTTGCTGTTTTTTTCTACTTTTTCTTAAAAAATATCATCCATTCCTCTTTATTATTTCCTTTCTTTTACTTTTTTTCAGCTTAAGATAGAATCTTAGTTCATTGTATCTAAGCCTGTTATCCTTTTTAACAGGTATTAAAATACATAGTTTCTCTCTAACCACTCTTTTAACTATACTGCACAGATTTTGATAGGTTGTATTTTTATGTTTGTTCACATAAAATATTTTCCATTTTTTGATCATGAATTATTTAGAAATGCGTTTAATTTCCATATATTTTGTTTTTACATGTCTTAGTGTTATTGATTTCAAGTATATTTTTGTTATATTTGGGAATATATTTATAATTGTTTTAGTTTTAATGAGGCTTTTATTATTATTATTTTGCCTGAAGCTGTCTTGGTGAATGATTTTCATGAAAAATAGTTTTAGTTCTAGTTGTTGGCTTTCTATCAATTAGATCAAGGTAATTGACAGTGTTCTAGTTCTATCTGTGCTAACTAGTTCTGTCTAGTTCTCTAGTTCAATTAGTTTTATCAGTTGCTTTATGTCTACTGTTATCATTTGTGGAAATGTTATAAAGGTATTTGTTTTTTTGTTTTTGTTTCGTTTTGGAAACGAGGTCTTCCTCTGTTGCCTAGACTCGAGTGCAGTGGTGCAGTCATAGCTCACTCAACCTCCTGGACTCCAGCAATCCTTCCACTTCAGCTTCCCAAGTAGCTGGGATGTTATTAATAATTAGTTGGGCATGATATGTCATGCCCAGCTAAGTATATTTTGGTAGAGATGATGTCTGTGTTGCCCAGGATGGTCTCGAAGTCCTGGACTCGAGTGATTCTCTCACCTCAGCCTCCCAAAGCACTGGGATTATAGGCATGAGCCACCATACCTGGCCTAAAAACATGATTACTATGATTATATAATTATCTATTTTTCTAATTCTGTCCATTTTTTATGTGTTTTGTGGCTGTAATTATCTATTTTTCTAATTCTGTCAATACTTTTCTTCATGTGTTTTGTGGCTATGTCATAGGACAAATACAAATTTATGACTTATATAGTCCTCTAATGGGTAGATAAAATATGTCATTTTCTGTTTCCATTACTGCTTTATCATTATAAATTTTCCCTATTTATCTCTAATAGCATGTCTTAAAATCTATTTTATCTGACATTAATATATCATTTTGGATTACTATACTTGCTGTTTGCATGAAATATATTTTTTATCAATTTACATTTTTCCATTTCCATCTGTGTATCCGTAAGGGGCATTTCTCACAGATAGCATTCCATTTGGTTCTTGCTGTTCCAATCACCTCTGCCTTCTGTTTGGAGTGCTTAGACCATTAATACTTAATGTAATTGTTGGCATAGTTGAATTTTGGTATATTATTTTATAATTTCTTCTTTTGTCCTTTCTCTTCTTTTGCATCCTTTTTCTCTTTATCACCTTCTTTTTTATTATTTGGCAATTTATTTCTATCTCACCTCTATTTCTTTAATCTTATTGTTTGCTCTGAGTGTACAAAATACAACCTTAGCTCTTCACAGTATATTTATAGTTAATATTGTACCACTTTACAGAAAAAGTAGAAATTTGCAGCCATATATCCATTTATTTCTCACCTGCCATTATTTTTACTGTAACTATGTCATATTTATTGTATCCACATATAATATAGACACCTTAAGATGTCACGTTTCTTATTTATAATCATATATAAAGAATAAGAGAAAAAATATTTTTTATGTACCTGTATATAAAACATTTGCAGTGTTCTACATTTGTACCTAAAGATACACATTTCCCTTTTGCACCAATTTTTTTAGCCTGAAGAACTTCTTTAACATTTATTGTAGTGGTAAGTCAACTGGTAATGAATTCTTTTAGTTTTCTTTTATCTGACAGAATCTTTACTTTTATTTTAGGGGCATATTTTTACAAACATACAATTCTTTTTTAGTGATTTCCCCTTATTTTTTCATCACCACAAAGATGCTGTCCCACTCTCTCTGGCCTCAATTGTTTCTGATATAATGTATCCCTGTATTTAAAGTGTTATTTTTCCTTTGCTACTATGGAGAGGGGAAAGTACTATCTTTTCCTCACCCATCGCAAAATTCGTAGCTTAAACCCATGTAACAAACAGCAGCAAACCATAATAACCAAAAAACAAAAAAACAGAACAAATTCACATAACCAAAATTTTACATGGTACAGAGCCTTCCAAAATGAAGACCCAAGGCTGGGCATGGTGACTTACATCTATAATCCTACCGTTTTGGGAGGCTGAGGTGGGAGATTTACTTGAGGCCAGGAGTTCAAGACCAGCCTGTGCAACATAGTGAGTCCTCCATCTCTACATAAATAACATTAAAAAGTAATTTTTAAAAATAAAGACTCAAAACCCATGAAAAAACTATGTGTTTTTATGGATAGTCATGCAAAAGTATGAATGAGACAAAAGGGTATAATTTAATGGTAATAAACTGTAAACATTTAGCAAAGCCTATGTGTTCAGATTCTTCATGGCCTGTCTAACATTCCTTCCTTCCAGGTATAGGAAAGGACATCTGTCACATGCAGGTATTTAAGAGAGAGAGGGTAGGAGAAAGTCAAAGAGAACTTTTCTGCTTGTGTGGTTTATTCAGTTCCCTTTAACTTAAAATACTCAGCATGCCAAGCTGCCATATTTTGGGGTACTGTTTTTTGCACTTCATCACTACTTTCAAGATATTGGATGTTTGGTTTTAAGTCATTTGGCCTTGAAGTGCCTAGACATGGCTTTCTTCATATTTATCCTCTTGGAGTTTGCTGAGCTTCATTAATCAGAAAATTTGTTTTTTATACAATCTGGGAAGTTTTTGTTCATTATTTCATCAATTTCCTTTTCTCTGTTTCACTGTCTCTTTTGTCTCTCCTTTTGGGACTCCTTGATATTTTCCCAAATGTTCCTGATGTCCCTGATGTGCTCTCAGATTTTTGTTTTTGTTTTAAAATAATCTATTTTTCTCTTTGTTCTTTAGTTTGAATAATTTTTTTCTTCAAGTTTATGATAAGCTTTTAATATTTATAATTATTCATAGTACTCTGAAAGTAAACCTGAGGTTTCTGGAGCACGGACAGGTTAGTTATTCTATCAGTTATTTCCAATTCTGTCTAGTTCTTAGTCATTTATAGCACTTAACAGCAATAACCACATTATTAGCCTTACCCAGTCTCCACCTTCTGGGAAAATGTCATGAAAGCCAGACGGAGAGGCCCACATGTATGGGAATATACTTTGTTAGGAAAATATGAATCTATAAACTTGTATACATGCTGTCCCCTTTTCCTGTGAGAGATGAAGAGAAACTTAATCTTATTTCTCCTAGAGACTAGAAAAGGGAGAACCCTGTTTTCTTACCTTTTGGAATGTAAATAAATACTTGGTATGGGGAGGGGTGAATAAGATAAACCACTCTAGTTTCCAGCCTCTGGAATATCTTCTTGGTTCCATACCTGATGTTTTCTTGAAATGTAAACATATGACTCTTGGATGGTTTTTCAGTATTTAAATAATCACTTCTATTCAAAAATATTTTCCAGTGACCTAAATCCTAGTAAAAGTTTCCCAGTAAGTCCTAACCATGGAAAAATAAAAATGTTCATTTTCTGATAGCTTTCTGTTTTTCTTTATTATGTCCATTTTTTCCTAATATTCTGAGAATTTTTAACTATTTTCACTCAAAGTTTTCCATTGTGTATTTAAATATATATATTCTATCTCTCTGGAGAGATTTCCTCTCTTTTTATACATAGTTTTCTTTACCTCATTGCTTTTAAGTCTAGGTCTGATAATTCCAACATCTGGATTATCTGAGAGTTAGCTTCCTTTTTCTTTGTAAGAATAAATAATATTTTTCTGTTTCTTTATTGTTAGTACCTTTGAATTACATTCTGTAAACTGTAAATGTTATATTGTGTGGTATCTGGAAAACCTTGCATTTTTAAAAATAATGCTTTGGAAATCACCTTTGCAAAGATTATGGCAGTGAGAGAAATCTAACATAATTGTCTCCACCTTGCTTCTAATCCCACAAGTTAACTGACCTTGCTTATTCCTGGTATAGCCCAAGCTAACTTGGGAGGAGTTTAGTTTATAGTTTAACTTTAAAACTTTAAAGATGATAATAGTCCCTTCCCAAAATGAATTTCCTTTTGGTTTGGGGACTAAAACTGCCTTTTGTAAAACTAAAGAAAGGCCACAAGGTTTGAATTATGGTAGGGTCCTGAATTCTGCTATGCTTTAAGCATAGTTCAGCAATAATCAGCCACTGGTCCCTAATTTGCTTACTGCTCAGGAGTCATGCAGCCAGACATCGCAAGCTTTGTAACTTTCCCAGTTGCTCCTACAGATGACATCACAGTTGTCAAAACTTAAGATATTTTTTAGACTTTTCCATCTGAAAAGGCCAACTGATCCACCCAGACCCATGATCCGTACCAAGAAAGTGACTCAACCAGTCCTGTGACACCTACCCTGAAGCTGACTCAGCATGTAAAGGTAGTTTGAACAATCCTATGATTTTTCAACCTCAACCAATCAGCAGCACTCATTCTCTAGCTCCTTGCCCACCAAATTATCTTTAAAAACCCTTGCCTCCAAGCTCTTAGGAGGCAGATTTGAGAAATATCTCTGATCCTCCCACTCAGCTGCCTTGCAATAATTAAACTATTTCTCTATGGCAGAACCTACTCTCTCAAGTGTATTGGTTTTTTCTATGCAGCAAGCAAGAAGAACTCAGTTGGGTGATTACACTTTTGTTTTCGTTTTGGCAGATGATTAACTCAATTAGCCTGAAACTGCAAACTCTGCCGTATTTGAGATGACTGGAATCTTGGATTCTAGTTCAGTTTTTATTCATTTATTTTTTACTTTATAGTTGTGCTGTTTGCACAATTTTCTATGAATGTATAGTTCAGGGATCAGCAAGAGACTTTAAGTAGAGGTTACACACATACACCACCATTTTGTTTTTCTGGGATTCCCTTCACTTTCCTGTGACTGTAGCCTCTCCAGGCAATGTGATCTTTCAGCTAGAAAAATGAAATATTTCTACTGGAGTTTCAGCAAACCCACATCATACTTAGCTTCAGCCTGTCCTCACACCAATGCTATGAACACAAGATTCAACTTCCCTTCAAATATGCTTGCAATTATTTATTCTCTAGATAATATACACAGTGTTTTTGTTTTGTTTTGTATTGTTTTACTACTGAGTTTAAATTTATATGTGTGGAAGAATCTGAGGGTGATTTTGTCTTCACTACTAGAGATGAAGTCCACACTTGGTGATGTTTAACATATTTCTGTATAAATACCTTTCACAATTTTCATTAAATTTATTCCTAGATACTTGATAATTTTTGAAGCTATATTTTAAATAAATAATAATTTATATAGGCCGGGCGCAGTGGCTCATGCCTGTAATCCCAGCACTTTGGGAGGCTGAGGCGGGTGGATCACAAGGTCAGGAGATCAAGACCATACTGGCTAACATGGTGAAACCCCATTTCTATTAAAAATACAAAAAATTAGCCAGGCACGGTGGTGGGTGCCTGTAGTCCCAGCTACTCATGAGGCTGAAGCAGGAGAACAGCATGAACCCGGGAAGTGGAGCTTGCAGTGAGCCAAGATTGTGCCATTGCACTCCAGCATGGGTGACAGAGTGAGACTCTGTCTCAAAAAAAAAAATAAGAATAATTTATATAAAGTGAAACAGCACTCACTCTCTATTTCCAAGAATGCCAGATTGTTGGTAACCATGACATTTATTTTGTATTTTTCAGCATAGTCTCTGCCTTAATTTGAACTATACATCAAGTGGCACATACTGTGTTGTATTAAATATGTTTCTTTAATTAAAATGTATGCTGATTCTGATGTAATTAAGAGGTAGTTTTTTTCTCATGAGCTACCTATCTTTGGACCCAACTGAAACTAACTTTGAAATAGGGCACAGTATTCACAGATACTCACATAAACTAAGCCTCTTTTGCTCTATTTCAATAGTTTTGAACCTTTTCTATATAATAGAATCAGCTAAGCTAAATAATACTGATGCCCCGTTTTCACTCCACTAGTGACTCTGGGGATGGAACTAAAGCATCAGTGTTTTATATTTTTTGTAGACATGAGGTCTCTCCTTGTGGCCCAGGTCGTTCCTGAACTCCATGCCTCAAAGGATCCTCCCACCTGGGCCTCCCAAAGTGCTGGGATTACAGGCATGAGCAGTATTTTTTTAAAAAATATTCCCAGGTATTTCTAATATGCACTCAGGTTATGTCCCTTTGTTCTATTCAAAGCCAAGCACACAGGTCTGGCTTGTTTAAAACATTCTAAGGGTACTCATGTGAGAAAGTAGCCAAAGAATTAAAAAAAGATCAATTTCCTATCTTCCAGAATGTTACAAATTTTTTACTGTCACGGATATTATTTTCTGCCTTCTGACTTATTCTTAAAAATGTAATTTGAAGGCTCCTTGAAATTTGACTTAATATTTAAGAGTAATAATGGGAAAAGGATATGGAAATGTAAGATAGAGTCAGTGTAGAGGGCTACACATTCCAGGTCAGATTTTGAGACCAGACTCTACTGTGAAGTCACTAAAAGATTCTGATCAGAGTAGTCACACATGTGTGCACACACCCACACCCTACAGATATTTGAAGAAGAGTAAGTTGACATTGATTTGCAAGATTTATCAGAGAAAGGTTATAGATAGTGCTACTGCAAACAAACTTGGAATTCTGTGTCATTAGATTTATTAACAGTGATGAAGCTTATATCCCAATATGATTTTACACCAAAAACTTTCTAACTTGCCCAGTAGATCAGAGTAAAGTGTGTGCTTCTAGAGTTTTATTATTCTGCCTTCTGGTTCTACAGTGTATCAACCTAGATAGCATCTTGACAGCACCCTTTTGCCTGGAGAGCAGCCTCTGACACCTCGCTTCCTTATTTCAGGAGCTGAGAAGCAACTTAATCTCCTGGGGATGAATCTCAAGGGTAGAAACACTATGAGTAGTTGAAGATTTGACTGGTTATATTGAAGTCTTATTGGAAAACCTATCTACCTACCCTCTCTATTCTAAGTTTAAAACATTATTGAAAAAGGAATAATAAATTTAATTCATCAGATATAATACTAAAAATCTATTCTACAAAATTATATTTTTGGTTATGTCATCGAAGACATTCCCTCCTTTTGGTTAAAGCCTATATGCCCAGGAGGTATTAAACCTTATCAGCTTTTGCTTTAGTTTTGAGATAACATCCTATCTTGTCAAATATGATCAAGTTGATACCTTCCTTTAAAGTGTTCTATGGTTCCCAGGAGCTTTCAAGAAAAAGAAAGAAAATAAATAAATAAATAGGCTGGGTGTGGTGGCTCAGGCCTGTAATCCCAGCACTTTGGGAGGCCAAGGCAGGTGGATCATGATAAATCTGAGCCTGGGAGTTCATGACAAATCTGGGCAACATGGTGAAACCCTGTCTCTGCTAAAAAATGTAAAAATTAGCTAGGTATGGTGACGCATGCCTGTAGTCCCAGCTACTCAGGAGGCTAAGGCAGGGGGATCACTTAAGCCTGGGAGGTTGAGGCTGCATTGAGCTGTGATTGTGCCACTGCGCTTCAGCCTGGGTGACAGAGTAAGATCCTGTCTCAATAAATAAATACATAGATAGACAGATAGATAGATAGATAGATAGATAGATAGATAGATAGATAGATAGATAGATACATAGATAGATACATAGATAGATACATAGATAGATACATAGATACATAGATAGTTTCTTTTGTTAGCATGCATATAATTTAAATTACTTCTTCTTGCCTAAAACTCTGCCAACTTCTCACCACCTTCCTACCTTGAATCCCAATGCATGGGCAGCTCCAGTTGTCTACCTGTGTCTTTGAACATGATGTTGTCTATAGGCCTGGAATCAGTTTTCATGTTTTTTTTTCTTCTAGAATTCTATTTATTCTTCAAACCCCATTACAAAACATCCCACTGATAGAAAGCATTTGTAGATTTTGATTTCTCTCCATTTTGCATCTATAATGTCGTTTGCTTTTACTGAACATGGTAATGAATATGCAGTTCTCTAAGTATTTTGACACTTCACTTTCACCAGTCAACCATAAACTCCCTAAAAAATAATGGTGCCATTTTATTTTTTAATACCTGAACCTAGCAAAATGCCTGGATAGAATAGTCACCTTTGAAAAAAATGTTTAAATTAATTATTCAAAAGCATTTTATTGTTTAATTAAGTTTAATTATTTAAACTTTTCTCAACAAATGAGGTCAATTTCTGTAGGAACTGAATATAAGGAAGGATGAGAAGGTAGCAAAGATAGGGCTGGGCGAGAATACCAATATCAGCCTTTACCTATTTTATAATTTTGCTGGGGGCAAAACTGAGAGACAGCTATAGAATGTGTGCCAGTTTTAGCTATTGTCTGGGCTCAGAAAGTGATACCCTACAGACTAGTACTTTGACATGCTCTGAGGCCTTAGAAGCTGCCTCAGAATCAAGGTCACTCTAACGTTTTCTTTCCCCCGTCAATCTCCAAGCACAGGAAGGAACTTTCTTAATTTTCATATCTGACCCAGAAAGTTTATTTCCAAAAGAAATGCAATTGTCTTAAGAACCTCTCCTTAGGGATTTCATCGGTTAATTAGGAAAGATCAACCACCAGAAAAGAGAAAGGACCCAGATTCATCACCACACCCCTACAGACTTTACATTTATTTTTCGGAGGGCAACATTAAGAGATTACCTTGGAGGCTTTATCTGTATAATAAGACAACCTTTTGGTCCTTGTGCTTCTCTTCCCATTGAATGTCTGCCTCTCACCTCCTCCTCCCAGATCCATTCATCCTCCCCATCCCCATGAAAAAGGGTATTGGTATATAGGCATCTGTTCTGCTCTGGATTATTGAATAGTTATTCTGTGATTCTCTCCTGCTATGTACATTAAAATAAAATTTTGTAATTTTTCTCCTATTAATCTGCCTTTTTTCAGTTGATTTTCAGTGGACTTTCAGAGGACAAAGGGGAAGTTTTCCCTTGGTCCCTACACTACCTTGAGCCTATAGAGGAAGAAAGTGATCAGACATGCTATGACTTGCCACAGGGTAAAATTAAATCAGTGAAGTCATTAACATATCCTAAGACAACACAACCTATGACTATATTTTCTTGTAACAAATAAATTTTGATAGGTCAGGTGCCCATTAAAAATATCATTTTTCCTTTTTCCAATTATTTCTGAATTTTCCAGTGGATGGAGTTTGTATATTGGTGTTTATATTTTCTTCAGTCACTTAGAGTGAAGATGATGCTTCCACATGGAGAACTTAGCCTCACAGCAGTTTTTATGAGAGACTTGTAGTTCAACTGAGTCTTTATGACAACAGCTCTTGGGCTCAGATGATAGGTACTGACTGTGGATAGAAGCCATTATCACCAATTCTGTATAGAATCCAGAAACACTCTAGCGCTCTTTAAGAAATAAATTCTCATAACTGTCAGTCACAACACTGAGACTCCACTAAGTGGAATTAAGGGCAGTCAAACACTGAGATGGACAGGAAGAATAGGATCACTTTTCTTAGGTGATAGCTGCTGCTGGGGTGTGATGGGGCCCACGTAATGAATATTGGTGGACACACTAGACATAAGTGTTGTGGGGGGTGGGGGCGCAGTGAACTATTTCAGCAATTATGGTGGGGTGTTAAAAGCTACAAAAATGTTATTAAAATGAATTGTACAAAATTTCTAATTACTGCATGAATGAGAATTGGAATACCAATTATTATGACAAAAAAGATGAATCCTCAGTTGTTCTACCCTGGTTTTCTGTGGCTAATGCCACAAAATATTGGTAGATTTTACTTTACACTTTGCTCTTTTAATATTTAAAATGCTTCAGTTAAAGTCAAAAAGTTTTTTTTAATCATGAACAAGTTTACTTCTTACATACTTATTTTATATGTTCATTTAACAGAATATACACTGATTATCTTTGGTTCATATTACCATAGGAGGTAATTTTAGTGTCATCTGTAAGTGATATCAATGTACCTGATATGGGACTTCATAAAGGCCATGTACAACTTTGAAAGGCTAATAACTTCTATTGTTACAAGAATAGAAACAGTTAATATATAGCATTAAATATACATTACAATGTAGAAGACTGTTATTACCAAACATGTATATTCTGGTATTGAATCCTATGATTTGGCCAATTGGTATTGGCAGTGAGCAGGTAAACAGCCTCCTGTGGTAAAGACATGTACACACTGTCAGAAAATTCTGTAGGGATCTAGGATGTTAGGCTCCTCACTCCCTGGGATGGGCAGTGGTTTTAGAAGGCATCTGTGATGGAGATAATGGCCTCACCACATAAAGAAATTCTGATAATTATACTACATATATAATCAATTCAAAACGGAAGGCCTCTCCCCATGTCGTTATTTGGTATCTGGAAAACAGAGTGAAAATTTGGATAAGAAGTTATTTATACTAAGAGTTTAATAGGAGCAAAAATACTCAAAAAGCAAGTTTTTTTTCAAACAAGAATCAATCCACATCCCCCAATCGAATTCCTCAGCATCTCTGTCGTTTCTTCTTTCTGTTTCCCAAGCGACCACCTCCTATGACAGCAACCACGTTAATATGTATTATTACCCTTGATACAGGGGTACTTCATTTAGTAAGGTGGTACTAAAACCAAGGGATTGGCTTCCTCATTTTTATGTTTTTATTATTTTATTGAATATTTACTTTATATTTTAAATGCTGAATGGAAATATGACAATAATACATATCAAGAAAGTAGAGATTAATGACTGTATCAGACCTGGGTATAACTACTCCTACTTATTTTCATAGCTTTGCATATTTATGCATATGCAAGAGTAGCAACTGTTTCCACAATTTCAAATTTTGTATCCTGATACTTTTCATTTAAATATATGTTTACACACACTCACACCCATGCCCATACCCACGTGCCTAGACATAACTATTACATACCTATTACACACACCTAACCATATGTATAAATGTAGACAAATGCTTCCACAGTATTAATAATAAAGGTAATTTCTTTAGCAGCAAAATCTTAGGTAATAAGATGATATAATACGACCTGGATGATTTAGCGTCTCTTAAAACTAACAAGCATGCTACGGCTTAGGTGAGAGTTCCCAGAAGTAGTGTCTTGGATTGAAATTATTTCCCAGTGATGTATTGGGAATCGTCCTCGCAGAAGAAAGGGTGTAAGGGAAATAGGATAGGGCAGGGGGAAAAAGGTAAACAAGAATAGGGTTCACAAGAAAACCAAGATGCACAAATTGCACCATAATGTATATTTTGTCCTCCTTTGCCAGGCAACCATTGGCCAGGGCCTGTGGACACTGGGGCAGTGGTGAAGGTTCGTGGCATTTGTCTGAGAACAGTTCTTGAGAGAAGAGACATTTAGGAGTTATCAACCCACATTCAGGGGACCTGGGGTAAGTTCATGAGTCTGGCCAGTAATGGGGATCAGAACAGTGTTTTGCTAAACACTTAAACTTCAGGATCTTGTAAAGTAGTGGTCAGATAGTTGGAATTAATTAAATTGGACAGCTTAAAGTTCCTCACTCACACTCTTTACAGTTCTTATTAGTTTCTTGCCACCATTGAGAACAGTTCAGTACACCAGCCGGAGAGGGGCTATTTTAATTAAAATAGGCTTGATACTGTGTTATTTTATCATTGTTCCACATGCCAAGAATCCTTTATTTTTTGATCAGCATTTTAATGCTTGCTTTCATGGTCAATTTCACTGACAGTGATACAATATGATAATAAATAACCAAGAAAACCAATTCAACCTCCCCCACATTTTTTTAGGTTGTAGATGGAGGGGCGTAAAAATCAGAAATTTAATTATATCACAAATAAATAAATGCAGGCTGTAAAGGAAAAAATCTAAGTTAATTAACAATTTTGGCCTTCAAAGAATTCTATCTTTATATTTTTTCAAAATTGAGGTAACAGGTGAAAGAACGGACTGCTCAATTTTCTGACATTCACTTACCAGAAAATATTTTGTAAATTTCAATATGCTTGAGGTTAACATATATATGTGTTTACTCTGTCTCGGAGTCTAGGGAAGCACACAGCAATTGGGAAAAACATAAAGCAGTCAGAGTTTCTCCAAGACTAAGCCCAAAATACTGTACTTATGGACCACAGAGTAAAACATCCCCATAGCTAAAATATAAGGACAAAGAAAATTAAGTAAATCTTTATTTACATTCCTTGAGGATGGCCAGGACGTGGTGCCTTGTAACTAAAGGTTTCTTCCTGATAATTGCTACAAATTGCATCATTAGATAAATATTTTAACTGTGAAGTGCCAAAAAAAAAAAGTAAAGAACAGGAATTTGAATTCTAGTCCCGATTATGGATATAGTTCATTCTTACCTGGCTTGAAAGTCAAAATTCAATTCAGAATGACTTTAATATTAATAGCTTTCCCATAAAGCAAGTGGTAGTGTAACAGTATTCCTAAATACTGCAGGAAACCTCTCCATCTCTTATCCAAAACTGGCACTACCTGAAATTGATGAGATGGCTGATCATACAGAATAAAATTCTACATGACTATTTAAGTCTTCATCTGCCCCCCAAATTTCTGTTTTTCTATAATAATAATTATCATAGCTAATATTTATTGGAATATTATTAAATGCAGGATACTGGACTAACTGTTTTATAGATATTATCCTATTTAATTAAAAACTTCAGTGGGATAATGCTTGCCTTCTTTTACAGAGAACCCGAGTTCAGAGTGATTAAATGGCCTGAGTATAGCCATTCAGCTGACAAATGCCAAAGTCATAATTCAGAACTGAGTCTACAAACCTGAATTTCTATGCTATACAGCTTCTCTAATGCTGCTTGCTGAAGTAGCTTTTCATCAACTTTAAAATTCCGTCTGTTAGAGATATTAATTGGGGCATTTCTGACACTGGGGCAGTGAACAGCATTCATTTGGTAAAGTAGAGTTTTCTATTGCAGGTCAAACACAATATATCTTCAGCCACTTTAGAAACATACTCATAAGAGTTGCACATCACTACCTAGGACATTCTACTATTGTCCTCAAAAACAATGCTTAGAGCACTTATTAGCATATCCCCAGGGTCTCTAGATAGCTATAATGAAGATGGACATGTGACTTTATGTATATGGCCTGCTCTTCTATTCACACAGTCACATGTTATCTTTCAAACTATTCTAGATACTTCCCCCTTTGGGCTCTAAAATAAGGAAACACAAAGCTGACAAATATTGAGTGATAGGTAGATGTGTAGGGTGGGGACTATATAAGAAAAATCCCTTTGGGATATTGTCATGGGGGACCATGAAGCCGCAATTGTATCGGGAGTCGGTGCAGAGGGCTTAAGTGTGATCAACCTCAACCAACACTGACCTCCACTGTACTCTGGGCATGAATTGTGGGACCCTATGGCTCTCTACCTGGTTACCTTCTTGTCTAAAGAGAGCCACAAGTATTGACTTATTGTATCAACTAGTAACGATGCTATCCAGTGAAGCACATCCCGGGTGACTGATACAAATGTTAATCAAAATTTCACAATTCATAGAAAGAAGAACCTACGCAGCTACACATCAGTTTGTGCTGCCACTCTTTGCATTTCTCTCTGAAGTGTAAGGTTACAAGAATAAATCTCTCTTTCCATGTGTTTGAAGTATTGACTCACTGAGGCATCAAGGGTCTTGCATTCCTTGCCAGCTGTGCTGCTCTCTCTGCTGTAGTCTTTTGGGTCAAGTGTCACTGTGTCTGGAGTGGCATTTTGTGTGAATGTCAGCACTGAAAGGAAGCAAGAGTCAGTCTCCTAGAGCACTTATTATAAGTTTCTCTGAGCTTTCATTTGACATTTGCTACCTTATATTGCTGTACGTTGTTTTATTCATTTATGCTGTCATTCTGATTCTATCTATACTCCTGCAAAAAAATGATATGGTCTTATTTTAAGACATCAACATGCTTTATTCTGGTACATATTTTTCCCTATTATTTATGATACAGACAGACGATGAACTGAATTCTGAGAAGAAAAAGCTTATTGGTCACTTTTTCACACCCTATGCTAAGTATGGTGCTACCAAACAAACAAACAAACAAAAAAGAATGCATTTTTAAACTGATAGTGATTACATCTAGCTCTCTACCCCTCTGTAACAATGACTCCTCCCATTAGTCTTAAGGTAGACAATTCATTTTCAAAGCGAAAACAATCAAATGGTGCGTCATAACATATAGATAAGTAGGTGTGGATATAATTTTACATTCCCATTGGCTTTGTTATTCCTTTGTTTGGAGGAGATGGTTAATGTGCCTCTTGAGATGATATTCAATTTTTAATTCTGTAGTTCTTGGAATACACAATGTTATGTTAATTGATGAGAAACCTAGCAAATTGTGTGTTTATGAATGCCTGCTCAAATAGTGATCTTTTTTGCCCATTTTAAAAAATTTTACCTGAGGCACATTTCAAGCTCTTATCAGAAATAATTTTGCTGTGGGAGTATGTGTAGTTCGATGTCAAGTTTATGATGGGCCTGCTGCATAGGAGATAAGGAAATAATAATAGTAATAATAATTATAATGCAACAGATGCTAAGTGATTTACATGAATTTCTATATTTAAAATACTTCAAATATATGAGGCTGATCATATTTGCTATGTGAACTGGTAAGTTACTATGTCACTGATTTCATTTCCTTAACTTTAAGATTCGAAAAACCAGGTCCCCTTATTCACGGTTTCACTTTCTGTGATTTCAGACGCAAGTAGTCAACCGCAGTTCAAAAACATTTAATGGATAATTTCAGAAGTATACAATTCATAAGTTTGAAACTGTGCACCATTTTGAGTAACCTGATGAAATCTCACCTGTCCTACTCCATCCAGCCAGGAATGAAAATCATCCTTTCCTGTACACATTATCTGCCCATTAGCCACTTAGCAGTCATCTCATTTATCAGATCAAATGTCCAATAGAATGTATATAAGATTAGGTACTATCTATAGCTTCAGGCATCCACTGGGGGTCTTGGAATATATCCCCCGTGGATAAGGGGCGACAACTATACCACTTCGTAGGGCTGCCGTGATGATTAAATGGCATGCTTTTTCTTTTTTTCTTTTGAGACAGAGTCTTGCTCTGTTGCCAGGCTGGCACGATCTTGGCTCACTGCAACCTCCGCCTACCGGGTTCAAGTGATTCCCCTGCCTCTGCCTCCCAAGTAGCTGGGACAACAGGCCTGTGCCACCATGCCCTGCTAATTTTTTGTATTTTAATAGAGGCGGGGTTTTACCACGTGGGCCAGGATGTTCTCAATCTCCTGACCTGTGATCCGCCCGCCTCCGCCTCCAAAAGTACTGGGATTACAGGTGTGAGCCACCACGCCTGGCCTAAATGGCATGCTTTTAAGTGATAAGTACCATGTCCAATACACAGATTAAACTCCATAGGTGTCAGCCAGTTCCTACCTTAAAGCAGATAAGTAACCTGACCAAGTCTATACAGTCACTAGCAAAGATTTTAAGCTGTAATTCAAAGCCAGATATCCATCCCCATGTTTTACCATTGTGCTTCACTTCTGTATAGGGACACTGCAAGCCATTTTGAAAAGGAATCTAGAATAACAACTTGTTCCTTTTCATCTGGCATCCTGTGGAACAAAAATGCTACGCTTTCTTTGAAATACTGACTTTGAATACAAATGCCTTACAGTGATCCACAAGTCCTTAAATAATTTGGCCCCAGTAAGTCCCTGGCTAGCTCCTCCTCTGCCCTAATTCTCCTTCTGCTCTGCCTCAGTTGTGCTGATGTCTTCTTTGTTTCTCTGACAGGTTGGCCTGCTCCCATCTCAGGCCCTTTGTGTTTTCCTTTCCTTCTGGCTACAGGTATCTCCTTTATCCTCTTACTTACTTCAGGCTATTCTCCGAACATCATCTTCTCAGTAAGGCTTTCTTTAATTTCCCTATATATTTTGTAAAAACCTCAGAACTATCTCCTGCCAACACTTCAATTCTTCTATCCCAATTTATTTTTTTCTCCTGAGCATGTATCAATATTAAACTATTTATTTATTTTCCTACTTATTTATCAATAAAATATAAACTTTGTAAATAGAAAGATTTTTGCCTCTGGTTCATTTATTGCTGAATTCCAATTTCTTATAATAGATCCTGTCATCTGTTATACAGTATGCAATCACACAATATTGCTGAATATATGAATACATGCAAAGGGTTAATTATTTTCCCAAAAACTACACACACACACACACACACACACACACACACATAATGTTATGTGTTTGTCTTTTCCTCTAGACTAGTGCCAAGCTGGTAGCACCAAATGTCATTGGTGAAACAAAGGCTCTCTATCTGCACTGTCCAATACAATAGCTATAGAACACATGTGCCTTTTAAGCATTTTAATAGAGCTAGTGCCACTGAAAGACTGAACTTTTTATTTTATTAACTTAAATTTGAATAGCCATATGTAGCTGGTTACCATGTTTTTTGGTACTTGTAGTTTTCAAATTGTGGGTAGCTGGATGGTTCCACAAACACTGATACATAATTTAAATAGCCATGAAAAAGTATTTCCAGCTGCTTATTAAAATACAGTGTTAAGTAAAGGCAGATGGGTATTATGCATGGACCATGTTCCTTACATAGGGCCAGGTGGATCCCTTTTCTATGTTATATCTTTGCTCTTCTCTCTGCCTGGAATTTTGTTTATCCAGAACTTGAATTGTCTCTTTCAACCTTCATCTTCCATCTCAATTGTGCTTTTCTCAAAGAAACATTTCCTGCCATCACTATCTAATACAGCCCTTCATACCCAGGAACATACTTCTTATTATCCTGCTTTATTTCATTTTTAGCATTTTGCAAAACAAAATTTGTTTATTTGCTCTATTTGTTTATACTGGTTCTAACCCAATAAGACAGAAGTCCAAGAGAAAAAGGACTTTGTCCTTCATATGCATTGCTATAAGCTCAGTACTAAGAATAATGCCTAACATTAGAAGCAGCTCTACACATACGTGTGAAATACGTAAATGATATAATTTTTTTATTATCTTAGTACTTGTAGTTGCGATTTTAGGTGGGATTGGACAGACTGTGGCCTCATTTATAATCTCTTCAAGGTTCTTAAGTATCTTGATGCTACTACATGATAATTATTCTTCTCTGAAATTTGCTGAAAAATTGTGTGTCTGTGTGTGTGTGTGTGTGCGTGTGTGTAAATAACTATGTAGCGTTGGGCTGTTAGGTAATCTGCTTTCTGTGTTCAAATTTGCTAGGAATTTCCCATGTTACTAGAGTTTGTGTCAAATCACAGCCCAGGGCTTTAATTTCTCCTTCTGTCAAACATAACGATGACACTGGGTAATGTTTAAGAATCATTTAAGTGTAAACTTTCTCACTACAGCTATTATCACAATAGTCCCCAATAAAAATCAGCTCCTGTGGTGAGTGCAAAGTGTAAGGAGCTAAGGAAGGATCCAGGCAATGTTCAAACTCTCCCAAGAAAAATGAGGCATTTGCCCAAGGGACAAAATTAAAGTGGCCCTCCTTACTCAGTAATTGAGATAAATAATATTTTAATGCAAGATTTATTTCATCCCATATTTCTTTTCTTTTTTTTGAGATGGGGGTCTCATGATGTTGCCCAGGTGCATGCCACTGCACCTGGCAATGCCATATTTTTAAAAGTTGGATAGAATCAGTTGCCATCCTGTACTGAGCCTATTCAAGCCTTAGGGAAAAGAAAAAAATCAGTAAGACTTAGCTTTATTTAAAAAGTCATGTTATTTTCATTATGGATTTTTTTGCATTAATTTTAACTTTAAAAAAATAGTGCATAAAGTTAGAATTTCCACATTTAGCAAGTAAAAATATAGGACACACAGTTAAATTTGAATACTAGATAAACAGCAAGAAAGTTTTTGGTGTAAGTATGTCCCAAGCAATATTTAAGTTTTAGATAAACTATTGTGTGAAGCATTCTTTTAATAAAAAAGTATCTATTTTTTATCTGAAAATCATATTTAACTGCTTATCTTATATTTTATCTGGCAACCCTAATAAAAATACTATTTGTTTTCATTTAAAATTCTTTGGCACCCTGTTAATTTTGCAAACCCCTAAATTTTCCACCCAAAGAAAGTACTTTTTCCCATTCCTTTCCCAAGCATAGGATGCTGTCCATAAAACAGTTACTAGTTGAGTAACAAAATAAGAATTTATCAGCAGCAGGGAAACACTAAGACTACCTACCTAGTTGCCAAAAGGCAAATTCCACTTATTTTACAATCCTGAAATGGCAAAATCAGTCCTTAGTTTCAGCTGATTAAACAAAGATCTATTAAATGTTTTGACCTTGAAAAGAAGTATTTTTAAAAATACAAGATACAAAGAGGGTGAAAATAATCTTTGCTGTTTTGAGGATTAAACAAAAATGTTTCTTACCTCATTGTCACACCAATCATTATCTTGAACAATTCAGATATTAAATGAATCCCTCATAATTTTGAATAAACCTGTCCAGCCTCTGAGCCCAAGCTAAGCCATCATATCCCCTGTGACCTGCAGGTATACATCCAGATGGCCTGAAGTAACTGAAGAATCACAAAAGAAGTGAAAATGGCCTGTTCCTGCCTTAACTGATTACATTCCACCACAAAAGAAGTGAAAATGGCCAGTCCCTGCCTTAACTGATGACATTACCTTGTGAAATTCCTTCTCCTGGCTCATCCTGGCTCAAAAGCTCCCCCACTGAGCACCTTGTGACCCCCACCCTTGCCAGCCAGAGAACAACCCCCTTTGACTGTAATTTTCCTTTACGTACCCAAATCTTATAAAACGGCCCCACCCCTATCTCCCTTTGCTGACTGTCTTTTCAGACTCCGTCCACCTACACCCAGGTGATTAAAAAGCTTTATGGCTCACACAAAGCCTGTTTGGTGGTCTCTTCACACAGACGTGAGTGAAAAAACCCTCTTACTGCCATTTAATGTATTCTGAGTGGAGTCAGCAAAGTGATTGTCAGTTGTTCTCACATGAGACATTTTTAGCAAATGGGAAAGGGAAGCAACATTTAAAAATTCCAAGATCATCACTTATAGATAGGCACGCTTATTTACATATGTCTATTTATTCTTTTTTTTTTTTAACATTTGCTCCTGTTACTTTAAAAGCTTCTAGGCATGAATGCATTAACATATACCATTAAGTAACTTTTTGAGAGGGAAAATGCATGCTGTAGAGATGTTAACTGAACAACATTAAGGGAAACATCTGTAAACAGCTCACAGAAAAAAAAAAACATCAGTTGATCATTTAGCTATAAGCTGTAAAGAAAATGGACTTTCAGATGGAAAAAAAGAAACTCATTATAGATACCCAGTTACTTCTATAGTAGCCATGAAAACAAATACAGTAGGTACAGAGAATGTTAGCAACAGCATTATGTTTTCTGAAAGTAACTATAAACATGCATATGAGAAAGATGATTGGTTTCATAGTTATTTAATGAGAAGGATAAATCTTAAGAAAAGCTTATAGGGATTCCACAACCAAGTTTTACAGTTAGAAAGGCCTATGTGTGTGTGTGTGTGTGTGTGTGTGTGTGTTTGTGTGGAAGAGAGGGAGAGACAGAGAGAGAGAGAGAGAGATGGAGAGAAAGAAAGAAAGAAACCCATCACTTTAGGCTTTGCATGTGTTTAAATGGGGGCATGATAGCCAAAACAAAAGCTAAAATTCCTGTCTTCATCAACAAAGATCTCTCACCATGTCTGAATTCTGGAATAAAAGAGTTGTCATCATCACCTTATCTGCAATGAAAAAATAAATAAATAAAAAAGACTTACATCTTTGTTTTACATAGTTGTCATGAGTTAAATAATGCCCCCCAACCCCTCAATTTATGTCCACATGGAACATCAGAATGTGACCGCATTTGGGTCTACAGATATAATTAGTTCCAGATTTTGATATGGATTCAGCCTGGATTTAGGAATCTCTCTAAAATGAGTGACTGCTAGCCTTATAAGAAGAGGAGAGGAAACAGAGACATAGAGATGAAGGCGATGTGAAAATGGAGGCAATGGTTGGAGTGATCTACAAACCAAGGAATGCCAAGAATTGCCAGAAAACACCAGGAAACACCAGGAAAACTATTAGGGAGACTTTGGATAGTTCTCTCTCAGAGCCTACAGAAGAACCAACCTCGCAGACAAATTGATTTAATACTTTAGCTCTCCTACTGTGAAAGAAGACATTTCTGCTATTTTAAGCCATAAAGTTTATGATAATTTGTTATGGTAGTTGTAAGAATCTACTGTAACAGCTGATAAACTCTTAACCACTTAGTCAGCATTTACAGAGGTCTGATACATGTTAGGGCATTGCTTTAAACTATAATGTTCATTTGAATCACTGTTAAACTGCAGATTCTGATTCACTGGTTCTTGGAGAGTCCTGAGACAGCTCATGTCTAACAAATCACGAGGTGATGCCCATTTAGCTGCTTCTAGAATGACATTTTTTTCAGTACCAAAGCTATAATAGGGCACAACAAAGGACTCTAATCTATAAACTTTTTTGTTTTAGAGCTGCAATTTGGGTGAAAAGACATATCTTACCAACACATAAACTTATAAACAATTGAGGAATTATGTGATAATCAAAGATTAGAGAATAAATGTTATTCATGTGAGCTGGATTCATCAGGAGAAGGTTTGATATAAAAGGGACATTTTGGGGTGAGTTAAAGACAAACAGAATTAGCAACAGTAAGATTAGACCAATTAGTGCAAATTCATGATAGAAAACACTAAGAATGATATTAGAAAGGAACAATGAAGTGCATTACAGAAACATAATTATTGTTTTTATTGTTAACTAACATATTTACCAAAGATAGACATTTCTGGTAACCCAAAAGTTAATAAAAATGTGGTTATGTTTGCACATATTTATAGAGGACATTACTGTCTTTTGGTTTACAACATAAGTAACAAAAGGCAGAATATAATGTGCTATAAATAAAATTATTATTGCTATATAAAAATATCCAAGGAGGGTGAGAGACTGGATTTGTTAGGATGGGAACAATGTGAATTGTTTTGTTTTGTTTCTTTTTTAAAATTTCTTCTGTTATTTTTATTGTTCTCAATTTGGGGACTGCTATTCCAATAGCCAGAGCTTTTGAATCTTGCACTAAGTATGGAATACAGATGCAAATTTAATGCATAGATTTATAGGGGATTTTCCAAATATTATCCTACTTGCCATATAAGGTTAATGATGGTTCCAGAATGTTTCAAGGGATACATTTGGCCAATAGTTACATAATAAACACATTTATTAGTGAAATATTTCACAGTCCTTTACATTTTCTGCTCTTACCAGAAATGCCATGACAGACAGCAGTATTATCAGTAGTGACGGGAAAACAACTTTACTCCAAATTTAGTTTTAGAGATTTTGTCTTCTGGTGTATTTTCAGCATCACATGATAGACTGACATTATCTATGAGATTTGGAAACATTTTTGATAAAGCTGAGCATTGCAGCCTCCACTATGGTTAGCACCAGTACTACTACCCATACATCATGTGGATGAAGAGCAAGTGACAAGTTCTGTATAAAAGTTAGGTAATACTGGCTGGGCACGGTGGCTCACACCTGTAATCCCAGCATTTTGGGAGGCTGAGGTGGGTGGATCATCTGAGGTCAGGAGTTCGAGACCAGCCTGGCTAACATGGCGAAAGCCCGTCTCTACTAAAAATACAAAAATTAGCCGGGCGTGATGGTGGGTGCCTGTAATCCCAGGTACTCGGGAGGCTGAGGCAGGAGAATCGCTTGAACCCGGGAGGCGGAAGTTGCAGTGTGCCGAGATTGCACCATTGTACTCCAGCCTGGGCAATAAGAGCGAAACTGCATTTCCAAAAAATAAAAATAAAAAAATTAAAAAAAAGGTATGAGTTATTATTTTTTAAAAACTTTAACAGGTAAAGACATGCAAGATGATAGAAGCTAGCAATAATGTCTAATCCTAGAAAAAAACATAGATCATATGAATATTTCACTGTATGTTCTCATTATTAAATAATGCTTTGTGTACATATATTTCACACTTTCAGCTGAAGATTTTCTCCTTCAGAAGTGATTACATTATTATTTTTACAATAGAAAATTTAAACCTAATAATTTCCAACGAGATAACATTATGCTTAACCAATGAGCTTGTAAACAAAGTAATAAAGCACCAATAAAAATATGAGTTGCTTTTTGATGTAGCTGTAGATATTTGAAAATATAGAATAATTTTCCAAGTTTATTAGATGCCAGTCAAGTCAAAAATCTATAGTCTAGCCATTGGCCAGTGCCACTAGCTGTCTGAGACTGTGTGAACATTCGTAGCATTATTAAATCTTTCCAGATTTACACAAATAGTTGTGGGTTTATTTTATGACCCTATATATTACAAATATATACTAAAATGTTTATGTTTAAAATTACATAATGTCTAATATTTTCTTCAAAATGTCTAATTTCTTCATAATGTCTAATTTTCTTCAAAACAACACAGAAGTGAATGGAGGTTTGGATGGGATGTTGTATTCTTTCTACTTTTTATATATGTTCAAAATTCTCCATAATGAAAAGGGAAAATATTATATTAAACAATTCATCAATTTAGCTTCTCCTACTGGTACTCCATAGTGCTTTGTACTTCTATCAAAAAAACCTTATACCATTTCATTAATGTTTGTCTTTCATGATAGGCTGTAGGTTCCATAATGGAACTAACTATGTAATGTTATTCCCCAATGCATCCACAACAATTAGCACAATTAGTATCCAGCATGAAGTAGGGATTTACTAAATATTTATGGAGTGAATAAAGTTATGAATAAATGAACATAAGCACAACAACTGTCCTCTGGTTTCATGTAATGCTTAGAATTGAAAATACTTGGGCATGTGTTGGTGAGATAATGGACGTTCATTGCCATGGAGGCCAGCTTCACTTCTCTCCTAGGCTCACATTCTACTTGAGGCCACATCAAATAAGAATAATTGTTACTAAAATAAACGAGGAGATCATTGTGTTTGTACTGCATTGTGTTTGTACTGAACAGAAGCTGTTCCCAAATACTTTTATTTTCTGTCAATATTTTTTGTATGTTATAGCAAATACTGCATTTCCAGATGAGTGTCCTGCCTCCTTATACATCCTTTGTTCTACAGGTGAAGAAACCTGATTAAATAGGCTAGGTTTTATATTTGAAAGCAGGTAACTTAAAGAAGAACTGGCCCTAGGAATAGGCAGACTAAGGCAGCTTTGAGGATTCTGAAATTCTGTGGACACCAAATAAATTAACATTTATTAAAAAAAGTTTTTGCATTGATCTCAATACCTTGACAGAATTTCCTCCTTACTCTTCCAATTTTTTCTTCCTTCCAGCAAAGCACCAGAGATACTTTCCTGAAGTTAAATGGAAGCTATAACACATTGAATCCTCACTGCTAATTCCTACCAAGGGATAATTCAAAGACCTAGAAAGAAGGCCTAGATTTATTCTCAGCTCTACCACTCCTAGATGAAGGACCTTATTAGGCAAATCATTCAATCTTTCTGAGCCTCATATTGTTCACCAATGGGAGAATACTTCACAAAATTTTCAAAATTGCAGGCAAGAAAATACATAAAAATTATGCTATCTAAAATAAAATGTGCTACAAATTTATACGCACACACACCTAATTCAAAATTATGTACTTCTGCATTAAAGTTCTAAAGGATTAGAACAAGTGATTCATAAATTTTTATGTGAAATGTCTCCAGGGTATGCGTTTACATATCCCTCCCTCCGTTCCTTCCACAAGCAGAGGGTTGGATTAAATCACACTCTGTTTCATGGTACATTATAGACATTGGTTCTTGAAGAGCCCCTTTGTTAATTTATCAATTTATTGATTTCCTTTGTCTTAATTCCACACTCCTGTTCCCTCCCTCCTTTATGTACATCCATTAATGTGTTTAATGTGCATCTTTTGTTTATATGTTGTTGCAAAATGTACATTGTTGATTTTTGTGCCTGCTTTCTATTTCAACTGATAGTGGATTCTAGGTCTTATTTTTTTAATTAAAATATATTTTCTACATTTTTAATAACTATGTGTGCATGTCTAGACCTGGGCTTCTAACTGCATCATAGTTCTCTATCCTCCTCTAAGTCTCCAGTGTATTCTCATGGTATTCTGACACTGTGAATCTCAGGGCAGTCCACATTTTACCTATTCATTAGCCCAGTGAAGAACTCCAGATTCCACTAATTCATGGCAACCTCAAATAATGTCACCTGGGCATTTTCACACAAGTCCACCCACATACCTATGTGAAAATTGTGTGTGTGTGTGTGAGGCACTAGGAGAATATGTGGTTGAGTCATAGGGTATCCCTACAATAAACTGAAATAAGTAGCCCCAAACTGGTCTTCAGAATGGCTGCATTATTTTCTATTCTTGTGCCCAAATTTTTCACAACATCCTAATTCAAATTTTGGTGTTATTTAGTTTTCTAATATTTGCCAATAGAGTGGTTGTAAACTGATATCACATTGTTTTTTAATGGGTATTTAACTGATTACTTGTGGGTATCATAATTTCTATATATATTAATTAGCCTTTTAGGAACCTAGATCTGTTATTATCCCAACTTTTTTTTGTTTACTTTTTTGGTTAGGATTGTTGTTTTTCTATGAAAGTTGTAGGATTTGTGTGTGTGTGTATGTGTGTGTGTGTGTGCGTGTGCTCTCTTTGATAGTAACTCCATATTAGTTTTAGGTTTTGCAAATACCTTCTCTCATTTTGTCATTAGTATGTTAAGTTTGTCCAGAGTTTTAGCTTTAACTGTTCAACGGAAGTCTTTAACTTCTATGTAACAAAGCTTACCCACTTTTTGCCATATGCTTCATGGTTCTAAAATTTTATTTAAGAAGCCCTTATCCAATCTTAAGTCACTATGCTTTTAATAGTCCTAATCCTTTTGAGTTTCATTCTTGTAGGTGGTTTTAGGCAGAAATCCAGCTTCACTTATCTCCATATAGTAAATCAGTTTTTACAATGCCATTTATTAAATAATCTGCCCCATTCCAATTGAATTACAGGACTCTACATTACCTTCCCATATATATATGCAGAATTTTTCTAAATGAAATTGTGAAGAACTGACATTGTTACAATAGTTAGTCATGCATGAAAAAACACGGAGATATAATTTTTAAATTGTTTTCAATGCTCTTGACTAAAGGTTTAAAGTTTTCTTCAAAGGATTGCCATGACATGAATGTTTGTGTCCTCTTAAAATTCACATGTTGAAATTCTAACCCCCAATGTGATGATATTAGGGTGGGGCATTTGGGAGATGTTTAGGTCTTGGGGATGGGGCCCTTCTGAATGAAACTAGTGTCCTTATAAAAGAAGCTGGTGAGATACTACTTTCTCTTCCACAATGTGAGGATATAAAAAAAAAAAAAAAAAAAAAAAAAAAAAGGCCGTCTATGAATTAGAAAGCTAGTCCTCATCAGACAGCTGAATTTGCCGGCTGTTTGACCTGGACTTCCCAGCCTCCAGAACTGTAAGAAATAAATTTCTTTTGTTTATAAGAATACCAAGTTTACCATAGTTTTTTACGGCATCCCGAACAGACTAAGGCAGAGATCTTACAGGTTCGCTGTTAATGTACTACTATATACTTTATGTTTCTTGTTGCTATTCTTAATGGAGTCATATTTAATTTTATTTTTGTTATTGTTGGTTTAGGAAAAGGCTATACAATTTTCTTTCATGCAGAAACTTGCTGAACTCTTCTTTAGTTTTAATAATTTCTCAGTTGATTCTTTTAGATTTCTGGCATAAATAACTATTTCATTTTAGGTCTTTTCTTCAACTTATCACATTAAAATCTCCCAACAGCTATCTTACATAGAATAATAAAGATGACTCCCAAATGTTAATCAGCAACTGAGACCTCTCTTCTGAGCATCAGCCTAGTCTAAGGCTGAGAGAGAGAAAATATGAATTTTCTCTATAATTAAAGGAGATGAAGAGCCTTTCCTTACCTTACAAGAGGATTTACTTGGAGAGAGTATTGAAATACCTTACTCTACTTCTTTGGTATTTGAATACATCTCTCTAGGGAAAAGACAATCTGAGTGTCTCCAGTCGGGGGAAAAAATTTTCTAGGATTTAGTCTTCAGTACCACCTTTAAAAATTAAACATATATCTCCTGAGATAAGAAAATCTCTCTCAAGTTCTCTAATTAGTTGCAATTTTTAATAACTGTATGTTAAGATATATTTTAAATACCATACAATTTATCAATTTAGAGTATATAAATCAATCATTTTAATATATTCACAGCTTGTTCTAACATCACCAAAGTTGATTTTAGAACATTTTAATCGCCCCCAAAACAAATCCCCTATCCATTTGCAGTACTCTCTATTTTCCTCCCAACTTCCCAAACCCTAGGCAATCAGTAACTTACTCTCCACTGCTGGGTCTGACCTGCAGATCCTGGCCAAGTGACAGATGAAAAATTGTACGTAGACACAGGTTTTTTTGCCTGACTGCATGGCTAGGGGACCGGGCCACCACAGACACCAAGGAAGGTGCCATAAAGTGTCCCAGCAGCTGTAGCCCAGACAAGCCAGTGCTGCGGGCATTTACTTAGTGAAGAATTAATGACAAAGGCTTCGAATCAACACACTTGTGGGTAATTAACATGGTCGCCCCCCGGAGAGGGCTGTCCTTTGTGTGGATGATTTAAAGGCAGGTTCTGAGGCCTAAGTAAACTAACTTATCTAGATCAATCCCTTTACATTATTTTTTGTTATCTACCTTTTGCTCTCAGGCTCCAAATAAGAGAATTTGACTGCCTTCAGCCAAATTATCTTTCGAACCTTTTGCAAAACCTCCTGGCCTTCCAAGAAGGTTTGCGTTTTTCCTATGATTTCTTGCACCACCCTGACTGATCTCCTACATTCCATCTCTATGAATTTGCCTATTCTGGATATTCTGTATCATTTTATGAAATGAATAATTCAGTATGTAGTCTTCTGTTGGCTTCTTGCAAGTAGAAGCATGTTTTCAAGATTTATCTATGTGGAAGCGTGTATTGATAGTTCATGCTTTTTTATGGTAGAATAACTTTCCATTATTTGAATATACAATATTTTACTTATCCAATATCAGATAATAGATATGTGAATTGTTTCCACTTTTGGCTACTATAAATTCTGCTACTGTGAACATCCATGTACAAACCTTTGTATGGACATGTTTACATTAAAATATATGTAGATACATATATACCTAGGACTGGGTATATGGAATGACTGGGTCATATGGTAATTTTTAGTTTGAGGAACTGCCAGATGAAAACTAGCTGCACCATTTTCCATTTTCATCAGCCATGGGTGAGGGGTCAAATGTCTTCACGCCCTTACCAGTACTTGTATTTCTGCCCTTTTTACTACAATCATCCTAGCAGTTATGATGATTGCAGTTTTGATCTGTATTTCTTGATAGTCAAGAAAGATGAACATCTTTGAATTATCATGGAACCTTAACAAAAATCAATTGATTGTGCATGTGAGAAAAGTTTTTTGGACTCTCTTTTTTTTTTTTTTTTTTTTTTTTTTGAGATGGAATCTCGCTCTGTCACCCAGGCTAGGGTGCAGGGGCGCCTGCAACCTCCGCCTCCCAGGGTCAAGTGATTCTCCTGCCTCAGCCTCCTGAGTAGCTGGGATTACAGGCATACACCACCACACCTGGCTGATTTTTGTATTTTTAGTAGAGATGGGGTTTCACCATGTTGGTCAGGCTGGTCTCGAACTCTTGACCTTGTGATCTGCCCACCTCAGCCTCCCAAAGTGCTGGGATTACAGGTGTGAGCCACCATGCCCGGCCTGAATTCTCATTCTATTCTATTGATCTTTATGTCTCTACTTTGGCCAGTACCATGCAGCCTTGATTACTGTAGCTTTATAGTAAGTTTTGAAATCTGTAAGTATAAAACGTCCAACTTTGTTCCATTTATTCAAGATTATGAATCCTTTAAATTTCCATATGAATTCTGGAATCAGCTTGTCCATTTCTCCAAAAAAGTCAGCTGGGGTTAGATAAATGATAATTAGATAATTAATAAAGATCAATCAACAGATAAATTTGGGAAGTATGCCTTCTTCATAGAAGTATCTTCTGATCCATAAATATAGTCTTTCTGTTTTAGTTCTTTGAACTTGCTCCCGGAATGTTTGCATTTCTCTTCTTATGTTTATTACTATTTCAGTTTTATAATAATAGAAAATTTTTTCTTAATTCCATTTGAGGTTGTTTATTACTAGTGTATAATATAGCATTCTTGTATATTGATCTTGTGTCCTATACCCTTGGTAAACTCATTAAATTAGTTGTAATAGGTGTTTAGTGAATTTCTTTGGATTTTCTTTAAATAAGAACATATCATCTGTCAATAGAGATAGCTTTACTCTTTCCAATTCAGATGCCCTTTATTTTCTTTACTTGCCTAACTGCACTGAGAAGAAATTCCCATATAATGTTGAACAGAAATGTCAAGCAAAAATATTTTTGCCTTTAAAAATGTTTTTTTGAGGGAAATCATATCTTTTTCACCATTAATGATGTTGTTTCTGGATCTTTCATAGATGCTTTTATCAGGTTGAGAATGCTCCCCTTTATTCCTAGGGTGCAGAAATCAAGTTTTTCCCCTTTATTTTATTGATATGGTATACTATATTGATTTTCATAAGTTGAACCTATGTTACATTCCTGAGAGTGATCAAACGTGATATTGTATCTAATCATTTTTATATGTTGTTGGTTTTGATTTGCTACTCTTTTTTGAGAATTTTTATATCTATATTCATAGGAGATATTAGTAGCTTTATTATGTTGTCTTTATCTGGTTTTAGTATTAGGGTAAAATTGGCTTCATAGAATGAGTTGGGATTCTCACCCTTCCCTTCTATGTTTTGGAAGAGACATGACAAATCCATATTAATTTCTCTTTAACATTTGGTGATATTCACTAGTGAAGCCATCTACTTCTGAATTTCCTTTGTGGGAAGTGTTTTAATTACAAATTCAATCACTTTATTTGTTATAGGTATATTCATATTTTCTCTTTCTTCTTTAATTATTTTGATGTTTTGAGTCTTCCTAAAAATGTGTTTAAGTAATCAAATAAATAGCATACATTTGATTATAATATACCCTTAAAATTGCTATTATTTCTGTGAGTTAAGTAGTAATGTCCCCTCTTTTATTCTTAAATTTAGTAATTTGAGTATTTCCTATTTTTTATTGTTCAGCTTAGCTAAAGTATTGTCAACTTTGTTGATCTTTTTAAAGAAAAATCTATTTTTCAATTAATTTTGTTTCATTAATTCTTTTTTTGTATTTTCATTCATCTAGTTCATTAATTTCTCCTCTAATATTTATTAGTGACTTTCTTCTAATTGCTTTGGATTTAGTTTTTTCCTCTTTTCTAATGTGTCTATATACTTGATTTGAGATCTTTCTTCTTTATTAATACAAGATTTACAGCTCGCTCTACATTTGTCTTGAAGTACTATTCTACTGCAACCCAGAAGTTTTGGAATGCGATTGTCCTCATTTTCATTTATCTCAAAGAATTTTTCTAATTTCCCTTGTGATTTGTCCTTTGATCCATTTGGTAGTTAGAATTAAATGGCTTAATTTTTACATATTTGTGAATATATTATATATTTATTTATAATTTCATTATATTGTGACTGGAAAACATACTTTGTGTGATTGCAATCCTTTAAAATTTAGAGAATTTTTTTTATGGTCTATCATATACAGTATGCTGAAGAATTTTCCATGTGCATTTGAGAAGATGGTGTATTCTGCTGTTTTTAGGTGGAGTATTTTATAGATGTTATTACATCTAATTGATTTATACTAATAGTCAAGTGTGCAATTTTCTTGTTGATCTTCTTCCTGTTTTTTCCATACATTATTGAAAATGGCATATCAAAATCCCCAGCAATTATTGTTGGGTTGTCTGTTACTCTCTTCAATTCTGCCAGTTCTTCCTTCATGTAATTTTGGGGTCTGTTATTAGCTGCATATATGTTTATAATTGTTGCATGTTTCTGCTGGATAAATTTTTTATTATTATAAAATGTCTCTCTTGATCTCTAGTAACTTTATTTGTTTTAAATTATTCATTGTTTGATACTAATATAGTAATTGTAGCTTTCTTGTGTTTGCTGGACTCATGATTTTTTTTCATTATCTTACTTTGAACTAATTTTATCTTTAAATCTAAAGTGTATCTCCTGTAGATAACATGAAGTAGGATTTTTTCTCCAGTCTGACAATCTCTGCCTTTTGACTCAATTGTTTAGTTGTTTCACATTCAATTTTATTTTTACCATTGAATTTACTCATTTTACTTTTTCTGTATATCTCATCTTTTTTACTCCCCTATTTCTCCACTATTACTTTTTCATTGTGAATGAGTATTTTCTAGTGCAACATGTTTATTCTGTTACTAAATTTTTTTATCTTTTTTTGTTGTTCATTGTGGTGTTAGTGGCTTCTCTAGGGCTTACCATATATCAACTTATATTCTGATACTGATTTACATTAACATAAATTCTAGAGAGATATAGAAGCATTATTTTCTTTTCTCCCATTTTGAACTATTAGTATTATACAGATTGTAAGTGTTACAAACCCAATAATAAATTGCTTTAACTGTTACTGTCTATAATTTGGTATATTTTTAAGATGGTAAGGGAAGAAAGAATAACTATATACTTACAGGGTTTGGTGTATTAACATTCTTATTTACCTCTTCTAATTCTCTTCACTTAGTTATATTAATTTGGGTTCCCAACTAATGTTAATTTTTTTATTTCAATTGATCTGTGCTCCTACCCACAACTTTTGAGGTCTTATGCCAAACATATTATACTAGTATATATTATAGCCCATCAATACAACTATGTAGATATTGATTAATAAAAATGCTTTGAAATCAATTAAGAAAAGAGAAGAAATATACACATACATGTACATTAGTCATTACATAACCATTTTTACCCATGCTTACTGTTTGTATATGTGGATTTGAATTACTGTCTTAGATCACTTCCTTTCAGCCTAAAGAACTTTCCTTATTATATCTTGCAAGGAAGGTCTACTAGCAATGAATTCTTTCAAGTTTTGTTTATCTATAAGAGTATTTATTTTACCTTCATTTTAAAATATACCATTGCAGAATTTAAGATTCTTGTTTGACAGTTGTTTTTTGTGGGGCTGGGGGGTGGGGCTTATTTTTAGTACTTTTCAATATGTCCTTTCACTTCCTTCTGACTTCTCCTATTTCTTCTAAATTTATTGGAGTTACTTTTTATATGAGAAATCTTTTTTTTCTTGCTGTTTTCAAGAGTTTTTTTTTCCCTTTGGTTTTTGACATTTTACTATGATGTGTTTATTTGGAACTTTTTGTGTTTATGTTCCTTAGAGTTTGTTGAGCTTCTTGGATATGTAAATGAAAGCTTGTCACTAAATTTGTGGAATTTTCAGCTATTATTTCTTGGATTCATTTTCCTGCTTCTTATTTTCTCTCCTCTCTCCTGATACTCCCAGTATATGTATATTTGAGAACTTAATGTTGTCCTCTGCCTGGTTCTACTGGTATCATACCAACTCTTGGGCTTTGCTAATTGATAACTAATTGATTTACTCTTATGACCTGGGGTATAAATTGCTCCACAGTCTAACTTAATTAAAAATTTGAAGGGGTAGTTTTTCAGGCTCATAGTTGACAAAAACATAGCTAACATTACAGCACATAGAAATATAACTGAAAATTTGTCAGATTTAGAACAAGACAAAGATGTCCACTTTCACAATTTTTATTACATGTACTACTGAGATGTCCTATATAAAGCAATTAGACAAGAGAAAGAAATAAAGGGCATCCAAATTTGAAAGGAAGAAGTTAAATTATTCTTGTTCACAGAAGACATACCATGCTATTATATTTTGAAAAACCATTACAAAAAACCTCCACCAAATAAAACTGTTAGAATAAAAAAAAATTCAGTTACCTTATGGGATACAAAGTCAACATATAAAAATTAGTAGCATTTATATATGTAAACAACAAATATCTGAAAAAGAAATCATTAAAACAATTCCATTTACAATAGCCACTAGAAAGATAGATAGATAATGCTTAGGAATAAATTTAACCAAAGAAGTGAAAGATCTATACAAGAAAACCATAAGACAATGATGAAAAAAATTGAAAAGGACACCAAAAAATGGATAGATAGCTCATACTCATGGTTTAGAATAATTAATATAATTAAAGCCAGGCACGGTTGCCCACACCTGCAATCTCAGAACTTTGGGAGGCTGAGGTGGGTGAATCATTTGAGGTCAGGAGTTCAAGATCAGCCTGGCCAACATGGCAAAACCCTGTCTCTACTAATAATACAAAAATTGGCCAGGCGTTGTGGTATGCACCTGTAATCCCAGCTACTCAGAAAGTTGAGGCACAAGAATCGCTTGAACCTGGGAGCTGGAGGTTGCAGTGAGCCGAGATCAAGCCGAGATCAAGCCTCTATACTCCAGTCAGGGAAACAAATTGAAACTGTGACTCAAAAAATTAATATATAAATAGAAAGAAAGAAAATTCATATAATTAAAATCTCAATTCTACTCAAAACAAAAACAAATAATTAACATAATTAAAATCTCAATTCTACTCAAAACAATTTACAGATTCAATGCAATCACTATAAAAACACAATTGACATTATTTCAAAAATAGAAAAAAAGTCTAAAATTTGTATGGAACCATAAAAAAACCTGAATAGCCAAAGCAATCCTGAGGGGGGAGGGGGAAATCTGGAGGCATCATACTAGCTGACTTCAGAATATACAAGAAATCCATAGTAACCAAAACAATATGATTCTACCAGTAAAAAGACACATTGACCAATGGAACATAATAGAGAGTACAGAAATAAATTCACGTATTTACAGCCAACTCATTTTTAACACGTGAAGAACATACGTTGAGAAAGGAGAGTTTCCTCAGTAAATTCTTCCGGGAAAACTGGATAACCAAATGCAGAAGGATTAAGCTAGAGCCATAAATCTCATTATATACAACAATTAAATCAAAATGTATTAAATGTAAGACATGAGACTTTAAACTGCTAAAATACAGTATTAGGGAAATGCTTCAGGATACTGGTTTGCATGAAGATTTTTGGGGTAAGAACACAAAAGTTCAGGCAATAAAAATACAAATAGACAAATGGGATCATATTAAGCTAAAAAGCTGCAAAGCAAAGGAAACCATCAACAAAGTGAAGAGAGAATCTCCAGAATGGGAGAAAATATTTGAAAACTATTCACCCTAAAAGGGCTTAATAACCGCAATACAGGAGGATCTCAAAAAACTCAATAGCAAAAAACAAAACAAATAATCTGAACTGTTAAAGGATAAAATATCTCAATAGACATTTCTCAAAGAAGACATACAAATGGCCAAGAAGTACATTTTAAAAAGTTCAAAATCACTAATCATCAGGAAAATGCAAATCAAAACCACACTAAGATATGATCCCATCCCTGTCAAAATTACTTTTATTAAAGAGAAAAAATAACATATGCTAGTGAGGATGTAGCAAAAGGAGAATTCTCATACACTGTTGATGGGAATGCAAATTAGTATAGACAATAAGAAAAACAATAAGCAAGATTCCTGAAAAAATTAAAAATAGAACTACCGTTTGATCTAGTAATCCTACTACTGGCTATATAGCCAAAGAAAATAAAATCATCGTGTGAAATAGATATCTGTACTCTCATGTTTATTGCAGCACTATTCACAATAGCAAATATACAGAGTCAAACTATATGTTCAATGGATGAAAGGATAACAAAAATGTGTTACATATACACTATGGAATATTTTTCATCCATAAAAACAAGGAAATCCTGTCATTTCCAGAAACATGGATGAAACTGGAGGTCATTATGTTAATGGCTTAAGTTAATAAGCCATGCAGAGAAAGACAAGTATTGCACATACTCACTTATATATGTATTAGTTTCATTCATATTGCTGATAGACATACACAAGACTGGGCAATTTACAAAAAAAAAAAAAATGTTTAATAGACTTACAGTTCCATGTGGTTGGGGAGGCCTCATAATCATGGTGGAAGGTGAAAGGCAAGTCACGTCATGCATAGACAGCAGCAGAAAAAGAGAGAGCTTGTGCAAGGAAATTTCCATTTTTAAAATCATCAGATCTCATGAGATTTATTCACTATCACAAGAACACCAAAGGAAAGACCAACCCCCATGATTCAATCACCTCAAAACAGGTTCCTCCTATGACACATGGGAATGTGGGAGTTACAATTCAAGATGAGATTTGGGTGGGGACACAGCCAAACCATATTATTCTACCTTTGTCCCTTCCTAAATTTCATGTCTTCACATTTCAAAACCAATCATGCCTTCCCAAGAATCCCCCAAAGTCTTAACTCATTTCAGCATTAACTCAGAAGTCCACAGTCCAAAGTCTTGTCTGAGACAAAGCATGTCCCTTCTGTCTATGAGCCTGTAAATTCAAAAGCAAGTTAGTTATTTCCTAGATAAAATGAGGGTACAGGTATTTTGTAAATATAGCTATCACAAATGGGAGAGATTGGCCAAAACAAAAGGGCTACAAGCCTCATGACAGTCTGAAAGCCAGTGGGGCAGTCAAATATTAAAGCTCCAAAATGATCTCCTTTGATTCCATGTCTCACATCTAGGTCACGCTGATGCAAGAGGTAGGTTCCCATAGTCTTGGGCAGCACTGTCCATGTGACTTTGCAAGGGACAGCCTCCCTCCCGGCTGCTTCCATGGACTGGTATTGTCTGTGGCTTTTCCAGGCATGCAGTGCAAGCTGTCAGTGGATCCATCATTCTGGCGTCTGAAGAAGAGTGGCTCTCTTCTCACAGCTTCACTAGGTGGTGGTCTCTGTTTGGGGGCTCCCACCCCACATTTCCCTTCTGTACTGCCCTAGCAGAGGTTCTCCATGAGGACCCTGCACCTATAGCAAATTTCTGCCTGGGTATCCAGGCCTTTCCATACATCTTCTGAAATCTAGGAGGAGGTTCCCAAACCTCAGTTCTTGACTTCTGTGCACTCGCAGGCTCAACACCACATGGAAGCTGCCAAGACTCGAGGCTTGCACCCTTTAAAGCCATGGCCCAAGCCCTGTGTTGGCCCCTTTCAGCCATGGCTGGAGCGGGTGGGACACAGGGCACCAAGTTCCTAGGCTGCATACAACATGGGGACCCTGGGCCCAGCTCACAAAACAATTTTTTTTTTCCTAGGCCTGCTGTGAAGACCTCTGACATTTCCTGCAGACACTTTCCTCCTTGTCTTGGTGATCAGCATTCAGCTCCACATTGCTGTGGGAAAGAGGGTTTCTGGGGTGCCAGTTGAGTTGGTCTCCCCTGTGTGAGACACCCATGGGAAGCCATGGGCAGCCTCTGAGGAGAAAAGTCTCCTGATTGCCTTCATGTCTTTATGCCCCAAGAGCATAACCGCTCAGTGGCATTCCACAGGTTGCTCAGGGAGATAACACTCCCTTGAAGCAGTGGAGTATAACCAAACATCTTGGCTCCTCCTGATACCCGCTCCCACCCGTTTTAGTCCTGATAAGTTAAAGATCTTAAGTAGTTTAGACACACACCTTTGCTCAAGGAAATTCACAGAAATCGCCACTGTTATATACATCTTATCGAATGACTCACAAGTTCTCCTTCACTGATTAATCCTTTTCCTCATCCCTTCCTCCCCGTCCCATCAGCCCTAAGAACAAAGATCTTGTAAACCAATAAATTGGGTGGAGCCCGAGAGCTCTGGGCTGTGAGCAAGCCTCCGATGCTCCGGTCCCCTGGACCCGCCTTTTAAACGCTTATTCTGTCTAACTCCTTTGTCTCCGCCAGACTCAGGGTACCCACTGGGTGGTGTGGGGCTGTTTTGCCCAACACCTGGTGCCCAATGTGGGGCCCCCCATAATCTCTACAAAGTGAAGATTACACCAGAAGATTACACCAGTGAAGAAACACCAGAGCATGGACAGTGCAGGACGACTGACGAAGGACGCCCGAGTACGTTTTTACTTCAGGCTCCACAGGTAAGTAGGGCACTTGGAGAATTCCAGGGTAACCTCGTGGAAAATATGGGTCAGGCTGAAAGTAAGTTTGCTAATTACTTAAGCCTGGCATGGCAGTTCTTGTGCCGCGGGGGGCGGGGTGTAATTGTGAGTACCCAAAATCTCACATCTTTGTTCTGTCTTGTAGAAAAGTATTCTTGGTTCCCAGAATATGGAACCATGAATGTAAAAGATTGGGACAAGGTCGGATCAGACTTAAAACGAGCACAACAAGAGGGCCACAATATTCCCTTTTCTGCTTGGTCTGTGTGGTCGGCAGTTAAAACAGCACTGGAGCCCTTCCACACTGAGGAGGAGGAGGAGGAGTTTCAGGATGATATAGAAAGTTTAATAACCAAGAGTCTGATAATCAGCAAAGTGAACCATCACAGTCTAATTTAAAAAAGGGAGAGAAACAGGAAACTATATATGCTGACCTCCAAAAACTTATGAAAGAAACAGTTCCACCTACTGCAGAAACAGTGCCACCTACTGCGCCTTTAGGGGAAGGTCCGTAGCGGCCACCCCAACTTCAGCGTTATGAATTTTTGGAATGGGAGCCTGAGACACGGCTTGCTCTCCCATTGTTGCATGTCATGCCATTAACTATGGCAAAGCAAACCTTCAGGCTTGCCCAACAGCCAATTACGGTGAGAGAATGATCCAGGCTTGTCCACCTGTTAATTATGGTAGAGGAATGCTGTGAGCCAGCCCAAATACAAATTATGGTGCAGGCAAATACAATCCAGGCATCCATTTGCCAGGCACAAGAAATGGGGGATTTGGATGCTTGGCAGTTTCTGGTAATTATTTCACCAGCTGAGGAGCCCAGAGGACATGCTCAAGCATGCTGGGAGACATTTCCTTTTAAAATATTAAAAGACTTGAAGCAAGAAATTGGACAATATGGGCCAAATTCTCCTTATGTTCATTCCTTGTTACAATCTGTGGCTTATAACCAGCGTTTAATACCTATGGATTGAGAGTCATTAGCCTGATCCATCCTGTCCCCCTCTCAATTTCTCCAATTTAAAACCTGGTGGACAGATGAAGCAACAAATCAGGCATGCAGAAATGCTCAAGCCCAACCTCTCATTAATATCACAACTGATCAATTGCTTGGAATCGGACAGACATGGGGTACTCTAAATCAACAGATGGTAATGGGTGATGAGGTTGTTGATCAGCTCAGAACTATATGCCTAAGAGCCTGGGAAAAAAATCATGACCCTGATACTACTTAACCTTCTTTTAACTCAGTTCGTCAGGGTCCAAGGGAGCCTTATCCAGATTTTATCACCCATTTGCAAGATGCAGCTCAAAAGGCTATTTCGGATTCTCATGCCAGGAAAGTGATTGTTTAGCTGCTTGTTTATGAAAATGCTAATACAGAATGTCAGGCAGTAATTACACCTATTAAGGGAAAGGCAGATCTAAATGAGGAAAAAACTTTAAGTGAATACATTAAAGCCTGTGATGGCATTGTGGGACACTTATATAAGGCCAGCCTCCTTGCTCAGGCAATGGCAGGACTAAGCGTAAAAAAAAAAAAAACACAGGAGTGTTCCCTGGATCTTGCTATAATTGTGGACAGATAGGACATACAAAAAGAGAGTGTACAGAGAGCCAAAAAAGGCAAAACTCAGGAGGAAAAAGCAGGGAACCAGGTACCTGTCCTAGATGTAAAAAAGGAAAACACTGGGCTAATCAATGTCATTCAAAGTTTGATAACCATGGACGGCCCTTGCTGGGAAACAGAGAGAGGGGCCAGCCCTGGGCCCTGATTCAATACTGGGCATTCCTAATTCAGGACGGGATGTCCCCAACTCCAAACGGAGTGTTCCCAGCCCAGAGTATCCCTGTACAAATGTACAGCAGTTGTCCCCCTCCATAGCTAAAAGGGTGGCAGTAGTCTTATGCTGTACAGAAGCCTTATTCCTCCTTCCTGGGGAGCCTCCTAGGAAGGTCCCAGTGGGAGTTTACGGCCCATTGCCAAATGGCATGGTGGGACTTATACTGGGAAGGGCCAGCTTAAACTTAAAGGGAATTCAAGTACATATTGGAGTAGTGGACTCTGATTGCCAGGGAGAAATTCAAATTGTTATCTCCTCCACTCTTCCCTGGAGTGCTAATCCAGGTGACAGAATAGCTTAACTGTTGCTTTTACTATATGTTAAGTTAGGAGAAAGCTCAGAAAAAAGAACAGGAGGATTTGGAAGCACAAATTCAGCAGGCAAGGTTGCCTATTGGGTAAATCAAGTCTCTGACAATAGACCTATTCGTATGGTCACTTTTCAAGGAAAACAATTTGAGGGTCTGGTCAACACAGGAGCAGAGATGTTGATCATAGCTCTTTATCAATGGCTAAAAAACTGGCCCAAACAAAAGGCCCCATGGGTCTTGCTGGGGTCAGAACTGCTGCAGAAGTTTTCCAAAATACTTTTATCTTAGCATGTCTTGGTCCAGAAGAACAGGAAGTCACAATACAACTTCTAATTATGCCCATTTCCGTCAGCTTATAGGGGAGAGATCTGCTTCTGCAATGGAGCACAGAAATTTCAATCCCTTCTCCCCAGTATGGTCAAGCTAGTCAAAAAATAATGTCAAACATGGGCTATGTTCCCAGAAAAGGCCTAGGAAAACAGGAGATGGGCATCATTGAACCTATACAGGTTACTGTAAAAAAAATGACTGAAAAGGATTAGGTTATCATATTTACGGGTGGTTACTGTTGAGCCTCCAAGTCCTATTCCCTTAAAATGGAAGACCCAAAATTCTGTTTGGGTCAATCAGTGGCCACTTTCTCAGGAAAAACTGGGGGCCTTACAGGAATTAGTCAAAGAGCAATTAAACAAAGGAAACAGTGAGCCCACATTTTCTCCATGGAATTTGCCAGTATTTGTAATAAATAAAAAATCAGGCAGATAGCGCATGCTAACCGACTTACGAGCGGTGAATGCAGTCATCCAACCAATGGGGGTCCTGAAGCCCCAGCTTCCATCCCCCACGATTCCTAGAGACTGGCCATAAATAATTATAGATTTGAAGGATTCCTTTTTTAATATTCCTCTAGCAGAGTCTGATTTTGAGAAATTTGCTTTTACTATTCTTGCTATGAACAACAAGGAACCAGCAGTCAGATATCATTGGAAAGTCCTGCCTCAGGGTATGTTGAGTATTTCTACAATTTGTCAAACTTTTGTGGGGAAGACTATTCAACCTGAGAGAGATCAGTTTCCCGATTCGTATATCATCCATTATATGGATGACATATTGTGTGCAGCCAAAAATCGAGACCGACTTAGCCAGTGTTATTCATATTTACAGGAGGTGGTAGCCAATGCTGGATTGCTCATAGCACCAGATAAAATTCAAACAGCCACTCCTTTCCAATATTTGGAAATGCAGGTTCAGGAAAGGGCAATTAAACCCCAAAAGGTTCAAATTCAAAAAGACTCTCTGAAAACTTTAAATTATTTTCAAAAATTATTAGGGGATATAAATTGGATTCGACCTACTTTGGGAATCCCTACCTATGCTATGTCAAATCTGTTCTCTATTTTAAGAGGAGACCCTGCTCTCAATAGTAAACAAGAACTGACTCCTGAGGCTGCCAAAGAATTACAAATGATTGAAGCAAAAACATAACAGGCAAAGGTTAATAGAATAGACTCCAGTTTACCATTACAGTTCATTGTGTTCCCTACTCTCCATTCTCCTACAGGGGTTATAGTTCAGCATGAGGACTTAGTTGAATGGTCTTTTCTGCCTCACAATACTATTAGAACACTCACAGTATACTTGGATCAGATGGCAATCTTGATTGGGCAAGCTCACCTTAGAGTTGTTAAACTTTGTGGCTCAGATCCAGGTAAGATTATACTAATGAATAAAAATCAGATTCGGCAAGCCTTTGTTAGTTCAGTCAATTGGCAAATAAATTTAGTTGTCTTCACTGGAGTTTTTGACAATCATTATCCAAAAAACAAAATTTTTCAGTTTTTAAAGCTAACTACATGGGTTCTTCCAAAAATTACCCGTAGTGCTCCATTGGAAGAAGCAGTGACTGTGTTTACAGATGTCTCTAGCAATAGAAAAGCAGCTTATGTAGGACCTAAAAACAGAATTATTCAAACTGACTTTCGATCGGCACAGAGGGCTGAATTACAGGCAGTTATAGCTGTGTTAGAAGACTTTAAGCAACCTGTAAATATTGTCCCTGATTCAGCTTATGTTGTTCAAGCCACTCAATACACAGAAACTGTACTCATTAAATATCTTGTGGATGAACAACTCTATCAGCTGTTTTCTTCTTTACAAAAGGCAGTGTGTGATCACTGTTTTCCTTTCTATATTACGCACATTTGAGCACGTACTAATATTCCTGGGCCCCTTGTAAGGGCTAACGATCAAGCTGATTTACTAGTTTCCACTGTGCTTACTAATGCCCAAGATTTTCACTCCCTAACACATGTTAATGCAGCAGGACTTAACAAAAATATTAGATTACTTGGAGACAGGCAAAGACATTGTGCAACATTGCCCTCAGTGCCAGGTACTACAACTGCCACATGAAGGGGCTGGTGTTAACCCATGGGGATTAACCCCGAATATGCTGTGGAAAATGGATGTAACCCATGTACCTTCATTTGGGGAACTTTCATACATCCATGTTACTATAGATACCTTTTCTCATCTTGTATTGGCAACTTGCCAAACAGGAGAGGCAGCTGCTCATATTAAAAGACATTTACTTTCCTGTTTCGCTGCCATGGGCATCCTACAAAAGATTAAAACACACAATGGCCCAGGCTACTGTAGTAAATCTTTACAAGCATTCCTTCAACAATGGCACATTGAGCACAGTACTGGAATACCCTATAATTCTCAAGGCCAAGCCATTGTTGAACAGGCTAATCAAACCTTAAATTCTCAATGACAAAAACAAAACACAGAGTGGGGAAACAGAATACTCTACTCCCCATATGCAGCTACAATTGGCTCACATAACTTTAAATTTTTTGAATTTGTCTAGAGATCAGGTTACAACGGAAGCAGAGCAGCATTTGACAGGGCAAAGAATAAATCCTCATGAAGGAAAACATGTGTGGTGGAAGGACGTCAGAACCAAAACCTGGGAAAAGGCAAAATCATTACATGGGATCAAGGGTTTGCTTGTATCTCACCAGAAGGTAATCAGCTTCCCGTCTGGGTACCCACAAGACATCTTAAGCTGTGCCATGAGCCAGAATCCAAGGAAGAGGTAAAAACCTCAGAACGTCCCTGCACCCCCAGTTTGTCAGATGGCTCAGATGAACATCTCTGTCGAGCAGATGGAAACGGTAAAACTCCCCATGGAACTCCACTGACCTGGGGGCAAATGAAGAGACTAGCTCACATTGCAAAAGACAACCTGAGGTCTCAGAACAAGCTGCTGACCACCAGTAATCTAATGGTAGCTATGATGGCAGTAACCTCCCTGGCGGTGAGTCTCCCGATAGCTGAGGCAGATCAAAATTACCCTTATTGGGCCTACACTCCATTCCCACCACTGATGAGGCCTGTTACATGGTTAGACCCCCTGGTGGAGGTTTATGTTAATGATAGTGTCTGGATGCCTGGACCAAGAGATAACTGAGGTCCTACTCATCCAGAGGAGGAAGGAATGTTAACGAATGTTTCCATTGGTTATCGCTTTCCTCCCATCTGCCTAGGGCCAGATGCAGGATGTTTAAATTGTGATAAACAAAGTTGGATGGTTTATGTCCCTACACATAATGGATCAAAAGCCTCTATTCATGCAGTCAGTGGAAGAACATTTCAATCTTTGGACACTATTAAATACCGTGAGCACAGCTATGTTATGACACATCGCCAGATTAATAAATTTAAACCTAATAAGAAGCCCTGCCCTAGGCAGGCCATTAAATGATCTGGAAAGCTAGAGGTGCTAACCTGGGAAGATTGTATTGCAAACAGCGCTGCTGTACTGCAAAATAAATCCTATGGAATCATCATTCATTGGGCCCCTAGGGGACGCTTTGCAGTAAATTGTAGTGGACAGCACAAAGATTGTAGAGAGACTCCTATTGCAAATGATTACCCAGATAATGCACCAAAATTATATAGAAGAATTGAAACAAATTATCCTGTTAAGTGGGAGGAGAACAATATGGCTCCTCCAAGCCCAAAAATGATTGATCCAATTATAAGTCCAGAACATCCAGAATTGTGAAAATTAATGATGGCTCAAACCCCAATTTGGATTTGGAAAGGAGAATATAAAACAGAGACCCATAGTAAAAAACTTCGATTTGTTGTAGCCATAACCTCTAATCGGATGGCCCCATTGCAGAGTTGTGTTAAACCTCCTTTTATGCTGGCAGTGGGAAAAATTAGTATCCTATCTGACTCTCAAACCATATCGTGCCTCAACTGTCATCTTTTTACCTACATTAATTCTACCTTTAATAAAAATAATAGCATTTTACTGGTTAGGGCCCAAGAAGGAGTTTGGATACCTGTTTCCCTCAATAGGCGTTGGGAGGCCTCTCCCTCTATACATATTATCACTGAAGTACTAAAAGGAATACTTAATAGATCAAAGAGATTCATATTTACTTTAATAGCTGTGATCATGGGCCTTATAGCTGTCATAGCTACTGCTGCTGCTGCTGTTGTTGCTTTGCACTCGTCTATTCAAACTGCAGGCTTTGTAGATAGTTGGCAGAAAAATTCTTCTAACCTTTGGAATTCCAAAAGCCAAATAGATGAAAAATTGGCAAATCAAATTAATAATCTCTGTCAAACAGTAATTTGGATGGGGGATCGAATTATGAACTTGGAGCATAGAATTCAAATGCAATGTGATTGGAATACTTCTGATTTTTGTATTACTCCTAGCTCTTATAATGCCACTGAACACCATTGGGAGATTATTAGACTTCACCTACAAGGAAAAGAAGATAATTTAACAGTAGATATTGCTAAACTGAAAAAACGAGGTTTTGAGGCATCTCAGGCTCATCTCACCCTGCTGCCTGGAGCTGATATTCTTGCTGGAGCCACTGATGGCCTTTCTAATACCAATCCTTTAAAGTGGATAAAAACCATGGGTGGATCAACAATTGCAAATTTTATTTTGGTTTGTGTCTGTTTATGCTGTTTGTTTTTAGTCTACAGATGCGCATGGCACCTTGGGAGAGAAGCCAGACACCGTGAATGGGCCATGATAGCAATGGCAGTTAATAATAATAAAAAAAAAATTAATAAAGATAAAAAGGGGGACATGTGGGAAAGATAATTTCTGGGGTGCCAGTTGAGTTGGTCTCCCCTGGGTGAGACACCCATGGGAAGCCATGGGCAGCCTCTGAAAAGTCTCCTGATTGCCTTCATGTCTTTATGTCCCGAGAGCATAACCACTCAACAGCATTCCACAGGTTGCTCAGGGAGATAACACTCCCTTGAAGCAGTGGAGTATAATCAAACATCTTGGCTCCTCCTGATACCCGCTCCCACCCGTTTCAGTCCTGATAAGTTAAAGATCTTAAGTAGTTTAGACTCACACTTTTGCTCAAGGAAATTCACAGGAATCGCCACTGTTATACATCTTATCAAATGACTCAGGAGTTCTCCTTCACTGATTAATCCTTTTCCTCATCCCTTCCTCCCCCTCCCATCTGCCCAAAGAACAAAGATTTTGCAAACCAATAAATTGGGTGGAGCCCAAGAGCTCTGGGCTGTGAGCAAGTCTTCAATGCTCCAGTCCCCTGGATCCACCTTTTAAATGTTTATTCTGTCTCTTTCTAACTCCTTTGACTCTGCCAGACTCAGGGTACCCACTGGGTGGAGTGGAGCTGGTTTCCCCAACATTATTTATGCAAATTTCTGCAGCTGGCTTGAATTTCTCCTCAGAAAATGGGATTTTCTTTTCTATTGCCTTGTTAGGCTGCAAATTTTTCAAACTTTTATGCTCTGTTTCCCTTTTGAAACTGAATGCCTTTAAAAGCACCCAAGTCACCTCCTGAATACTTTGCTGCTTAGAAATTTCTTTGACCAGATGTCCTAAATCTCGTTCAAGTTCAAAGTTCCACAAATCTCTAGGGCTGGGGCAAAATGCTTCCAGGCTCCTTGCTAAAACATAACATGAGTCACCTTTGATCCAGTTCCCAAAAAGTTCCTTATCTCCATCTGAGACAACCTCAGCATGGATTTCATTGTCCATATCATTATCAGCATTTTGGTCAAAGCCATTCAACAAATCTCTAGGGAGTTCCAAACTTTCCCACATTTTCCTATCTTCTTTTGAGCCCTCCAAACTGTTCCAACCTCTGCGTGTTGCCCAGTTCCAAAGTCACTTCCACACTTTTCTGTATCTTTTCAGCAGTGCCCCACTCTACTGGTACTGATTTACTGTATTAGTTGATTTTCATGCTGCTGGTAAAGACATAACTGAGACTGGGCAATTTACAAAAAAAAAAAAAAAAAAAAAATGGTTGAATGGATTTACAGTTCCATGTGGCTTGGGAGGCCTCACAATCATGGTGGAAGTTGAAAGGCAGCAGGCAAAGAGAGCTTGTGCAAGGAAACTCCCATTTTTCAAACCATCAGATTTCTTGAGGTTTATTCACTATCATGAGAACACCACAGGAAAGACCTGCCCCCATGATTCAATCACCTCCCACTGGGTTCCTCCCATGACACATGTGAATTGTGGGAGTTACAATTCAAGATGAGATTTGTGTGGGGACACAGCCAAACCATATAAATGTGGATGCTGAAAAATTAGATCTTATGGAGGTAGAAAGTTAATTGATGGTTACCAGAGGCTGGGAAAGATACAGGGGAGAGGGTGAGAATTTAGTTAATGGGTACAAAAATTCAGTTAGATAGGAATAAGAGCTAATATTTGGTAGTCATTAGAGCAACTCTAGTTCCCAATAATCTGTGTAGTTCAAAATTGCTGAAGGAGAGAAAATGGAATGTTCTCAGTATAAAAATGGTATGAATGTTTGGGGGTAATGGATGGCTCAATTGCCCTGGTTAGATCTTACACATTATATGCACATGCACAAAATACCACATGTACACCAAAAATTTGTACAATTATTATGCATCAATAACCAAAATTAAAATATTTTTTCATTATAGTAAATACCCAAACCTGCAACATAGTAGTTTATAATCATTATCAAGTATTATATATTGTGCATAACTATAGGTACTCGATTTTCATAGGACTGGTAGCACAGACTTGTTTATATCAGCATCACCACAAACCTGTGAGTAATATATTGTTCTACAATATTGCAAGGGCTATGAAATCACGAGGAAATAGGAAATTTTCAGCTCCATTATAATCTTATGGCACTATGCTCATACATGAAGTTCATCATTGGCTAAAAACATTATAATGTGGCACCTGACCATATATATTTTAATATTTTCACCAGTTATTTTTTGGGGGAGTAGTTCTATGGAGCTCCTTACACTGCCATATTCTGGTAGTGAATTTCCAATTAATAGTGAATTGCATTCTCATGCTTGGTTTTATCCTAGTAATGTAATTTTATTAAAATTAATACACAAGACCTAAATGTTGAGAAACATAAGAATAATTTTTTCTATACACTTCCAAATTAGTTAACACTATTTATTAAATCTAAAATAAAGTGTCACTTTTATCACAGAAGATTTGTCTGACTTTCCAGGATTGTTCAAATTACTATATGTACCTTTAGCGCTTATGACAAGGATAATTTTCAATATTTAGGTCATTAATATTTAATGTATCCATCCTCAACTAAATTAAATATTTTATAAAGGTAGGATCTACAGGGTTATGGTTTGCTTGGTTTTCATGTCTTCAGTTATTTTTATTGTTGCCACCATGTTATCACCAGCACAGAGAACAATGTCTGGTGTCTAAAAAGCTCTTAATATGTATTGAAACAATGAATGAAGAAAAGGAATTGACCAAGTTTCATATTTGACACAGTTGTTTTGAAGTAGCCCTGTAGAAGTTGACTTAGCCCCACAAACATTTACTGTGAGGCAGTTGTTTCTTTCCATTTTTAAACCATGTTTAACCAGTCTTAACATCCCAATAGCCAAATCCAACCATGCAGTTATTAAAAGGGTGTGTTTATGAGTCTGAATGAGTGTGAGAGAGACAGAGTATTGTGTGTGTGTCTGTGTGTGTAATGTTAAAGAAAATGGAAACTTAGCAAGAATTTGGCTTCCTCTAAGACACAAAAACACAAAGTTATTTGAATGAAGTCAAAACTAGACCCTTTAAAAATGATTAGTATTTTCAAAGAATATAGAGACTTCTTTTCTCTTTGCTCATATCTGTCATCTTCAATTTGGAGTGAGAAGGATCTGTATTATATGTGTGAAACTGTAAGTGGGAAGGAGGATGAGTGTTATGGCAAGGTTTTCTTAGAATATGCAGTTCTTGGTCTTTGATTCCCATCTAAAGATTATTGAAATAGTGTATGTGATGTAGTTTCAGATGTGTTGGAAAGAAAAAAAAACATTGAAAAAACATAGTTAAGAACTGTCAAACAGGATTGCAGAGACCAGCTTGGTGGTGGAGACCCTAACCCAGCGGTGCTAGAGGAATTAAAGACCCACACACAGAATTATAGAGTGTGGAGTGGGAATCAAGGGGCTGACAGCCTTCAGAGCTGAGAGCTACAAACGGAGTTTTACCCACATATTTATTGATAGCAAGACAGTGATAAGCATTTTTTCTACAGATTATAGATTAACTAAAATGGGAAACAAAGGGATGGGCTCTGGCTAGTTATCTGCAGCAGGAACATGTCCTTAAGGCACAGATCGCTCTTGCTATTGTTTGTGGTTCAGGAACGCCTTAAGCGGTTTTCCACCTTGGGTGGGCCAGGTGATCCTTGCCCTCATTCTGGTAAACCAACAACCTTCAGCATGGGTGTCATAGCCATCATGAGCATGTCACAGTGCTGCAGAGCTTTGTTTATGGCCAGTTTTGGAGCCTGTTTATGGCCAGATTTGGGGGCCCATTTCCAACAGGATAGTGATCATGAGAGGGATTGTATTCTGTAAAATTTATGTGAGGTATATATGAATGTGAGAGGCTAAGTATATATTATTTGGGTATGCTAATGTTTGTGAACAATTTGCACAATATCCTGAGTTAGAAAAGAGTTAGTTTTAGTTTTTTATTCATAAAGCCATGCTTGATGTTTGAAATTTATTTCAATCCTTTTTATATGCTCAATATAAATGTTTTAGTGTTTTCTACACATAGATCCAGTAATTTATTAAACACCATAGTTGTTTGTTTGTTTTCTTTTGATTTCACTTTTTTAAAAAAAATAAATACCTTGCCAAGAATGTGCTTATTTAATATTTCTTTCATTCTGTTTTTTTTGCTCTACAATATCCATTGACTGAAACTTTTTGGGGGGTAGGGGGTAGAGAAGAGTGATCTATTATTTTATAAGAGGTAGGTTTTATTAATGTAAATTTACAAGCTGTTGTCACTTTGAATAGAACAGAAAATCGATAGAGATGAGAAATGGGGTGCTAGCCTCTGAATTTCTATGCTGTGATTCTATGTCTCCCCAGTTAAGAAAATCACACTGAGGAAGAGAATAAAAAGTTACAAGCAGGTTGTTATTTCTTTTTCTGAATTGAAACCCTTCTTTTTTTCTTTTCATTTTTTAAGAGGGCAATCATTTCTAATTCTTACAAAAGATTCTTTTGTTGGGAAAAAAAGGAACTGATTTTTCTTTTATTCACAATGAAATGGAGAAGCAAGCAGAATAAAAGCACCATTATAGTAAGTATAATCTTCAATTCTATCAGAGTAATCATAAAAACTAGAATTGTTATTAATCAAGGACAAAGTATGTTGAGCTATGTTTCCATGTTAGTTTTAGCATCCTAAACTTAGCTGAAACTCACCAGATTAGACCACAGAAACTTCTTATGGAGAAAAACTACACAGTATTGATTATCTCTACCACATGCAGGTTAATTTACCATTTATAGTCAAGAGACAACATCCTCACGTTAGTATACAAAAAACCATAGTTAAATATCAAGTCTGTCTTGTTAATTTGATAATTTAAACCTGAACATTGATCATTCTCTTCTCTTTTTCAGCCATAATTTAGTGAAACTAACCTCAGAGAAACATCTTATCACCAATCCTTAACTGCTTTGAAATTTATAGGGATACATTTAGAAATAGCTAACTCTAAAGATTTAATAAATTCCTGAGAATAACATAATTACCGTTGGTAAATTTCTTTCCTTTCAAAGCTATGGCACACACTGCAAAGTGCACATGTAAGCCAAATATTTATTAAAATATAAATAATAGTTAAATAATTTAGGTTAAATAAACATGCCATGTTTAGTAGTTATCTGTGTTAAAAGTTGCAGTTTATGTGTACTGTTTGCTTATCTCCTAATCAGAATAACCAAGAGGATTTTTCTAAGTATTTAGACTTTCAAGCTCTACCTGAGGATTGTAATTCAATAAAATGATTACAAACCTTCACATTTACCTTTTCAGGAAGAAATACACAAGGGGCTTCTGGTCCAGAGAAGATGACATACAACCATTTTCTCTGCTCTTACCCGTTATACACATCTATAAACTTTGAAAATTGTGTAAGAATTAACTAAAGAAGAATCTTGAAACATGATAAAAGAAGGATAGCCAGTTTGGGACCTCAGCACTGGAGGAACAGTATAGCAGCAAAATGTATTACCTGCCCCCCACCCAATGAATAGAAGATGGCTTCTCTTGCCTAACATCTACTGACCTCCAATCTAGCAAAAGAAGAAACTCCAGATATGATTATTTTTGCCCTGAATGGAAGTACTTAGACAATATCAGATAAGCCTTACAACATGTAAGAGAGATCATTGGAAGGCTTTCCAAAAATAAGCAGACAGAGGAGGCACTCCTATTCTCTGCTGGGCATAAGACTATTCTTTCTACCAAGAGAGTTGAGGTGGCTAGGCAAAGCCAGCAAGAGAGAACCAGCTATACCACTTGGCCTGGTACAGGAAATCTCTTCTTATCCACGGGCCTAGGATTCTGCCCCTCAGAGACACAAAACTGGAGGGGGTAACTAGAAAAAGGGAGTTGATTACAGTAAGCAGGTCAAGTAAAATGCAAAATGACACAACCAGCTTAAGTGGCCCAGTCTAGGAAGCCTATTTTTCCCACTGGTTGAATCCCACACTCAAAGACACTGGAACATCGAGGGCAACTCTTGGTAAATCCCTTATACTCTTAGCAGGAAATTCACCAAGAGTTACCTGGCCTTGGGAAACCTCTTCCAACTCATATGCAATCTATCACCCATCATACCAGGAACCAGAAGAATCACAACTTGAATGAGAAATGACAATTAACTGATACAAACACAAAGGTAAACATGATATTAGAATTACATGAAAATCATTTCAAGGAAGCTGTCATAAAAATTATTTAACAGTCAAATAAAAATTTAGTTAAAGCAAATAAAATATGAAAAAAGATTCTAAAAAGAATATTATAGAACTGAAAAACACAACAAAAAAATTAAAATTAAAAAATTATCAGGAAAATTTTTACTGATCAGAAAAAATTACTGAATTCAGTGATAAACTAGACACGACACAGGATAGAATCAGTGACTTTAAGGACATAAGTATAGAATTATCCCAATCTGAAGAACAGAGAAAATAAGCTGAAAAAAAAGAACACTGCCTCAAGAACCTATAAGACAATAGAGTTAACATTCATATAATTGTATTTCCGAAAGGAAGAGACTAAAGAAAATGGAAAGACAATGTATTAAAAAATAATGGCTGAAAACTTCTTAATTTTGCTAGACATTAAACTATAGGTCAAGAAGCTGAACACATTTCAGATATGATAAATATAAAGAAATTTATAACCAAACACATTATAGGTAAACTATTAAGAATTAAAGATAAGGAAAATATTCTGTCAACAGAGTAAAAAGATAAAATACCTTTAGGGAAATACCAATAGGAATGATGGTAGATTTCTCATCTGCAACCATGAAAGCATAAAGGAAGCACTTTTCTTGTACTTAAAAAAGAACTACTATCTACAAATTCTATAAATGCCAGACTTATTCTTCTGGATTTTAAGAAAAACAAAGACATTCTCAGATGAAGAAAAGCTAAAAAAAAAAAAGTCACAAATATATCTACATTTAAAGATTAGCTAAAGTAATTTATTCAAACATCAAGGGTGATAATAAAAAAATTTATCTTGGAGCATCGGGATGAAAGAAGAAACAATAGAAAGAGACAGGCCTGTGATGGGTTGAGAGGAGCTGCAATAAAGGTCTCTGAAATGCCCTAGAGGCATTTTCTCTCTTTTCTTGGCTTTTAACATTTGGCTCCTCTTTACCTAGGCAAATTTCTTCAGCCTTGAATACCTTTCCAGAAAATGGGTTTTTCTTTCTTACTACATGGTTGGACTACAAATTTTCCAAAATTTTATGCTCTGCTTCCCTTTTAAATGTAAATTCTAGATTCAGATAATTTTTTTGTTTATGCAATTGAGCATAGGTTTTTAGAAACAGCAAGGACACATTTTGAATGCTTTGCTGCTTGGAAATTTCTTCCACCAGATACCCTAAATCATCTCTCTCAAGTCCAAAATTCCATGGATCTCTAGAGCAGGGGCACAATGCTGCCAATCTCTTTGTGAAAGCATAGCAAGAGTGACCTTTATTTCAGTTTTCAATAAGTTTCTCATCTCTATCTGAGACAACCTCACCCTGGACTTCATTATCCATATTACTATCAGCATTTTGGTTACAACAATTTAACAAGTCTCTAGAAAGTGCCAAACTTTCTTCCCTCATCTTCCTGTCTTCTGAGCCCTCCAAACTGTTCCAACCTCTGTCTGCTACCCAGTTCCAAAGCCACTTTGACATTTTCAGGTATCTTCATAGCAATGCCCCACTCCCAGTACCAATTTTCTGTATTAGTCCATTCTCACACTGCTATAAAAAATTATCTGAGACTGGGTAATTTATGAAGAATAGAGGTTTAATTGAGTCACAGTTCTGCTGGCTGTACAGGAAGCATGGCTGTGAGACTTCAGGAAACTTACAATCATGGCAGAAGAGCAAAGGGGAAGCAAACATGTCTTCACATGGTGGCAGGAGAGAGAGAGAGAGCAAAGGAGGAAGTGCTACACACTTTTTAAACAACCAGATCTTGTGATAATTCAGTCAGTATCATGAGAACATCCAGGGAGAAATCTGCCCTCATGATCCAATCACCTTCCACTAGGTCCCTCCCCCAACATTGGGGATTTCAATTCAAATAAGATTTGGGTGAGGAAACAGAGCCAAACCATATCACTAGAAAGAGAAGATCACAAACTCAAAGCAAACAGAAGAAATGAAATAATAAAGATCAGAGAAGCAATCAGTGAAAATAAAAACAATACTACAAATCAATGAAACAAAATTGTTTTTTTGAAAATTAATAGGAATGATAAAACTCTATCATGACTGATAAAAATTTAAAGACATAAATCAGGAATGAGATAGCACATGCCTATACATATGGTGCAGTTATTAAAATAAAAATTAAAATGTACAATAACAACTTTATACTCACAAATTCAATATTTAGAAGAAATACAAAAATTCCTTGTAAATCACAAATGATGAAAACTCAGCAAAGATGAAATATACAATATAATATACATATATCTATGAAATAAATAATATCTATAATTGGAAACCTCCCATTAATAGAAATCTCCAGAGCCAGAATATTTCAATGAAGAATACTCCCAGCACATAATAGATAATTACTCATTTTACATAATAAATTCCAGGAAATAGAAAAGGAGAAAATATTTTCCAACTCATTTTATGATGCCAACATTATAAAAAACAAAAAGGACAGTAAGAAAAAGAAAACAGCACATCAACATCTCCTATAAGCTTAGACACAAAAATCTTCAGTAAAAGATTAGCAAATCTAATTCCATGTTATATTAAAATGATTATGTAACATGCAAATATCAGATTTATTCCGGGTATGCCAAGCTGGTTCACCATTCAAAAATCAATCAATGTAAACCTCGATATCAATAAGCTAAAGATGAAAAAATCATATGGTTATATCGATTTACATAGTAAAATAATTTGACAAAATCCAAAATCCATTCATATGAAAACACTCAGAAAGAAATTTAGGAATAGTGGGAATTACCTCAATTTGATAAAAACATTACAAAAAACTGCCTTCAGCTAACATCTAATATCATACTTAATGATGAAAAATTGAATGTTTTTCCCCTAAGATCAGGAATAAGGCCAGGATGTCTACATTCACCATTTTTATTAAATATAGTATTGGAAATTCTAACCACTGCAATAACTCAAGAAAAGAAATAAAAGTCATTTATATTTGCAAGTGGGAAGTAAAAATATCCCTATTCACAGATAACCTGAACATCTTCACAGGAAATCTATGAAAAAATTCACAGAACACAGAAATAAAAGGTAAGTCATGAAGGGTAGCAGGATATAAGATCAATAAACAAAAGTGGCGTTTAAATGTCATAGAAATTCAGGAAAATTTTAATCAAGGGAGTAAATATGATATGATTGAGGTTTGGAAAGATTTTTCTGGTTCTTATTTTTTTCTCTTGGACTAATTTTCATGCCAAATGGACATTGGAATCTTTTACTCTGGAGCTTTCAGTCAAACATGAATCCTTATGTGCTCCCACCCCACCACCACCCCTGGAGAAAAGTATATAAAAATTAATATTGATTCTGTGAAGAAAATGGCACTTTTTACATTTCCTTGGATCAAATTTGTCAAAGTCATTTCATCCATTAACAAGCTTTCTAATTTGGTTGATTTACAAATTCCTGAGAACAAGCAAAATGTGCTTATCCACTGCATAGCACCTATCAGTATATATTCAAAGGGAATATAGAGAGGATATTAACCAAATATGCCTAATTACTAATGACTGATGAGGCAAAAGTCTGGTAATCTTGAAACAACACCTACCTTTCGTGATTTAAATTGAAGATAACATATCTAAATTTTAATTACAATCAAAGTCAAAACCAAAAGATAGCAAGTAAAGCTGGAACGTCCCTTAGGTGATTAAAGAATGCCTTCCAATTTATTACATTTAGCTAATAAGTTAGACAAAGGATTTTGTTGTCTTGCTTTTCCATTACTTACAGTTCCTGTTATCAAGAGTGTTAAGTTTCTATTAACTCCTGTAACACTCTGGCAATGAGGTAAAATGCAAAAGTATGGATAGTTACAGAGGTTTGAAAATTGGTTTCTCTGATTTTCTAAAAGATGACTGGGAGCTTGATTTATGCTCATTCATTGAAGAGTATTAATACTATTACCATGAGTAAGTAGAAGCCACTTTGATCCAGTACGATGTTTAACCAATTTTTTAAAATTATTTTTATTAATTAAATAAGTATTTTAAATTATTAATTAAATAATTGTTTATGCAAACTTGTTTTAACTTCTTGTGAATATTTAGGGCTTTTTATCATTGTAACTAATACATAAGCTGATTCTTGTGGGTTTTAAATACTGAAATTGTGATTAGGTGCATAGCAATAAATATATATACATAATATAAAGTTATATATATATATACATGTATAGCGCAATTTCTCACTATATTGCCATGGCTGGTCTCTAACTTCTGAGCTTAAGTGATCTTACCTCAGCCTTTTGAGTTCAGTTCATCACAAGACATATTTATCCATCATTATGGAAATAGTAAAATTTGAAATAAAATTAAATTGGAGGCTTCTTTTTTGAAGACTGAAGTCACTATCATGAACAGATTTACCTGTGAAATTTCAAATAATTTGAATTATATTTACTTCCATTGGTGAATGTTCCTGAATACATTCTATAATCTATGGATTATAATCAAAGTGTGATATATCATTTTGATTGTAGAAACAATCTACAATTAAATACTCAACATGGGATTGAAGGACAAGGCAGAGAAAGATGATGGACTAGGACTCTCCAGCAATCATACCCCCACAGAAATATCAGCTTGAACAACTACTCACACACAAAAAATACCTTTAAAGCTCTAAAGAAACCAGATGACAGCTCACAGCACCCGGTTATAGCATAACAATAAGAAAAGATGCACTGGAGAGAGTGGAAATAAAAGTTTTACATTACCCACATCACCACTCTCTCAACCCTAGGCAGCACAGTGCAGAATAACATACTGCCTTCTTGGAGGAAATAGAGAGATGTAAGCCTAAGACTCTTATTTGAATCCCAATATGGGGCCTACCATAGCAAAACTCAAAACTGGGCTAAATCCTGTAGCCTCTGACTCCGGGCCGGTACCTGCAAACTGAGCTTCTGGACCTGCCCTAGCACCACATGGGAACCTGTAGCTCTTTCAAGTCAGATTCAAATTCTGGCCCGCATCACAGCCAGTCAAATACAGCAATGCTGGGCTCCAAATAACCTACAGTGACAGGCAGTCCTCAGGGTTTGTGAGCTTCCGGTGTGCTTTAATGCTGCATCAGCCTTGGTGGCCACGATTTTTGAACTCAGTGCTGCTAAAGTCATGACATTTGGGTAAAGGGTACTTCCTAGTACTTCCAGAGCTGCAACAGTCACTGGCTTAGGGACCACACAAGACAACAGGCTAAGGATCTCTGTGCAGCCTTACTGTTGAGTGACATGCCCCAAAATAAGTCAGACTGCAAAGAATGAAGTCAGTACATACTCCTTTAATGTGCAAACATCAATGTACAACCACAATAACCAAGAAAAATCAGGGAAATATAATTCCTTAAATTGGACAATAAAAAGGTGCCAGTGACTGACTCTAAGAAGATGGAGAGGTATAACCTTTCTGGAAAAGAATTCAAAATAGCTGTTTTAAAGATCTTCAAAAAACTTCAAGAATACACAGGTAAATAGTAAAATGAGGAAAGCAATAACTTACCAGAATAAGAAACTTAACAGAGATATTAAAATATTTTTTAAAAAATTGAACAGAAATTCTGGAGCTGAAAAATGCAACTAATAAAGTGAAAAAATTAAATAGACAGCATAAACAGTGCGGTGCATTTTTTGAAAAGATAAAATCAGCAAACCTTGAGTTAGAGTAACTAAGAGAAAAAGAGAAGATCCAAATAAGTAAAATAAGAGAAGAGAGGAAATCTTACTGATGGCAGCAGCAACCCATCTGAAGCAGCCACTGTAAGGACACCAGCTGCAGCAGGGGAGGTGCAGCTGGGGCTGTGCACTCCCTGGAGCTGGCAGGGACTAAGAGCAGGTGAAAGCCATTCACAGGGACTAAGAGCAGGTGGGAGCCATGCACCCAACCAAGTTGATGGGGCAGGAGCCCCACACTTCCAGGCACAGCTGCAGCCATCCAGCAGCAGCTTCATACCTGAGCATCCCTGTGCAGTCAGGGGCCCAGGAAGACCCTGCCCTTGCAGACTCAAAAGTGCCTGTTCCTGCTTTCTGGCCTCTTCCTGCTGTCAGCACCCACTCTGGTGTGGAGCAAAGTTGTGGCTGAGCCTGAGTGCTGTAGCAACCTAGCCAGGTGTGTACATGCTCAGGGCAGCACTGACATGCCAGTCCCCTGCCACCTACACTCCCTACAAACGTTGGGTGCTGATAAGCCTGGGAGGGGGCTCAGGGACTGAGCATGGTTTGGCATGGGCCTGCTGGTGCCCTTGAACACATACAACCTGGGCACCATGGATGGCAGGTTGATGGCACAGGGATGCAGGCAGGTTCCTAGGCAGGAAGTGGCAAGTCTTCAGTGAAACCAAACTTCAAGCCAAAGAGAACCTGAAGCCTGGGGGCTGGGCTGCCATTTACAGGTGAAGCCGGGAATGAGAACTTCATTGATGACCATTTGGCCAATCAGATGGTGCTTTTTCCAGGTCTGCCCGTGGCTGCCCAGGGACCAATCAGCACACACTTCCTCCATTCTAAGCACATAAAAACTCCAGACTCACACACTCCACAGGACAACCTGCCTGTAAATAGGAGCTACCCCCTCTGGGTCTTCTCTCTGCTAAGAGACACACTGAGCAGGATAACCTGCCTGCAGATAGCAGCTACCCAATCCACGTCTTCTCTCCACTGAGAGCCACACTTGATGGGACTATCTGCCTGTGGATAGGAGCTGCCCACTCTGGGTCTCTTTTTCACTGAGAGGCACACTAATCAGGACAACCTGCCTGCGGGAAGGAGCTACCCACTTTGGGTCTCCTGAGAGCTGTTCTGATACTTGATAAAGCTCCCATCCATCTTGCTTGCCCTCCAGTTGTCCACATACCCTCATTCTTCCTGATGCAGGACAAGAACTAGGGACCTGCTGAACTGCAGGAATGAAATGAACTGTAATGCTTTCTGGCCAGCCTCGGAAACTGAAGGCAGTGACATGCCCCTGGAATGCAAAATTGAAGAGTGGCAACCTTTCTTGGCAGGAAGCATACTTTGGGTTTCCCTATCCAGAGCTGTAGCACTATAGCCTCCTGCCCTCTGCCAGTGCCAGGTGGCTGCCCCCTGCTCTCTGCCAGCACCAGGTGGCTGTCCCATGCAACAGAAAGCAATGGTGGGGCTAGGCCAGCCTAGGCACCACAGGCTGAAGTGGGGTGGTGGGACTGAAAGAGTTGTAACACAAATGGGCTGAAACATACCCCTCTTCCCACAATGCCTAGAGAAGAGCCGCAGCCCTTCTGGGATCCCAGGCCTAGGGGCACCCAAAGCCAGGGCTGTGACATGCTGTAACACCCCTTTGAGGATTTGGGGTCGCTGGTGTCTCCAAGTTTTTCAGGCACCACCACATTCCCCTCATCCAGACACTTGCCCAGCCACAAGCTGAGCATTGTTACCATGGTGAGGACAGGATCCAGACCAGAGTGCAAGCCAAGTGCAGCCCCACTGGTCTGCAGGGTACCTTATGCAGTGAGCCCAGGGTGAAGTGAGGCCCTGGACAGGGGTGTCACCAGCTGCAGAGGTCTCTGGCTGGCAAAGCAGCACCAAAAAAATCCTGCATCATTTTAACTGATAGCAAAAAAAAACAAAAACAAAAAAAACCCACAAAGAAACATAAAATACTTTTAAGAACAATTAGATACCAACAAATCATGTAACCAAGAAGAAATGGAAAGTTTCCTGAGCACATACAACCTACCAAAATTGAATTATCAAGAAATAAAACATCTGAACAGATCAATAATGAGAAAGGAGACTAAATCAGTAATAAAAAGTCTCCCATCAAAACATAGCTCATGAAGTGATAGCTTCACTGATGAATTCTCCCAAACATTTAAAGAAAACACTAACACCAATTATTTTCAAACTATTTCAGAAAATTGAGTAGGAGAAGATATTTCCAAACTCATTCTGTGAGGCCAGCATTACCTGATACCAAAACCAGACTAAAGTCACAACAGAAAAAGAAAACTGCAGGCCAATATCCCTGATGAACAAAAATGTAAAAATCCTTGACAAAGCATTAGCAAATCAAATTTGATAGCACATTACAAAATATACAGCATGATCAAGTGGGAGTCATCCCACAGATACAGGGATGATTCAAAATATGCAAACCGATAAACATAATATATCACATTAAGAGATCAAATAAAAAAACCATATGATCATCTTAATAGATTCAGAAAAGGCATTTGACAAAATTCAACATCCCTTTATAATAAAAACTTTTGAACATTAGGTATAGAAAATATGAACGTAAACATAATAAATGCTATACACAGCAAACCCACAGATAAAGTCATACTGAGTGAGTAAAAGTTGAAAGCTTTTCCTCGAACATCAGGAACAAAAATAAGGATGTCCATGTTTACCAGTTCTATTCAACATATTATTAGATGTTCTATACAGAGCAATATTGCAAGAGAAAAAATAAAAGGCATCCAAACAGGAAAGGAAGAAGTTAAATTGCTCCTGTTGTAAACGATACAATGTTATATACAGAGGACCATAAAGACTCTATTAAAAAAAAAAAAGATTAGAACCAATGAAAAAATTCAACAGTTATCAAATACAAAATCAACATACAAAAATCAGCAGGGTTTCTATACACTCACAGTAAAGTATCTGAAAAACAACTTGAGAAACAATCCCATTTATCATAGCTACAAAACGGATAAGAAAATAAAATACTTAATAAATTTAACCAAATAAGTGATTGATGTCTACACTGAAAACTATAAAACATTGATAAAAGATGTTAAAGAAGACACATCAATGGTAAGATAACTCTTGCTCATAAATTACAAGAATTACAGTTGTTAAAATGTTCAGACTACCCAAAATGATCTACAGATTCAATGTATTCGCTATGAATATAAAAAGGCATTTTTCACAGAAATAGAAAAAATTCTAGAATTCATATGAAATCACAAATTTCTCTGAATAGCCAAAACAATGGTGATTAAAAAGAACAAAGTTGTGGTCATGTCATTATCTGGCTTCAAAGTATACCACAAAGCTATAGTAATCAAAACAGCATGATACTGGTATAAAAACAGACTCATAGTCCAGTGGAATACACTAGGGAGCCCAGAAATAAATCCACACATTTACAGTCAACTGATTTTTGTCAAAGGTTTCAAGAACATATATGGGGGGAAAAGATACTGCCTTCAATAAATGTTGTCTAGAAAACTGGACACCACCACTCAAGGAAATAAGAGAGGACAAAAACAAATGGAAAAAGATTCCATCCTCATCGATAGGAATAATCAATATCATGAAAATGGCTATACTGCCCAAAGTAATTTATAAATTTAATGCTATTCAATTCAAAATACCATTGACATTCTTCACAAAATTAGAAAAAAAACTACTTTAAATTTTATATGGAACAAAAAAAAGAGTCTTCATAGCCAAGAAAATCCTAAGCAAAGAGAACAGAGCTGGAGGCCTCACACTACCTGACTTCAAACTATACTACAAGGCTACAGTAACCAAAACATCATGGTACTGGTACCGAAACAGACATATAGACTGATGGAACAGAACAGAGACCTCAGAAATAACACCACACATCTACAACCATCTGATCTTCCACAAACCTGACAAAAAAGAAATGGGGAAACGATTCCCTATTTAATAAATGGTGCTGCAAAAACTGGTTAGCCATATGCAGAAAACTGAAACTGGATCCCTTCCTTACACCTTATACAAAAATTAACTCAAGATAGATTAAAGACTTAAATGTAAAACCCAAAACCATAAAAACTCTAGAGGAAAACCTAGGCAATAATAATTCAGTATATAGTCATAGGCAAAGACTTCATGATGAAAACACCAAAAGCAATTGCAACAAAAGCTAGAATCACAAATGGATCTAATTAAACTAAAGAGTTCTGCACAGCAAAAGAAACTAGCATCAGAATGAACAGATGACCTACAGAATGGGAGACAATTTTTGCAATCTACCCATTTGACGAAGGTCTAATATCCAGAATCTACAGGGCACTTAAATAAATTTACAAGAAAAAAAAAGCCAACAACCCTATCAAACAGTGGGCAAAGAACATAAACAGTTATCAAGAGAAGGCATTTCTGTGGCCAATAAACATACAAAAAAAAGCTCATCACTAATCATTAGAGAAATGCAAATCAAAACCGCAATGAGATACCATCTCACGCCACTCAGAATGGCAATTATTAGAAAGTTGAGAAACAATAAATGCTGGCGAGGCTGTGGAGAAATAGGAACACTTTTACACTGTTGGTGGGAATGTAAATTAGTTCAACCATTGTGGAAGACAGTGTGGCGATTCCTCAAGGATCTAGAACCAGAAATATCATTTGACTCAGCAATCCTATTACTGGGTATATACCCTAAGGAATATAAATCATTCTACTATAAAGACACATGCACACATATGTTTACTGCAGCACTATTCACAATAGCAAAGACATGGAACCAACCAAAATGCCCATCAATGATAGACTGGATAAAGAAAATATGGTACATATATACCATGGAATACTATGCAGCAATAACAAAGAATGAGATTATGTCATTTGCAGGGACATTGATGAAGCCGGAAGCCATCATCTTCAGCAAACTAATGCAGGAACAGAAAATCAAACACTGCATGTTCTCAGTCATAAGTGGGAGTTAGACAATGAGAACACATAGACACAGGGAGGGGAACAACACACACTGGGGCCTGTTGGTGGATGGGGTGGAAGAGGAGGGAGAGCATTAGGACAAATTACTAATGCATGTGGGGCTTAAAACCTAGATGACAGGTTGATAGGTGCAGTAAACCACCATGGCACATGTATACCTATGTAACGAACCTACATATTCTACACATGTATTCTGGAACTTAAAGTAAAATAAAATAAAATAATGTTACAAGGTATATTATATTATCATATAGTAAAATATGCTTTTTATTTTAACTGTTTACATGAATTTCAATTTTTAAATAATAAACATGTTATATAGTTGGATGCATTATATAAATTTCATCTCTATGAAATAAATGAACATGTTAAACCTAAAAAAAACAAAACTGGATACATGCAGGAGAATGAAATTAGATCCTTATTTTTCAACATATCAAATATTATCTCAAAATGGATTAAACATTTAAATTTCAGACATGAAACTATAGAACTACTACAGGAAAACAGAGAAGAAGCTCTATGACGTGGTGCTGGGCAATGGTTTCTTTGGATATGATCTTAAAAGCATAGACAACAAAATAAAAAATAGACAAATGGGATTAATGAAACTGAAATGCTTCTGCACAGCAAAGGAAATAATCAATAAGAGACAACCTACAGAATGGAAGAAAGTATTTGCAAATCATACATCTGATAAGTGGTTAATATCTAAGAGCTCAATTCAACACAAACAACTCAATAGCAAGAACACAAATAACTCAATTTAAAAATGGGCACAAGACCTGAATAGACATTGCTTAAAAGAATACATACTAGTGGCCGGCAGGTATATTATTTAAAATCCTCAATATGACTAGTCATCTTGAAAATGTAAACCAAAACCACATTGAGATATCTCCTCACTCTTGTTGAAATGGCTATTATCAAAAACACAAAAGATAAAAAATGTTGGCAAGGATGTGGAGAAAAAGGCACATTTACACACTATTGGTGAAAATATAAATTAGTACAGGCATTATGGGAAACATTATGGAGGTTCCTAAAAAAATTAAAGAATAGAACCACCATATGATACAGCAATTCCACTGCTTGGTATGTATCATACAGGAATGAAATCAGTATGTCAAAGAGATATTTATACTCCCATGTTTATTGTAGCTTTATTCACAATAGCCAAGATATGGAATTAACCTAAGTGTCCATCAGCAAATTAGTGGATACAGAAAATGTGGTATATACAGACACCCTTTGTATCTGTAAATTCTGCATTTGTGGACTCAACCAAAAGTGAAAATATTCTATAGAAAATAGTTGAAGAAAAATAATAAAACAAAAAATCCAAAAAACATTATAACAAGCATTTATGTAGTATTTATATCTTATTACATGTCATAAATAATCTAGAGATGACTTAAAATACATAGGAGGATATGCACAAATTACACACAAATACTACTTTACTTAATACATGGGACTTTGTATATCAAAGTTCCATGAGCATTGGCTCATTTTGATATACACAGGGGTCCTGGAACTAATTCCCCATGGATATGGAAGGATGACTGTATACACAATGGAATACTATTCAGCTATTTTAAAAATTTCTGTCATTTATGGATGTTGCATGGATGACTGTGGAGGGCATTATGTAAAGCGAAATAATCCAGGCACAGAAAGATAAATATCGCATGATCTCACACATATGTGAAATCTAATAAAGTTGATCTCATAGAAGTAGAGAGCAGAATAGTGTTTACCAGAGGCTGGGTGGTTAGTGGAGAGGAGGGGCCAGGGAGATGTTAGTCAAAGGGTACATAATTATAATTAGACAGGAAGAATAAGTTCAAGAGATCTATTGTATAGCATAATGACAAGAGTTAATTATGATCTTTGTATTCTTGAAAAATCCAAAGAGAGTAGACATTAAGTATTTTAACTACAAAATGATAACTATGTGAGGTAATGCATTTGTTAATTCACTTGATTTAACCATTTTGCAATGAATATATTCTTCAAAACATCGTGTTATATACAATAAATACATACAATTTTATCTGTCAATTAAAAAAAAGAACTCAACTTGAACATGTTTTACTATTGATTTAGTTGCTATTGTGATTGTAGCAGTTGTTTCCTATATTTTACTTACATATTTTGAATGAATAGAATTAAGTATAAGAGTTTGAATATAAATTAAGGCTTCTTCATACATTGAATTTCATGTTTAAGCCTAGTAATAGAAAAAAAATCATGTTGTCTGCCTTCGTACTGCAATTATCACAAGTACCTGACATTCGCATTGAAAATAGATGCTAAATATTTATGAAGGTGCTTTGATTTGCATAGAGACTTTCCCCTAAAGAACTGAATACATTTATTCTTCTAAATTCAGTTCTGCACAAACTTACTGCATGTATTTTCATTGTTCCAGGTGCCACGTAAAATAATGAAAGTGCTTTTGCCCTCACAGAGCTTAAAATATAATTGTGGAGAAAATATATATACATATGAAACAGTTATCAATCCAAGGCAATATCAGATTAAATATCCTATCTGATCATAACAGCATGCAGGATTGATAGGAACATGATGGAGAAGTAAGATCAGGTAGGTTGATTTTTTGTCCTTGCAATAGTTTGCTGAGAATGATGGTTTCCAACTTCATCCATGTCCCTACAAACGACATGAACTCATCATTTTTTACGGCTGTATAGTATTCCATGGTGTATATGTGCCACCTGCACATTGTGCACATGTGCCCTAGAACTTAAAGTATAATAAAATATATATATATTAAAAAAAAGATCAGGTAGGTTGAAGAAGTCAGAAGCAGTTACTAGGAGGTAGTGAGAAAAGGATAAACCCTTTATTATCTCTGCTTAGAGGCAACATTGTAGAGTAGAAAGATGACTGGCTTTCCATTCCTGATTTTACCACTTATAAGGTAAGTGACAATCTTTCTGCAACTCAATTTCACCATTTAAAAAACTGAATGTGATATACCTATTCATCAGGGTTATAAAAAAAGAAAAGCAAAAATGTAGGTAAAGGACCTAACATAGTCATAGCAAATAATATATACTCCAAGAGCAATTATTTTCCTGGGAAGAAGTTGAAGTACAAATTCAATTTATGTGACTCTCTATTCTTTTATAAAAGACACTGCAGATAAAGTCAACTTTTTCTCATTCACCCATTTTTATATCTTAGGACACAAAAGATACTGAAAAGTGCTAGGACTTTAAAGGATACAAATTAAAGTAAGGTAAGTACCAGGAGTATAGATTCTATGGCAATTTTCTGTAAAGATTCTAGTTTATCAGTTGAAAAACTGAAACAATTTTGCTGTTCCAAGAAAGCAGTAGGCATCCAGGAGGTTATGAACTGTGGTATCACACCTGTCTTTATGCAAAAATGAGCCATGAAAGGAATGTAAGAACAGCTAAGACAGTGTATATCAGGTAAGCTTGTCACTATGTTGTGTATATCAGTGCATTGTGTTTCAGGGGTAGGAACACACTTGCTGAAAATGAATAGCTAATAAAAAAATAGAGCCTCAACTTCATAGAAACTAATATATTGGTCCAATGTAAAGGAAAAAGGCCTAGTACTGAGAATAAGATATATATATATATAAAACTTATTATATATAACTATATAAATATATGTAGTTATATAGTTGCTTAAGCCAGTCTTCAAAGATAATTTCAGATCTCTAGGGAAATGCATAAGGCTCATAAGTAAAAAACAGAGCCTAATTCAGACTTGCAGCCAGCGTGATTTAATGTTTGGATTCTGCTACTGATATTATGGTCTTTAAGAATAAAAGGGGATGTTATTAGTAACTGCACCATGATCATGGGCACACAATGTGACTTTTCCCATAAACTGATATGTATGGCACTCCCTACCTAAGTCATAATTGATCAGGTCCTAGAGCTGTAAAGCTGGAGGTGGGGGTAGCTGTATTTGCTCCATGTGAGATAAGGCCTTAAGGACAGACAGTCTGAATATTCCGAGACTGATTATTAGGAAGATACACATTAACACAAGTGGATACGGTAGACAGGTTGACAGAGTTATGAGGTTTTTACAATAAACATACATATACATTAAAAATATGGCAATCCTATTTTAATAAAACAAAATTCTAGCTTTGTAGTATAACTGAGGGCCACACAGTTACAGAACTTAGATAAAAATACATTTCTGTTCTTTTGCCTGTGTAATATTATGCTTGTCTGTATCAAAACAAACATACAATTTTCATGCTGAAAAAAGTAATTTTTTCATTTGCAACAGACACGGATCACCTTAATAACTAATAAATCCTTTTTCTCTTTCTAATCTCTAAATGTCAAATGCCAACATATTGTGAGCAGTGGTCTTTAGGAGGTATTTGGTTTTAAAATCCTGAAGTACTCACAGTTAGCATATCAAATGCATTTGGGAATCACACTATAATTTTTACCATAGAGGGTGAAAAAGCACAAGGAAACCATTTAAAATGAAGAAATGTGAATCAAGAAGGAAGCATGAAAAATATAAGATGATTTTTTTGTCTTGATAATGTTCCTGCAAATTTACAATATTTTTAAGTGATATTTAAATTCTAAGAATGTTTCCCTAGAGCCAACATAGCATAGACTTACACTGTGGCGATTACCAAAATGTATTTGTTTTCAGACTGCAAAGATGTATTCAGGTATGAAAGGAAAGAAGAAATGGGCAAATTAGTGTGTTCTTGAATATTTCACATTTAGTTGAATATTTTAATCTTTGTTCAAAAAGTGTAAAATATGTGGTCAATCACATGTATTGATTTGCCTATGTTGAACCAGCCTAGCATCCCAGAAATAAAGCCTATTCGATCATGGTGTTTTAACTTTTTTTATGTGCAGGTGGATTCAATTTGCTAGTATTTTATTGAGGATTTTTGCATCTCTCTCTCTCTCTCTCTCTCTCTCTCTCTCTCTCTCTCTCTCTCAGTGTGTGTGTGTGTGTGTGTGTGTGTGGGTGTGTCTGCCAGCTTTGGATATCAGGCTGATGTTAGGGTGAAGCACCTCATCCTCAATTTTTTTTGAAGGGTTTCAGTAAGATTGATGTCAGCTCTTCTTTGTATATCTGGTGGAATTTGACTGGGAATGCATCTGGTTCAGGGCTTCTTTTGGTTGGTAGGTTTTTTTTTTTTATTACTGATTCAATTTCTGAAGTTAATATTGGTCTGTTGAGGGTTTCAATCTTTTCCTGATTCAATCTTGAGAGATTGTGTGCTTCCAGGAATTTATCAATTTCCTTTAGTTTTTAAATTTGTGTGCATGGAGCTGTTCACAGTAATTTCAGGATCTCTTGTGTTCCTGTGGGATCAGTTGTAATATCACCTTTGTCCTTTCTAATTGCACTTATTTGGATCTTCTTTTTTTGTTAATCTAACTAGAGATTTATCAATTGTATTTATTATTTCAAATAACAAACTCCCATTTTCATTTTCCATTTGTATGGATTTTTTGCATCTCCATTTTATTAAGTTCTCTAATTTCAGTTACTTCTTGTTTTCTGTTAGCTTTTGGGTTTTGTTGTTGTTGTTCAGTTAGGTGCAAAGTTAGATTGTTAATTTGAGACCTTTGTAACTTATTGATGAAGATATTTAGGGGTAAAAATGTTCCTCTCAACACTGCTTTGGCTGAATCTCAGCGATTTTGGTAAGTTGTATCCACATGTTCATTAATTTCTAAGAATTTATTTTATTTCTGTCTTAATTTTGATGTTTACCCAGGAGTTATTCAGGAGTAAGATGTTGAATTTCCATGTACTTTTGTAGTTTTGAGAGATCTTCTTGGTATTGGTTTCTATTTTTATTGCACTGTGGTCCAAGAATTTGCTAGTATGATTTCAATTTTTTTAATTCATTGAGGCTTGCTTTATGACTAAGCATGTGGTTATTTTAGAATATGTTTCATGTGCAGATGAGAAAAATACATATTTTGTGGTTGCTGGGTGAAGTGTTGTGTAGACGTCTATTAAGTTCAACTAATCAAGTGTCAAATTTAAGTTAGAGTTTTTTTGTTAGCTTTTTGCCTCAACAATCTAATGTTGTGAGTGCAGTGTTTAAGTCTACTGCTATTATTGTGTGGTTTTCTACATGTGTTTGTAGGCCAACAAGAAGTTTTATGAATCTGGGTGCTCCAAAGTTGACTGTGTATTTATTTAGGATAGTTAAGGCTTCTCGAGGAATTTTATTCCTTATCATTACATAATTCCTTTCATTGCCCTTCTAAATTTTTATTGGTTTAAAGCCTGTTTTATCTGATATAAGAATAGTGACTCCTCTCCTTTTTTATTTTTCATTTATGTGGTATCTTACTCCACTCATTTGCTTTAAGACTGTGCATGTCATTTTTGTGAGATGGGTCTCTTGGAAACAACAGATGATTGGGCCTTGGCTTTTTATTCAGACTCCTATTCTGTGTCATTTAAAAGAAAAACCACATGACATCTCAATATATTCAGAAAATTTTTAAATAAAATCCGATGTTCCTTTATGATAAAAACCTTCAACACACTAGCAATCAAAGGAACATAGCTCCAAATAATAAGAGCCATCTATAACAAACCCACAGCCAACATCATACTGAATAAAATAAAGCTCAAGTCATTTATCTTGACAACTGGAACAAGGATGCCCACACTCACCAGTCTGCATCAGCATAGTATTGCAAGTTCTAACTGGAGCAATCAGGCAAGAGAAAGAAATAAAAGCTATCCAAATAGGAAAAGAAGTGAAACTATCTCTTTGCTGATGATATGATTATATACGTAGAAAATCCTAACTACTCTGCCAAAAGGATCCTAGAATTGATAAACAGCTTTAGTAAAGTTTCAGGATACAAAATCAAGGTAAAAAATCAGTAATATTTTTATACACCTGCAATGTCCAGGCTGAGAATGAAATCAAGAACACAATCCCACTTACAATAGCCTCAAAGAAAATGAAATACTTAGAAATACAAATAACCAATGAAGTGAGAGATCTCTATAAGAAGAACTATAAAAAATTGCTGAAATAAATCAGAGATGACACACAAAAATGGAAAAATATTCCATGTTCATGAATTAGAAAAATAAATATTGTAAAAATGTGATTTCTATCAAATTACCAAGGTCATTCTTCACAGAATTAGAAAAAAAACTGTTCTAAAATTCATATGGAACAAAAAAGAGCCTGAATAGCCAAAGCAATTCTACACACACACACACACACACACACACACACACACACACACAGAGCTGGAGGCATCATACTACCTAACTTCAAACTATGTCATAAAGCCACAGTAACCAAAACAGCTTGGTACTGTTACAAAAACAGGCACATAGACCAATGGAATAAATTATTTTTGAAAGAAAATAAATGAAAAACTCAGAAGTAAAGCTGCACAACTACAACCACCTGATCTTCAACAAGTCCAACAAAAACAAGCAACCGGAAAAAGACTCCCTATTCAATAAATGTTACTGGGATAACTGTCTAGCCATATGCAGATGATAGAAGCTGGACCCTAACTTGCACCACATACAAAAAGTAATGCAAAGTGAATTAAAGATTTACATGTAAGACCTCAAACTATAAAAATCTTGGAAGAAAACCTAGGAAATACTCTTCTTGACAATAATTTTGGCAAAGAATTTTTGGCTGAGTCCCGAAAAGCAATTGCAGCAAAAATAAAAATAGACAAATAGGACCAAATTAAACTAAAGAGCTTCTATACTGCAAAATAAACTATCAACAGAGCAAGAAAAAACTACAGAATGGGAGAATATATTCACAAACTATGGATCTGACAAAGGACTCCCTATTCAATGAATTATGCTGGAATAGCTGGCTGACCATGTGCAGAGAAATGGAACTGGACCCTTACTTTTCACTATATACAGAAGTTAACTCAAGACAGATTGAATATTTAAATGTACGATCTCAAACTACAAGAATCCTAGAAGAATACCTAGGAAATATCATTCTGGAATCAGCCTTGGGAAATAGCTTATGACTAAGTCCTCAAAAGCAATTGCAACAAAGACAAAAATTGACAAGTGGGACATAATTAAAATATAGAGTTTCTGTTTAGCAAAAGGAACTATCAATAGAGTAAACAGACAGCCTACAGAATGAGAGAAGATATGTGTAAACTGTGCATCCAACAAGGTCTAATATTGAGAATCTAAAAGGAACTTAACAAGCAAAAAAAAAACATTAAAAATGAGCAAAGGACATAAACAGGCACTTCTCAAAAGAAGACATACAAGTGACCAACAAACATATGAAAAAATATTTAGTACCACTAATCATCAGAGAAATGCATAAGATACCATCTAGCACCAGTCAGAATGGCTAGTAAAAAAAGTAAACATAGAACAGATGTTGGCAAGGCTGTAGAGATAAGGGAATGCTTATATACCCTTCGTGGGAATTTAAATTTGTCCAGTCACCGTGAAAAGCCATCTGGAAATTTCCAAAAGAACTAAAAACGGAACTAATATTTGACCCAGCAATCTCAATATTGGGTATATACTCGAGAGAAAATAAATTATTTTACCAAAAAGACATATGCACAAATATGTTCAGTGCTGCACTATTTATACTAGCAAAGACATGGAATCAATCCAGGTGCCCATCAATAGTTGATTGGATAAAGAAAATGTGGTACATAACAACCATGGAATACTATACCACCATAAGAGAGAATGAAATCATGTTTTGCATCAACATGGATGCAGCTAGATGCCATAATCCTAAACAAATTAATGCAGGAACAGAAAACCAAATACCTGATGCTACCACTTATAAGTGGGAGCTAAGCATTGAACACATATGGACGTAGATATGGGAATAGTAGACACTGTGGACTGAATCACTGTGTGATTCAGGCTACTGGAGGTTGGAGGAAGGTTAGTGAGTATCAGATACTATACTCACTACCAGAGTGACAGGATCTATACTCCAAACCTCAGCATCATGCAATATTCCCATGTAACAAATTTGCACATGTACCCCCCTGTATCTGAAATAAAGATTGAAATAAAAATAAGAAAAACTGTGTAAAATATATGAAACAATGAATAAGGTTTATTTAGCCAGTTGACAAATTTAAGGATAGGTAAAGACAAAATAAAACAATGCCAGAAAATACTCATTATTTCATGTCATTTCTGTAAAACAAATCTTGTTTTTAATTATGTCTCTGAATTTGAAATGACAATATTGTTCTGATCCTAAAATTTGTGCATGATTATGTTAGTGCTAGTCTGTATTTTAGACTTTGTAAAGGAATTGTTGTCAATCATATAATCTATTTGCTTTTGAGGAAATGAAAATCCAACTGGATAAATGCTCTCTAATTTATGTTGCCATCTTTAAATGTTTCAACAATGTTTCAAGGTTGTTGAAAACGGTGAAAAAATTGATAGTACAGTACAATGTTTTGATAGCAATTAGACTATCCCTGGCATATCCCTCTGTGTGTTTAAGTTCTATAATTATTTTGAAGAATGGTTAATGTGAAACGAAACATAAAATTTGTGTTATTTATTTTTGTAATATTAAGTAATTCATGGTGACTGTAAAAGGCCAAAAATACTAGAAAATGCAGAATGAAAAAAAAGGAATAAATAAAGTTGAAAAAAGCCAAAAGAAAGAAAGGGGAAAGGATGGGATGGAAAAGCAGAAGGAAAAGAGAGAAATAAAGAGAAGGAGGAACAAATAAAAAGGTGGCAAAGAGTAAAGGAAGAAAGAAAAGGAAGAGAAGAAAAGAGATGGAGAGAGGAGTATCCTCTCAGCTTGAATCACAAATTTAAAGTGAAAATTTGGGTATATATCAGACTTTGTGTGTATGGTATGAGGTTAGATGTATCCATATAATTATCTAGTTAATTCAGCACTATTTGTAAAAGAGCTTCATATGCACTTTGAGTTATTTTGGGATCTACCTCAAAAGTCAGTTGACTTATAAAGTGTCATTCTATTTATGGACCCTCTACTGTGTCCTACTTATTTATTTTTCTACCTCAATCAAGAACACATTATCTTGATTAATTTAGCATCAATGTAAATCATAAAATTAGGTCATTTAAAACCTTGACATTGTCCTTTTTTTCAGAATATTTTGGCTATTCTTTGTATTTCCATGTATGCTTTAGAATCTAGCACATGTATGTGTATATACATCTATGTATGTTTGTGATGGTATGTGTGTGTGTGGTGTTCATTAATACACACACATACATGCATAGGGTATTCGTTCAGTATTTTGATAACTATATATCAATTGGAGGATAATGGATTTTTCAAACAATGTTGATTATTTCAATTCATGAAAATTTCCTATCTTATGTTTTATTTCTCTCAGCAATATTTCACACTTTTCAATGTAGATTTCTTACATATCTTTTATTAAGTATCTTTCTAATTTTTAGCCTAATGTAAGTTATATTTCTATTGCAGTATTTCTGGTTGTTCATTGCTAGAATACATTTTAAATTTTTATACTGAACTTGCAGTCAATTTTTGAATTTACTTAACAAAGTTCTATTTTTCCCTTTTATACTTTCTTTGGATTTTCAACATAAAATATAATGGGAATAATTTTTAAAAAGTGATATGTATGCAAAATAGAATACTATTAAAACTTTAAAAAGAGGAAAATGCTGTCATTTGAAACAACATGGATGAATCTGGTGGAAATTATGAAGTGAAATAAGCCAATATAGAAAGACAAATATTATATGATCTTTACACATGAAATACAAAAAATAATCTGAAGTTACAGAAATAGAGAGTAGAATGGTATTTACTAGGGGCTGGTTGATGCCGGTATAGGGAAGGTTGGTCAAAGGATACAAAATTTTAGTTAGGAAAAATTAGACCAAGAGATGTATTGTACAACATGGTGACTCTTGTTAATAACAACGTATTGTATTCTTGAAAATTGGTAAAAGAGTCAATTTTAAGTATTATCACAAATCAGTGATAAGTATATGAAGGAGTGTTAATTAACTAATGTTAATTAGTTCAATTTAATGATTCCACAATAAACACATATTTCAAAACAGCATTTTGTGCACAATATATACAATTCATGCAATTTTAATTTGCTAATTAAAATATTTTTAAAAATAAAGAAAAATAATGAGTTCATAAAAGTATACATACCTTAATATTTAAAATGTATATCTTGTATAGGACACGTGGTTGAGTTTTGCTTTCTTTTAATCCCATCTGACAATCTGTGCTTTTCAATTGTTATTTAACTTATATGAGTGTTTAAATGTGCTGTTTGATTATTTTCTTCTATTTGATTCATCTATTTTTAGCTTTTTCTTTTACGGCTTCCCTTTAAATTAAATGAATGTTTATAAGTATTACATTTTCTCTTTTCTGGCTATTCCTCTGTGTTTACTTTTGCATGTTGCATTTAAGCATTCGTAACTTATCACAGTGTATCTTGAATATTAATTCACATATACTAAAAATAACATAACAGTGTATTCAATTTACCACTCTCTTCTTTGTGCTATTTTCAACAAATATTTCACTTCTATATGTTACGAGCATGATTATTTTTGCTTTATGCAGTTGCACTAACAAATAATTCGATTGTCAGATCACACTGGATCTAATTAAAGAACTGTATCAGTATCAAGCTTTTCTAATGATTTCAAGTATAGTCAATCCTTGATTCAGACAAAGCAGAATTTTGCCAAGACATTTCATGTGACCTCCCACTACAACCTACCCACTTTTCATTCCCATATTGGACACATTGGACATATATATATATATATATATATATATATATATATATATATATATATTTTTGAGACAGGGTCTTGTCCTGTCGCCCAGTCTGCAGTGGCATGATCTGGGCTCACTGCAATCTCTGCCTCCCAGGTTCAAGTGATTCTCCTGACTCAGTCCCATGAGTAGCTGGGATTACAGGGACATGCCACCACACCCGGCTAATAGTTTGTATTTTTAGTAGAGACAGGGTTTCACCATGTTGGCCAGGCTGGCCTCGAACGCCTGGCCTCAAGTGATCCAGCCACCTCAGCCTCCCAGAGTCCTGGGATTTCAGGCAGAGGCAGATAAGATATGAGGAGACATGAATATCTTATGAAACATTCTCCAAGAACAAACTCCTTCCTTTCTTTCTCTTTCCCTCTCTCCTTCTTATTTCTTACAAAATAAATTCTTAGCTAAAGACATCTTTCTAATGCGATCTAATAAGTAAGGAGTTATTAGAGAATATCCTTAGTCTCTTTACCCAGCGGGCCAATTGACATGTAGATTTTAGTAAGTCACCTGACGTCTATTTCTCTCTGAGTGTATTCCCCAGTTAAAGTGAGTAAATAGATGGCAGGTCAGCTGCTTTAAATCATTCCCTGACAGTCATTTGTCTCATACAGAAATTAAGAGGAAAAAAATCTTTTCTAATTACCCACATAGCTACCATGTATTCTTCTTTGCAGATCTGAGTTTTAAAGGAGTATCATTTACTTTTGACCTACATAGAATGCCTTCAAGAATCTCTGAGAAAATATTCATCATCAACAGAACCTCATATCTTTTACTTTGCTAAAAAGTCTTTTGCTTGCCTTCATTTTTAAAGGATGGTTCTAAATTGACATTAATTTTTTCTATCAGCATCTTATAGATGTACATTCATTGTCTTCTGCATTCTATTTGTTTAGGTACAAACACAGCTATATTTAATATTGTTGTTTCCCTGTATGAAATATGTCAAGATGTTATTTATTTTTCCTCCAGTCACCTTCTTCTCTTGATTATTGGCTACCAGAAATTTTGATGTGCTTAAGCATGGGTTCTCTTTCTAGTTCTCTCTCTTGCTCTCTCACTCAAAAAATTTTGAGTTTTATTGTTCCTGCTTGAGGACTGCCAATATTCTTCACTCTGTAGGTTAAGAGTTTCACCACATTTGGCCGTTAATCTTACATGTCATTTCCCCATTCTCACTCTCTTTTCTATCTGTTTCTATGGAAATACATATTTTAGAACATATGATATTTACTCAAGTGATTTGAGATCTTTTTCTTCAAAATATTTCTCTTACATTTAATTTAGATAGTTTTATTTACCTATTTTCCAGTTTATTGTTTTATTCTTTTCTGTAATGTCCAATCTGCTAGTAAGCCTAATCAATTCTTGCTTTTAAATTTTAGAAATTTTATTTTTAATTTCTGAAATTTCCAATAATTACTGTTATTTTTATTTTTAGGATTCACATTTCTCTGCTGATATATCCTGCTTCTTTTTGTGTCTTGTAATTTTTTCTTATTTAGAGTATTAGAGAACATTGAGGACTAATATAAAAACATTTGCTTCGCTTAGTTTAATTGACATCATTTTCTTGTGCTTAGTAGTTATGGTGAGGGGTTGTGCATTTAGATTCCTCTAGAATTAAGTTAGCCTGAGGCTGGGTTACACTTTATTACATTATTAAATTAACCTGAGGCTGGGTCAACTTTATTTGATTAAACTCACCTGTGATTAACCCAACCCTCAAGCGAGTTAGCTGATGCCTCAGTGACTCTGTCAGTATTTGAGCCGTAAGTGCAATGTGTTTGGTACAATTACAGATACTTTTGAATTCTCTAACAGATCTCCCTTCGCTTTTTAACAAAAATCTGAAGCAGGTAGGAAACTCGAGATAAATCTGTTCTTGTTTTAGGGCCTTTTCACACAGCAAACTGTCATGCAGCAACTTTCATCAGAAACTTGGGTGGTTTTCCCTTATTTTGTAAGCAATCTCCTAGTATCAGGACTCCAGTATCCAGAGGAGGAACGTGTTCCTACTGATAGCTGTTGTCAAGGCTATCTACTCAAATATACAGGGCAAAATTGCTGTGGGATTTAGTTCATAAGGCTTCCTTTCACCCAGTACTTTAGGCTAGTTTCATTTTTAAAAGTATGAATTTTATTGGGTCTCAGCCTGAGTCAGTGGAAACCCAAACTAAGAAAAAAATTGTTTATTCTCTCACTCAACGACAGACACACAAGACTTCTGTGACTCCACATATGGGGGATTTCTCTCCACCAGCAAGCAACCAGTTTTGTAGCGAGAATCAGCTGGGTGTCCACCAATTCAATTCTGGTACCATGTACCTGAAGATACTGTCACATCTCACAGGTTGGGGGCTCAGTCCTACAAGACCAACCCCCACTTACGATGCCAAGAGCAAACCCTGGGTTGTTTTTTCTGTGCTTATGACGAACGAGCTATAAATCAGGGTTTCCACGACTCCCTCCTTGCATTTAATTTGCTAGAGTGGCTCACAGAACTCAAGGAAACATGTTTATTGGTTTATTATAAGATATTAGAAAGCATACAGATGAAGAGATGCATACGGGAAGGTGTGGAGGAAGGAGAGCGGAGCTTTCCTGCCCTCTTTAGGCTCACCACCCTCCAGGAACCTCCACATGTTCAGCTATCTGTAAGCTCTAAGAACTCTGTTTTTCAGGTTTTTTGGAGGCTTCAGTATGCAAGCACGATTGATTAAATCATTAGTCGCTGGAGATTAACTTAACCTTCCGCCTTCTCCCTCACCTGCAGGTTGGGAGTGAGGGTGAAAGTCTCAATCCGCTTATCATACCTTGGTCTTTCTGGTGACCAGCTCCCATCATGAAGCTACGTGGGGGCTGCTGGCCATCAGTCAACTCATTAACACACAAAAGATATCATTTTGGAGATGCTAAAGATTTCAGAAGTCATATGCCGGGAAATAGGTCATAGACTAAATATATATTTTACAGTATCACACTCAGTGTTTCTTATTGCCACTACAGGGTCTAAGGTCTTTTAAAACATTGTGGTGAATTTTACCAGGAAGCAGAAATATCCCTTAATATTTTCTTAATTGTTACTTACATCATGCCAAGTCTGTCTTCCAACAGCTACAGCCCAGCCTTAAGATGACTGTATCCCTAGCTGACACCAACACCTTTGATGCAGTTTTGTGAGCCACGCTGAGTCAGGTGCACCCAGCTAAGCATGCCTGAACTCCTGACCCACAGAAATTTAAATAATAAAGGTTATTGTTTAAAGCTGCTAGCTTTGGGGTAATTTGTAGTAGATGACTACTGCAGACTCTATTAGTTGTAGCTAAAAAAACTGCAATTTAAACTAGCTTCTACAAATAGTTACGAGTTTTTTTTTTTTTTTTTTTGGTGCAGAGAATTCCAAGTGTTTTAAGGCCTTGTAAGCAGCTGAAACAGATGATTGCAGGGCTCTCGAATATGTGGGTAATCTTTTTGGAAAAAGTATGCTTATCATGCTCCTCTTCTTTATGGTACAAATCTTGACAGTTCTCACACATTTGTTATTTTTCCAAGGAAGCTTATAATCAATCTGATAATGTCTCCAGTGTAAATTCTCTACCACTTCATTCTGAAAAGAATGAAGTGAATTTATGAGTTAGATTGGAGAATATTGACAGTTAGAATAAATATTACTATCCATGAAAATGAAATGTGGTAGCTTTTATACTAAGTATCCTCTTGAGTACATCTGTAGAAAAGTACATATTTTTTCAAGAATTCTTCACATTTGTAATTAACAGTATTTCAAGTGTTAATATGTTACTTGACTTTGTTACTTTCTGTATATACAAATTTACAATGCATAGGTGTTTTATATGGATCAAAATTGGAAACTTTCTCCTTCAATATATTTATGATAGAATAATAAATATTGAATATAAAATTTTCTTGTTAAAATATGTTTGGGAATTTTTAAATAAATTATAGTTAAATATTTAGTAAGTATATAATTTAGATATCATAACCTTTAATACATAGAAGTATATTAAAAATATCTTAAAGATTGGATATTGTTTTGAGTGTTTTAAACTTATTTAAACAACAACAAAATACACTTAATTTTGTTTTGTCTTCAGGAATATTTTGTCCATGCAATATACTGTGGAAGATGTTGCCCAAGACTCTCACCATTCAATCTACTATTTGCAGATCATATTTTTTCTTTTCTATTTCTAAGTTACAGACGGTTTTATGATTCCAAATGTGTGTTTAATTTTATAAAATTTATTATTGACTGAGGTAGTCAGAATTACTTTTTAAGTTACTAACAATAATTACATTGTATCTTTCTTATTCTTTAAAGAAGAAACATTCTCGTTTATTCCCAGTCATTTCGTCTCATTGCGTAAAGTTGGAACTTCCCCATCATCAAATTCTTTAATTCTATGCAACTGAAAAACATAGTGAGTTATAGAATGTCTAAGATTGCAAGAAAGTACTGGGGAAGTTAATTCACAAGTATGTACATTATCTGAGTCTTCATGAGTTAAGTTTTTCTGGGCAAACTTGTTCCCGACCAGCAGGGTAAAGGTGGTAGAGTGGTTGTGAAAGTGAGAAGCAAGGGCTCTACAGTTTGGGGAGAATAATTTAACTCTGATTTTGGTCATATCACTTGCTTTAATCCATAGCATCAATATTAAAGCTAATATTCTGATAGCAAGAATGAAGAAAAGAGTTGTGGTATTTCTCATCAATAGCCAAAGGATTAAACATTTTTGCATTTATACATCCTATTTTTGTCAAAGTCTTTTTCTAAAAAATACAATGTAGAATTTGATGTGTTAATATATTATTTGATATTTGTAAATATTCAATTCCACTTGAAATATATCTATATTACACTTGGAATACTTACAAATACCCAATAATAGGCAAATTTTTTCAATAAAGGCCCAAACATTATATATTTTAGACTTTGCAAGTCATAACTTCTCAGTTGCAACTACTCAACTGTTACAGCATATGAGTTGCTGCAGCAACTATTTAATAAAACTTTATTTACTAAAACAAGCAACAGGCTGGACTGGACTTGCAGGCTGCAATTTGATCATCCTTGTCTATCAATCTCTTGTGTGTTTGTATACATGTGTGTGCCTCCATCTTTAAAAAATGTTTCTATCTTAAAATACATACTGAATAATATAATAATTATCTATTCACTGAAGTCTTCACAGATCTTACCAATAAATCCATTTTGCCCAGGACATTTTTAAAGTTTAAATTTTCACCATATTTTGCTTTCTCATGTTTATTAATCAGTAAATAATTTCTGCTACTGAGTCTATTATTTATATTTTCCCCTAAGAAGTAATTTTCATTTGGATTTCTTTTGGCATACCATTGTAATTGTTTACGAATTTTTAAATATTCATTATAATCTAATAATAACTAGATATTCATTCTCCTTTTAATATTTTTGAGGTTGCAGTTTCTTTTGTTTGTTTTGCTGTACAGATGGCCCTCAACTTAAAATGGTTTGACTTACAATTTTTTGACTTTAGGATGGGTTTATCAGAACATAAATCTAGGATAAGTTGAGGAGCATCTGTATTCATGAATAATTTCTAGTATTAATACATCATGACCAGAGATTAGGTAAGATCTACATTTCATCCGTTTTATTGTGCCTAGTACATGTCAATATTTTTTAACAATATGAGAGCCTGAATATACAAACAGACCTGGTCATACTGTATATAAAAATGGAACTCTCACACACAACATTTGTAGCAACCAGACCAGAAAGTCTGTAGCACAATTTATGTAGCAATTGTCCCAAATAGGCAGGACTTGATCAATAACTGAGAATTTCCACAATCTTTGCACTCCATATCCAGTTCCAACTAGGACCAATCAGGCAAAGCCAAAAATGCTTCTGTTTTCTATCACAAATAATGTTCCACTTCCAGTTGGCCCACTCCAGCTTCCCCATGCCAACAACCTCTATTCAAGACAACTATTTGACTGAAGTATTCTTTTTTCTGCTATAAAGCTTTCCCACTCTTCTGTTTGCTTTTGAGTCTCTGCCATACACAAGAGATAGTAGCTGACTTCCTTGCTGTAAAAGCAAGCTCTGAATAAATAGCCTTTGCTTGTTTTCATTTGGGTGGTCTTCATTTATTGCCACAAATTTCGTGGATATTTGTCAGAGTTTAGAATTCTGTCAATTTCAATGTTCATATAACACAACCACATATTCATTTCTATTAATGCATATAAATACACACAAACCAATCATATACATATGTAAATGTTAATGTGTATTCATATATGTAATCTTTTAACTATGTGAGAACACAAGAGGCCAACTGGTATCTTTCTGTCCTGTAGGATCCAGTTAGATTGCTCCAAATCTTAATTCTGTGGGCTTAGGAAGCACCGTTTCTTCTCTAGACTTCTAGAATTTCCAGGGGAAATTGAGAGAAGTCAGCTACTATCTCTTGTGTATTCTCCTATGGAATACTTAGGCAAAGTCTCTTGTGCTTTATTTGAAGCTACTCACATAAAAAGCATTAATGAGACATGGAGACTTTACCAAAGATTTTGTAGATCTTGTAGAGAAATACAGGGAGGAATGTGTATAACATGCTGCTAAGTAAGAGAATTTACAACTTCATATTTCTATTTGACCTTTTTAAAAATTAAATTCCCCATTCACATACCACCTTAGTGTTTCTTCTTTCCTTTCCCTCTGCCTTTTTTTTTTTTTTTTTTTTTTTTTGAGACAGGATCTGGCTCTGTCACCAAGGCTGGAGTGCAGTTGTGCAACCTTGACTCACTGACCTCTACCTCTTGAGCTCAAGCTATCCTCCCTCCTTAGCCTCCAAGTTGCTGGGATTACAGGCGCATACCATCATGCCCAGCTATCCCCCTGCATTTTCACTCCTCACCTGGCTCTTTTATTCAAGAAATATCCCCTTAACTGGCATTCCGCTCTGTCTGACACCTCCTCTTAAATCTGAACACAAATAAAACCCTGAAAAAATACTCTTCAAGAAAAAGACCATTGAGTTAATGTCACCTACCCTAAACAGTTGGTGTTGAGAGAGAGGGGAGGGCACAAATTCATATATGTTTCACAAAGTCAAATAATTGTGTTACTGAAGTTTTGTATTTGATCTGTCATATTCTAAGAGGATTTCCCACTGGACTACAGTTCTGTCAAATTATACTTGTAGTGAACATTTTTGTTTGTTTGTTTACTATGTCATTTCATACACAAAAGCAGAGGACTGCTATATGTTAATAAATTGCACTTTTCTCATCAGTGTAAAATAGTCATATTTAAGCTATATTATACATTTTTGTTTTAAATTATATTTTGTTGTTGCTACTCTTGCATTGTTCTTGTTTGCTTCGAGATGATTGACATTTTAAAGTATGCTACACTATCTAATTTTTTCTTATTAATATAGTCTCTTTGGACTCTGATTCTAAGTTTTGATGTTTTACTCTAATATTATATTAGTTTAGGATATTTATATCCTATTTGAGAACCAATATACAGAAGTGAATAAGAGCACAACCACTACAAATTCTGTCTGAGTTTATCCCTGTTGTGCCATTTATTGAATCTAAATCTAAGTTACTTAAACTCTGTCTCAGCTTCCTTGGCTATGAAATAGGCATATAATAAATACCTTTCAGAATTTTGGAGGCAATTACATAAATTAAATATTCATACCACTGTTTGTTATTTGGTAAGTGGTATATTAAGTCTTATCTATGATTTCTGTCCCATAAGTTTTTATTATCAAATTTTTAGCAAGAACATTTGAAGCTTTATGGGTATGGGACGAGTACAATGTAGAAGTAAATTGAGTACCAGGAGAGCTTTCATTCTTCAAATTATATTAATCTTTTAATATAAAATATCAAAATAAAGAGAGACAAACTAGTGTCTACACATAACTGCACACACCAGTTATATGCATACATGTTTATTATTAATTGGTTTTTTTAGTTGGTTTATTTAGAAATAAATCTGACCTGTCTCAATGATTTGGCTAGTTAATGGCTATTGACATGACTGCACAGGATACATCCAAGAAGCTCAGTTCTCAGCGAGACATCCACGCTACCATCGTAGGGGAGCATCATGTAGCACAATCAAGCAGAGAAAGGAACCATTTAATGCTATACTCAATCTACTTCTTAAATAATTATGTTTTTGTGTATTTAATGTTTTATGATAGAAAATTCAACAAATAAAATAAAAAACAATAATTCTTAAAAATGCCATGAGTCTATCAAACTTATTCAACAAATAATATTAAATCATGGCTAATCTTGCTTCTTGCATACTTTACTTAGTTCTCCCTTTGTTTATCAAGATAAATCAAATCCCAGGCATGATATAATTTTATTCAAAGATCTTAGAATATAACTCTAATTATAAGAACTATTTCTTTAAAAATCCATTATGCAATAAAAATTATTTTTAAATATAATCAAATATCCAATCTGTGCTCTACCATCAAATATCTGTTCAGAGATATCCAATTGACTCATATTTTAATGTTTCTTTGAGAATTCAACAATTGTGAACTAGTTATATGTGATTTAAGTCTTATTTTAATCTATAGGTCACCTATTGCTATCTTCTAACTTTTTATTTTAAAATAATTTAAAAGTTACAGAAAAGTTGCAAAAATAGTAGAGTTTTCTATGTTCTTCACCCAGTTTCCCTAATGTTCACCTCTTACATCACCATTGTGCTATTATCAAAACCAGGAAATTATCATGGGTACAATACCATCAATAAAACTCCAGATTTTCCGTCCAAGATTTATTTCAGATCCCACTTGTAGGGAGTCATCATATCACCACAGTTTCTTCCAGTTTGTAACAGCTTCTTATTCCCTCTTTGTATTTTTTGACTTTGATACGTTTCAATAAGTCATTTATTTTGGAAAATGCTCCTCAATTTGTACTTGCCTGATGTTTTCTTATAGTTAGATGAAGCTTATGATTTTTTTTGTAACAATATTGTAGAAATTATGTGCTCCTCTTAGCACAGATATCAAGGGGTAGATGGCATTGATATGTCTTATTACTGGTAATCTTAATTTTCATCATTCAAGTGGGTGTATGCCAGTTTCCTCTATTGTAAAATTACTGTATTTTCCTTTTTTCTAATTTATCAATATTGTGAGCTAATACTTTGAGAGACTATGTAAATATTTTGTGTCTCCTCAAACTTTAATCCATTAAAAATTATTAGTGAATATGAATGTTGCCTACTATAACAATAAACTGTGTTATTTGCCCAATAAAATATTTATATTTTCCTTTTTTTTTTTTTTTTTTTTTTTGAGACAAGGTCTCACTGTGCCACCTAGGCTGGAGTGCAGTGGCCTGATCTTGGCTCACTGCAACCTCCACCTCCCTGGCTAAAGTGATCCTCCCACCTCAGCCTCCCAAGTAGCTGCGACCACAGATGTGTGACACCAAGCCTGGCTAATTTTGTATTTTTGCTACAGACAGGGTTTCATCTTGTTGCCCAGGCTGGTCTCAAAATCTTGAGCTCAAGCGATCTGCCTGCCTCAGGCTCCCAAAATGCTGGGATGACAGGAATGAGCCACTGCACCCAGTCAGTTTTCCTCATTCTTTCTATTTGTATTATTGAATCACTGCCCTTTATCCAGTTTTTATTCAATTATTTATTTATATAAATATTAACTTTTAGATATTTATTTTATTCTATGGGTTACAGCCCCATAGTTCATTAACTATTTAATTCTCCAATTATTCCAGCTTTGGCTTTTTGGAGCTCTTTCAGGTTTTCATCTGTGTTCTCTAACTCACCATAATCTATTTTCCAGTACTTCTTTACTTTCTGGCCTAGAAAGGTATTTTTGATTCATATGTATTTTTCTTGCCTCAATTCTCTGAGGAGTCCTGTTCCGTTTATTTGAAGAATAGTACAGAGAAATCAGGATCTGGGCTCCAGGTATGCTCATTGTTTCTGGAGTGACATGCCTTTTTATGCCTTTCCATGGACAGAGGTAGAATACACACACACACACACACACACACACACACACACATACACACACACACACAGTTCCATTAACAGAGATAGAAAATATGTACACCCACACACAGACATACACATATACATAATATATATGTTCATATATATATAGACAAAGTCACACATGCATGTATCTATATTTTAATGTATATATTAAAAACTATGAGTTCATACTGTTATCTCTAATTTAAATACAAAACCACAGGTTTGAGTCCAACATTTTCCCATTTTCTTGTCATTACCAGCTTCTGTCCAAATCTGAGAAAAGTGGGTCTTATTACATTGTATTTACTTATTTTTCCAGTATTACTAAACATATAAATCAGTTTCGGAATTGCTACACAATAACCCTGGGAGAAAAACATTTACTACTTAGAGAACAGAGTTTGTTACAGCTTATTTTGTCTAGCTTTACAACATTGAGTCAAATCATACTTTCCAAGTTACCTAAGTTAGTTCCTTGCTCTCCCATTCACTTCAGTGTGGTTTTACTAGCCATACACAGCAGTTAGGTTCATTTGTTATAATTTAAATTTTAGTTTGTTTCCACATATCCTGGTTCATTATAATGGTTCATTTATTTTTCGAGTATATAAAGAATTACTATGGTCAATAGCCAGAGCCATAAAAAAAAAATTGATTCAGAGAAGTGTCACTTCGCCCTCGTCGCTATTATACCATTTCCATTCCCCCTTTTATTCTACCTTTTTCCTATCCATTTCCTGTAGACAACCAATTTCATTAGTATCTGCATTATCATTCCTGTTTATTGTTTTCCTTTCAATGCTTTGGAACAATTTATATACCATTGATACCATCAGGTCTTTAAAAATTTGGTAGACTTCTCCTATAAAAACTTCTAGTCCTAGTGTTCTTTTAAACTGAGAAGTCTTTTAATAACTTTCTCTATTTTTACATGAATATTGGCCAAAGTAAGCTTTCCAATTCTTATAAGGTCATTTTCTCTAACCTGTATTTCCCTAATCAATTAGCCATTCAATTATTAATATACTCTATTCTTTATATTTTTTTACCTCACAAATTTTTTATTTCTTCTTTTCTTTTTTGTTTATGTTTTATACTTTATTTTTAAATTGACATTATAATCATATATTTTTATTGGGGACATAGTGATATTTCTATACATATAATGTATAGTGATCAGATCAGGGTAATTAATATATATATCACCTCAAACACTTGTCATTTCTTTGTGTTGGGAACATTCAACATCTTCCTTCTAGCTATTTGAAACCTATATAATGTATTATTATTATCTATAGTCATCCTAAAGTGGTACAGATCACTAGAACTTATTCCTCCTATGTAGCTGTAATTTGTATCTTTAAAACAAATTTCTCCCTATACTTTCCTCCCCCTCCCAGCCTCTAGTATCCTCTGTTCTACTTTTTACTTCTATAAGATCAACTTTTTAAGCTTCCTCATACCAGTGAGAACATGTGGTATTTAACTTTCTATATTTGGCTTATTTCATTCAACATAATGTCCTCCACTTTCATCCATGTTGCAGCAAATTACAGGATTTCATTCTTTTTTATCTCTGAACTATATGCAGTTGTGTATCTATACCACATTATTTTCTTTTTCTTTTTTTTTTCTTTTTTTTTTTTTTTTTTGTGACGGAATCTCGCTCTGTCGCCCAGGCTGGAGTGCAGTGGCTCGATCTCCGCTCACTGCAAGCTCCGTCTCCGAGGTTGATTCCACTTCTTGACTATTATGAATAGTGCTGCAATAAACATGGAGGTACAGATGTCTTCAATATACTGATTTCCTTCCTTTGGATAAATGCCTAGTAGTGAGATTGTTGGATCATATGGTAGTTCTATGTGTAGTTTTTTGAGGAAGCTCCTTACTGTTATCCATAATGACTATACTAATTTATATCTCTACCAGTAATGTAAAAGGGTTCACTTTTCTCTGCATCCTTGCCAGCATTTCTTATTGTTGTGTTTTTGATAATAACCATCCTTTCTGCGGTGAGATGATATCTCACTGTGGTTTGGATTTGCATTTCCCTGATGATTAGCGATGCTAAGCATTTTTAGATATATTTGTTGGCCATTTTTATGTATTCTTTTGAGAAATGTTTTTCAGACCATTTGCTCATTTTTTAAATCAGATTTTGTTTCTGTTGAGATGTTTGAATTCTTTGTATATTCTGGATATTAATCTGCTCTCAAATGAGTAGTCTGCAAATATTTCCTCCCATTTGGTAAGCTGTCATTTTACTCTGTTGGTTGTTTTCTTGCTTTTGCTGTGCAGAAGCTTCATAGTTTGATATAATTTAATTTGTTTATTTTTGATTTTGTTGCCTCTGCTTTTGAAGTCTTATCCCTACAATCTTTTCCTGACCAATGTCCTGAAGCATTTCCCCTATATTTTCTTTTAGTAATTTTATAGTTTCAAGTATTACATTTAGGTGTTTGATTCATTTTGACTTGATTTTTGTATAGGGTGAGAGGTAGAGGTCTCTTCTGACTGTGGATATCCAGTTTTCCAAGAATGATTTATTACTTTATATGTTACATAATGATATATTGCTTTATATTGCTATATATTTATTGTTCTTTCCCCAGTGAGTGTTTGTGGCACCTTTGTCAAAAATCAGTTGGCTGTAGGTATATGGATTCATTTCTTGATTTTCTATTCTCTATAGTTCCATTGGTCTCTGTGTTTGTTTTTATGTCAACACCATGCTCTTCTGGTTACTATAGCTTTGTAAGATGTTTAGAATATCGTAGTGTGATGCTTCAAGCTCCCTTATTTTTTTTTGTTCAGGATTGTTTTGGCTATTCAGGAACTTACGTGATTTCATAAAAATTTTATGATTTTTTTTCTATGTCTGAAGAATGTCATTGGTGTTTCAACAAGAATTGCATTAAATCTGTAGATTGCTTTGGGTCGTATGGTCATTTTAACAATATTAATTCTTCTAATCCATGAGCATGGGATGTCTTTCCATATGTTTGTATCCTCTTCCATTTCTTTCATTTGTGTTTTGAACTTTTCCTTATACAGGTCTTTTATCTTATTGGTTAAAATTATTCCTAGTATTTTATTTTTTGTAGCTATTGTAAATGGGATTACCTTCCTGATTTCTTTTTCAGCTACTTTATTGCTCATGTACGGACATGCTACTGATTTTTGTATATTGATTTTGTATCCTGCAACTTCACTGAATCTGTTCATCAGTTATAAAATTTTTGTTAGAGTCTTTAGGTTTCTCTACTTTGGGTGCAGTAGTCTCTCGTCATTTATGGTTTTACTTTCTGTGGTTTTGGTTACTTGATGTCAACTTCTGCCCAAAAATATTAAATAAAAAATTTCAGAAGTAAACAATTTATAAGTTTTAAATTGCTGTGCCATTCTGAGTAGCATGATGAAATCTCATCAATCCCTCTCTGTCCTATTGGGAGGTGAACCATCCATTTGTCCAGTGTGTCCATACTGCATATGCTACCCACCCATTAGTCACTTGGTAGCTATCTTGGTTATCAGATCCACTGTCTTCATAACACAGTGCTTGTGTTTATATAACCCTTATTTTACTTAATTACAGCCCCAAAGTGTAAGAGAAGTGAGGTTGGCGATTTGGATATGCCAAAGAGAAGCTGTAAATGCTTCCTTTCAGTAAAAAGGTGAAAGTTCTAGACTTAAGAAAAAAATCATATACTAAGATTGCTAAGATCTAAGGTAAATTTTCACTAAGATCTATCTAAGATCTGAAGATCCATAGACAAATCTTCTATCTGTGAAACTGTGAAGAAAAAAAAGAAATTTGCACTAGTGTTGCTGTCACACCTCAAAATTCAAATGTTACAGCCACAGTGCAAGATAAGCGCTAAGTTAAGATGAAAAAGGCATTATATTTGTTGATGGAATACATGAACAGAAACGTGCTCCAATTAATGGTAAATGAGTTCAATATTATCTTTGGTTTCAGGGATCCACTGAGGATCTTGGAACACATCTTCTGCAGATCAGGGGAACTACTGCATATTGTTTTAATTTACTTTGTTGTCGTTTTGCTAGTTTTATGAGCGAAATTAAAGTCATTTATTTTTATACTTTCACTTATTTTGATAAAAGTGTTTAGTGCTAATCACTGCTTTAAATATGTCATAGATTCTAATAGGCAGCATTATTATTTAAAAAAAATTAAGTTTATATGTTTTGTTTTACCCAAGAGCTGTTTAATAGAATTTTTTTTATACTTACAGGTAGAAAGGCCTTTAAGTTTTTTTTTTTTCCTAATAATTTCTGGTTTTATTGCACTGTCATCAGGAGTGTTCTTTGTAATATTTTCAAATTATGGAAATTCCTGAGGTTTTGTTAACTAAAATATAATTAATTTTTGTGAATATGTCATGGACACTTGAGAAGAATGAGTAATTTATCTTCAACATGTAGAGTTAGATGTATACCCATAAGATTTTGCTTATTGGTTATATTTTTTAGCTCTTCTGCTGACTTATTCTTCCTGATACCTATGAGGTGCAATGTGATGTTAAGATCCATGTATATATTCCGGAATAACTAAATCAGGGTAATTAGCATATCTATCATTCACATACTTATTATTTCTTTGTGGTGAGAACATTTAAAAATCTTTTTAGCATAAAATATACATTATTATAAACTATAGTGAAAATGCTGTGCAATAGATCATTAGAACTTCTTCTTGTTGAATTGAACTTTATATCCTTTAATTAAATAAATTTTGTACCTTTTGCCTCCAACTTTGCTCTTTTTGCTCAAGATTGCTTTGGCTATTTGGGGTCTTTTGTGATTCCATAAGAATTTTAGGATTTTTTTTTTCTGTTTCTGTGAAGAATGACATCAGAATTTTGATAGAAATTGCACTGACTATAGATTCCTTTGGTATTAAAAAGTTTATGTTTTCATATTTAATCTTATAATTTTAAATGACTGTTGACCCTTGTTTTCTTCTTTAATCTTACTATCTGGTTTATTAATTTTTATCACTGTCTTTTAACACCCCCTATTTCTCATGCAATGAATTTATTCTATTTTGCTCTTGTCTACTCCCTTGTCATTCCATTTTTTAGTTACATTATTCCTCCTTTGTTACAACATATAATATTTATATATCAGTCTTTCGTTGCTCCATTAGTCTTCCTATTTTTCCATTTTAGTTTTAGTCTTAGGTGTATATTTTGAATTTTAAATAGCTCTCTCTCAGTCCATTTACTAAAATTTTTCCCAGTTGTTTCTTTGGTAGATGAAGCTTATCATCTAATAGTAGATTGCTTAATAAGGGCTTAGGTATGTAGGATCCATCTCCTCCCCTGCCCCCTCTTCTCTTCTTTCCCCTCCCCTCCTTTCCCTCTCCTCCTCTCTTTCCCTTCTCTCTTCTCTCCTCTTTTCTTCTGAGTTCAATTAGTATGAACTCATGGACAGAGAGGTTAAATAACTGACCATAAATAAAGAGATTAATTTAAAAAAAAACAAAATTTAAAGCAAGCCAGCTTTTTGCTAGATGCCATGCATTTAATCACTATGGTATACATGCTGTTTATATTTCACAGTCATTAACACAACATTCCTATCACACTTAATAGGTTTCCTATTCTAGCTACTCTCTATCTAATTTGTAGGATATGAAATGTAGAAAACAATACATATATATAGTATTAGATGAGAAATAATTTTATGATTTCCAAAATCTAAAGTATTAGTAGCTGCCTTCTTCCCAGATAAAAGTAATGCGCCCCCCACACACACTTTAGGGAAAATTTATTAAGAAACAAACATAAAAAACAAAAACAACCCCCCTCCCCCAACGCATTTAGAGTTTCTTACATCTCAAGAACAGTCATAGGCATGATAGTGGAGTGTAGGTTAGAATGGAAGTAGAGTCTTTTTAAAGAGTCAATTTGCTTTGTTTTTGTTTTGAGACAGGGTCTCTTTCCCAGGCTAAAGTACAGTGGTGTATTCACAGCTCACTGCAGCCTCAAACTTCTTTGGTCAAGCAATATTTACTTTATGCCTTAGCCTCCCACATAGCTGGGACTACCGGTCTGCATCACCATGCCTGGCTAATTTTTATTTTTACGTTTATTTTTTGTAGAAAAGAGGTTTCACTATATTGTCCAGGCTGGTCGCCAGCACCTGAAGCTCCTGCCTTGAACAGGAGGATGCCAAAGTACTGGGATTACATGCGTGAGCCACCGTGCCTGGCCAGGAGTCAGATATTTAAAACCAAGTCTTAAGAGAAATATAGCATATTTAATTTATTTCTTTGTAGTCTAAGAAATCATCTAATCCTTAAGCCAGGAGAAAAATGCACTTCTATCAACTGACTTTAAGGGAGAATAAATAAGAACAAAATGTCTTTGAGATTTAGGAACTGATAATATCTAAATGGAAGTGCAGGTTCAATCAGGTGACTGGAGGATGAATCAGGATTTATCTTCTAGTGACAAGGCCCTGACAAGGGGAAGACCTGAATATGCATAACACAAAGGAGAAAGTTACACTGGGACTCTCATAAGAATATTCATGAGAGATGGCAAACCCAAAAGCAGTTCGCATGCACCAGACATTTCTATATTTAGAATGGTCAGTTCAGATGGTTGTTAATCTACTACCTATTCAGTGGCTACAGAAAAGAAGAGATTTCTTTTGACACCGAGAAACATGGGCTGGTGTGGAAACTGGTGTAAATTTTATATCATTTTTTAAAAAGCAAATATTCATAGGAATGAATGACAAAAGTCACTAATTCATAGAAGCATCCTGCCCATTGATGAAGACTGTCTCTTTAGTCTGTTTACAATCACATTGTAATCCAAAATCTTCTAGGATGCAGGAAAACTGGATTCTTCTATTTTTCTAGGAGTTCAACTGTGGGATTTGAATCATACATTTTGCACATCAGATAAACTGTGGGAAATTTATTTTATATTTATATTTAATTACAACCACAAAAACAAACAGACAAAAACTAAAGACGCTTTCCTGATTTTAACCGGTTTCAGAAAATATCCTAAAACCGATTTGTGTTCTGCTTTGGAGAAGTAATTAAAAAGAAAACAAAAGCATGAGTGTCACTGAGTTCCAGAGAAGTTGAGGTCCCATATTGTAGAGGAGGCTATTTTCTTTGATGTGTTTACGTATTTCTTTTCTGCAGCTACGATGTGTGTTTACAGTGTGAGTAGAAAACAGAACTTGTTCCTGACAAAATGTGGGGTAAATTGTTAAGCCTTCTAAAAATTTATTGTCCAAGCCACCAAGAGTTTAGTGAGTTATACTTAAAAAAAGTAGACAGCAAAAAAAATTTAAAAACTCTTTTGTGAGGATCTGATTTGCTTCTTAATTTTTCCACATCTCTTAAAGAGCCAGTATAAGAAATTCCTTGTAATTTTAACTTCTTGAGACAAATTATTATGCTTTCATTTCACATAGTGAAATCTGAAGTGTCACAAGAAATTTTGCAATTTTTTTTTTTTTGCAAATGTCATGTGATATAGGACAGCAGTCCCCAGCCTTTTTGGCACCAGAGACTGGTTTCATGGGAGATAATTTTTCCATGGACTACGTGGTGGGGTGGGGTAGGGAATGGTTTTGGGATGAAACTGTTCCACCTCAGATCATCAGGCATTAGATTCTCATAAGGAGTTTGCAACTTAGATCTCATGTGTGCAGTTTACAATACATTTCACACTCCTAGGAGAATATAATGCCATGCCTGATCTGACAGGAGGCAGAGCTCAGGTGGTAATGCTCACTCACCTGCTGCTCACCTCCTGCTGTGCAGTACTGGTCTGTGGCCTGGGGTTTGGGGACCCCCAGTATGGGAGAACTGGCTTCAAGATCAAGCTATGGGGCTCTAAATGATCTTGAGATTTTGTGACATTGTGTCACAAAATGTTTCCATGTAAATTTACATGGAAACATTTACATCACAGGATAAAAGAATAGTAAATGATGATATGATTAAATGAAAATGTCTTAGTCCATTTAGAATTGCTATTAAAGAATAGCTAAGGCTGGGTAATTAGCAAAGAAAAGACTTTTTTTGACTCATGGTTCTGGAGGTTGTACAAGAAGCATGGTACCAACATCTGCTTCTGGTGAGGGCTTAAGGCTGCTTCCACTCCTGGCAGAAAGTGAAGGGGAGCTGGCATGTGCACAAATCACATGGCAAGAGAGAGAAAAAAAGATACGAGGCTCTTTTTAACAACCAGGTCTCTTGGGAATGAAGAGAGTAAGAACTCATTACCATGAGGGTATCACCAAGCCATTCATGAGAGATCCACCCCCAAGACCCAGACATCTCCCTTTAGGCTCCACCCCTAACACTGAGGATCAAACTTCAACAGGAGATTTGCAAGGGTCAAACAAGCCAAACTATAGTAGTGGGTAAAGAACCGATTTAAAAAGGATCAATGTACAAAAACAAATGTTAGTTACTGACTATGTAGCTGCTGTCTCTGACCATCACAATTGATATGGCCAAAAGAGCAACAAATGTTGAAAAGCAATGAAAACTAAAATAAATAAACATATCAAAATATCATACTAGAAGAAATAGGTTTTATTTATAACAAAAGTAGTAAAGCAGAAGAATGATTTAATATGATATATAACCCCTTTTATTTTGTCCTTATTTTCTCCTTCTCTCATTTCATTACTATGCAATCATTCAACTTTGTAATTTAGATATTATACACTGCTTATCCAAGCATGATTTTTGAAGTCCCTCAACTCCAAATTTCAGTTAAATTATACTTAGTTTGATTGCATATTGGCTGCTAAGAAAATAGATACAAATGTGATACCCACACTGACTCTAATGAAATTCACATATTTATCGGATATTGAGATTCTTTACCTATCTTTAAGTAGTGTTCTTGAAATTAAATTCATTCCTAGACCTTCCTGACTGCTTCTGTTCTGTTATAATGGTTCTCTTCCCTTTAAGTCTGCAGTAGCCCTATTATTGATGCAAAAATTCTGTAACCCCTGGATATTGATCACTGTTATTTTGCATTGCATTGCATTTATTTATTTATTTATTTATTTATTTATTTATTTATTTATTTATGGAGACAGAGTCTCGCTTTATCACCCAGGCTGGAGTGCAATGGCATGATCAATCTCAACTCACTGCAACCTCCACCTCCCGGGTTCAAGCGATTCTCCTGCCTCAGCCTCCTGAGTAGCTGAGATTTTAGGCGTCCGCCACCAAGCCCAGCTAGTTTTTGAATTTTCAGTACAGATAGTGTTTCACTGTGTTGGTCAGGCTGGTCTTGAACTCCTGACCTCAGGTAATCCACCTGCCTCGGCCTCCCAAAGTGCTGGGATTATAGGCTGGAGCCACCGCCCGCAGCTTTGCATTGCTTTTATATTTCACTCACCCTTTCCTGGTTAGATATTTTTGAGGCTTTAGTTTTTTGTATTTTTTTTTCCTTCTTAGGTTTTACACTTGGGATGTCATAATGAGCCTCAGGCCTACAACATAGTGGGCTATAACTATGCTGGCCATCATTATTTTTAAGGCTTTGAAGTCTCTGATGGATAAAAAAGCCTTGCAACAAGTTTGGTTTGGGGTTTTATTCTGTATCTTTGTTTATGTTGGATCAGATCTTGTGGCTCTCTTAAATGTCTAATTTTGCATCATCAACTGAATTATTTCATAAAGTAATATGAACCTACCATTAGAAGGGTGGATATAATTTAATCTCCTTTCTTGTATTAAAATAATAATAAAACTACCACTTAACATTCATATCACATATTGCAAATTACAGTATCTTCTATGTACCGTATTATCTTTTATTTTAGTTTCAAAAAATGCCATGAAGCAAGAGGGGGAGTTATTGTTAGCCTTTCTTTGTCTAATTTCATTGGTAAAAACACTAAAACCCAGAGATGTAAATTGATATGCTCAAAGTCAGCCAGCCAAGAAGCAGCAGAGACAGAACTTCAGCTCAAGAGTTTTAGCCTCTGGCCTCCTACTCTTTTTCTACAACATTCGTCCTCCTGGATACCAGCCCTATAATCCTTTGAGAAACACTTATCTATGCTACCGTCAGCTTCTACCCATATTACTCTGGCTTAGATTTTTACAGTCGAGAAATAGAAAGAATTGAAAAATATGATGATTGAACCAGCCTGAGTTCATCGGCTGGGATTATGGCGTTTGAATAAATCAAAGCCTTTCGGCAGGGTATTAGGGAAACTTGAACAGCCTCAAGTTTCTCAGAGAAAAGAGAATAAACAAATTAAACAAACACTCTCATCATGCAAAATCCCTTTTGATAATGTTCCACATTATTCAATCCTTATATTTAAATACTTAGAATCCTATATTCAAACCACACTTATTCAAATCCTATATTCTTTGTCAAGTTATCTGAGAGGTATGGCTGGAAGGACATTTGAGGTCAAATAAATTAATGAAAACTACCCACTGTGAGGCAATTTCAAAATTCTATTTGTCAGTAACTGCAGATTTTAAAATTAGTTAATTATTTAATCCATTTGTAGCCATAATAGGAATTGTAGAACTAGAAAAGTGTGTGCATTGTGGGGTGGGGGGATGTTGAGGATATGAGTCTTAAATCAAGAAATCAAAAGAGTTGCACTTGCAGCTGGCACCACTCCAGAGACATTATAAAATTATCCTTTAAGATTGCTCATTCTAACATTTGCATTGCACTTAAAACCAAAGACTGCAGAGGTAAAAGTCTACAGAGAAAAATTGAAGGAATGCCACTGAGAGAATTAGGACTGGAATTCAGGTCTTCTGACTTCCATTCCTTACTTTTTCTATATTATACTGCCTTGATATGTTATGCCTTCAGAAAATTCTCCAAAAACAATAGAACACATACTACTGCTAACCTATAGCACCCAATGGATAAATAAATTCAAGAAATCATATATTGAGTGATATGTAAATAGATGGGAAGACTACTCAAATGAAAATAAGCAAAAGCTATTTATTCAGAGCTTGCTATACCAAGGAAGTCAGCCTTCATCACTTGCATTTTGGTAGGGATTCAAAGACAAGCAAAGGAGTGATAAAGCTTTAGAGTAAAAAAATGAAGAGTTTTTTAGGTGTGTTTGGCTGATATTGACATGGGAAATCTGTAGACAGGCTAACTAGAAGTAAGGACATACTATGTTATTAGTTAGGCATGCATATTTTCCTTTCTCCAATTGGTCCTAACTTGGAAGTGGGGCAATTATTGGAGAAATTGTCAGTTATTAATCAAATACTGGCCATTTGGGGCTAATTGCTGTATAGGTTATTTTTTGGCTTCATGGACTGGTTGCCACAGATAGTATTCTGACTTTCTGCTATGGTTACTGTAAACAATAGTTTGCTTTTTTGTGTTGACTGCTACAGGTCATGAGTCAGATTTCCATTTCGTATATAGTCTGACAATTGACCATTTGTATATTTAGTCTCTCAGTCCACTTTTTAAATCAATCTCTCCCTTGTGAGAGATTGACCAGTTCTGAGAATGCTTCAGATCCGTATATTCACCACTCAGAGATTGTTTAGTAATCCTCATAGTCAATTGCATTGTAAGATTGTTTGACCTTTTTCTTGTTGCATCATCATGGTGAGTATCTCATGAAACAGTAGTTGTGTATAAGCATTTAAATCTCTGGATAGAATTCTGAGGACCAGCATCACAAACACTATAACAGAACCAAAAACAATTAATAGTCCTTGTAAGGTGTTTTTAACTCTATTTGACCAACACAGGCCAAACAAACAAATGCCATGGGCCATAGAATCAAACTTTAAAAGCAAAATAGCTTTTTTTTTTCCTTAAGGAATATTCACCCTATTTCATCTTGCATATTTCATTGATCTAAGTACAGCAAGAAGTAAGGCAATGGAACAAATGCTGTGATGATAAGCCAACAAGAATTTTAGAGCAATGCACTTGTCCATCACTATTTGTGCCAATGAGTTGAGACTAATCTATATTCCATCTAGGGTAGAGGTGTTGTTACTAATAACTTTTGCCAGAATTAGTTTTATGTTTCTTACAGTCTTTTCTATTTGTGATTCCCATCAATTTGAATACTACTCTGATTGTTTATATAAATAATGAGTCATTAGGTCCACCAGGTAGTGCGTTTGAATAATCAAAAATAGCAGCATTTTGGATTACTATTAATTTATGGAATTAAGATTAGAGTCTCTGTGTACAGACAAATCTCAGGATACTCCTATGTGTTCCTAAAATATATGAGCTATTAGTCTGATGCAAGCAGGATCAGGTATCCTGGTCATAAAGAAAACAGTGTTCAGTGGGGGCACATGGAGATCCAGAAAAAAATAAGTTGTTTATACCACGGGGTCAGCACTTTAGCTTTACATTATTTGGGTTACATATTTGGATCTCTATTAGTCTCTTCTAGGTGTTATTTGGCCCAACACAATATGAAGGTTGATGAATTGAAGCTTAGAAACATAGAGTCTGATCAATAGATTGTAATAATTTATTCTTTTCCCAGAGGAGAAGGACACTATTAGAGTTCTATGTTGGTTTCTGTAAGGTCAGTTGCCCACATATGTGCAAATGGAAATGCTATCAACTACAGTCCTCTGTGGTTTCAACTGATAAGACTGGAATTGTTCAGGGGTTTTTATTATAGAGGTCCAGTGACAGATGGTATGTCTAGCAGTCCATAGACTGACAAAAGTGACAATTGTTTAGGACAACATAAAGAGGCATTAGAATGAGTATGTTCTGACCTAACAGGTTTAATAAGGAGGGAAAGAATGCCATTATGAGTGCACAATAGCAAGGGATCTATAGAAAGTGAGAAGAATAATTATTACAAGCAAACAGGTGAAAAATAAAATAAATAACCAGGAATTAGATAGGGGTCTTGGTCTGACATACTGGGTGGAAGCTCAGATCAGATGCTTCTGGGAGATCCCTGAGAATCTTCAGTGTGAAGTTCTCTATTTGAATAGCCTTCCAATTGTATGGAATTCTAAATTGTTTCATTAAGTTGTAAAACATGAATCCAAGGGTTGACTCCTCAGAGTTTCAGTGTTGTATGTGTTATTAATAATACCTGGTAAAGTTCCTTCCAATGAAGTTCAAGAACAGTTTTTCTGTAATGTCTCTTCCAAGAGACAAAGTTGAATATCACAAAGAGGCTGTTTAGAAATATGTTGTAGGAAGGTGGTTTTAACCTGGCAAAATTTTGCTATCTCTGCATGAAGTAGGGCAGAGTTTAGGGCCAGAGTTTAAATTTCTAGACATGTGAACCTTCATATTACCAATTCATAGAGGAATAACTAGTTTGTCCTCAAGAGAATAAACCAAATGCCCATAGGACTAGTGGGGGAAGCTTTTGGACAAGTGAGCTCAAGGCTTCCTAAAAGTTTTGCTAATTTTAATTTAAGAATCCGATTGGTCCTTTGAAACTTTTGAGGATTAGAGTATAAGGAAAGTGTGGTTTTTGATTAAGGGATAACACCTGACAGAATTCTTTTATAATGGTCATTTTAAAGAGTGAACCTCACTTACTGTAAAAGTTTAGGTGTCCTAGGTTGCAAGCACAAAGCCAGACAGTTTTTTAAGTGTCTATATGTGTTGCGGCTTTTTTCCAATACAGTATTTTGACCCATCCTGAAAATAGACATACAATAACTAAAAAATATTCAAATCCAATAGAGGGTGGATGTAATGGTTAATTTTATGTGTAAACATGATTGAGATAAGAGGTGCCCAGATAGGCAGTAAAACATTTTAGGGTGTATCTATGATGGTGTTTTTAGAAAATATTAACATTTAAATCAGTAGACTGAAGAAAGAAGATCTGCCCTGACCAAAGTGGGTGGGCATCATCCAATCTGTTAAGGACATGACCAAAGACAATGAAGAGGCAGAAGAAGAATACACTTGCTTTCTCTTCTTGAGCTGGGACATCCATCTCCTCCTGAGCTGGGACATCCATCTCCTCCTGCCTTTGGACAACAGGGCTTCTGGTTCTTGGGCCTTTGAACTTCAGGACTTTCACCAACAGATCTCCTGATTCTCAGCCCTTTGGCCTGGAAATTACAGCATCAACTGCCTTGGTTCTCAGGTCTTCAGACATGGGCCGAATTATGCAAGTGACTTCCCTGGTTCTGCAGCTTGCAGACCACATATCATGGGACGTTTTTGGTCTGCATAATTGGGGGCAATAATATCATAAATATCTCAGCTTTGTTCTAAAGATTTTTTTAAAGTGCTTACTTAGTGTGTAGCATGCATTAAGTAATCGTTAAATGTTTACTACTGGATATGAAAGGTCCTGGAGACTTGTCAAAAAGTCAGAAATAAAGGGAACTGGGACACATATTGAGCACACATTATATGATAAACTCCTGGCTTATCAATTCTCAAAAAAATGTTAAAAGAGAAAAACAGGGTCAAAAATGAAATGGTGAGCAACCGGTCTGTATTCCACACCGACTGTAACATTGATTCCTTTCATTCTAAGGATCTAGGTAAGAAAAAGTTATTTTGGAGAATACTCACATAGTCCTATCCTGGTAATTGTGTGAGCCAATTCACATTAAAAATGTCCTCTTATATATCAATAAATATCCTGTTGATTCTGTTTTTCTGGTGAACCCTGACTAATACAGTTGGTGTTGAATAAAATTAATAGGATGGATTTCAAAGGGTTCTTGGGCCCCAGTTCCTGGCCATGTCCCACTTTCAGTTTTTTCAAAATTATGTTCTTGACAGGTGACATATGACCCTAAAATAATCTCAGCATCGTTTTTAAAGTTTCCCTATCAAATTTGATTTAAGATACTAATCAAATTGTCTATTCCATGATGAGTAATTTCATGGAGAAACTTAACTTATATTGACTTGCATCATATTGTGCCACCAAGCAGGTATTTTGAGTGAAGCATTCAGCCTCTTCAAAACTAAATGTTAATGCTTAAGAATAGCCTCTTTAAGTCCCTCCAGATTTATCCTTGAGGGCTTATATTGGATTATAATTTTTGTTAAAGTGACTTTTTTGGCATAATGATATGATGAAGAATGTCCTTTAGTTTCCATGTTGTCTGTTTTCACATGAACCTCAACCTTTATAATAGCTGCTTCCCTAAAAGCAGCAGTGCATCAAAATGTCCCTTATCTTCTCCATTTTTAATGTGGGTTTCAACAGAAGTGAGAAATCCCCTTTGTTTACAAAAAAAAAAATCCCAAAGTTATGTACTACTCAAAAAGCACAACTGCTATCTGTGTGTATGTTTACTCTCTAGTCTTTGGCTAGTTGACAAGATTTAGTGAATGTAATAACCTCTGCCACTTTGAGTCATTTTACCACAGGTAGAAGATTATTGTAAAAGAGAGCTCAGGTTTGTCATAGCATATACTGCTTGATTATCTCCAGTTTCAGATTTAAAATATGATCTATCAATAACATTAGATCAGGGTTTCATTAGGAGCCTTTAAGAAGGGAGAGTAAGGCACAGAGCATTCCCCAACTAAGACAATCATGAGGCTTTCCTTATTCTGGCATGGGCAGGAAAGTGGCAGGATTCAGGATTTTGTAAGGGTGAATAGTAATGTGAGAGGAGGTGAGTAATAGAATCTCATAAGAGATTAATTGGTTGGCTGAAAATATTTGTGTTTTCTAAATCAACAGTAATGTCTGAACTGCATGAGAATCCATGAGGTCAAGTGGGAAGCCTAGAAATAGGTCATCAGGATTATTAATACATTTTGCAGAGGCAGCTGTTGCCCTAAGACAAGACGGATAATCCTTTGCAACTGCATCAGAGGCAGGCTATATTAAGTGATGGATTTTTGATGATTCCCATAAAATTGAGTGAAAATCTCAAGGGCTTGTGTAAGTCACTTATGCACTAACAGACAGCTCTTTGTAGTTAGGAATGCTGTGATGGTTAATTTTACATGCCAACTTAAAAACGTATGTGCCATGAGGTACCCAGGTATTTGATCAAATATTGTTCTGGGTATTTCTGTGAGGGTGTGCATTAGTCTGTTCTCATGCTGCTAATAAAGACATACCCAAGACTGGGTAATTTATAAAGAAAAAAGGCTTAATTGACTCACAATTCCACATGGCTAGGGAGTCCTCACAATCATGGCAGAAGACAAATGAGGAGAAAAGTCATATCTTACATGATAGGCAGGGAGCTTGTGCAGGGGGACTCCTATTGATAAAACCATCAGTTCTCACGAGATTTATTCAATACCATGAGAACAGTATGTGGAAAACCACCCCCATGATTCAGTTGTCTCTGACTGACTCTGCCCTTGACGCTTGGGGATTATTACAATTTAAGGTGAGATTTGGGTGGGAACACAGCCAAACCATATCATTTCACCCATTTCTCCTCCCAAATCTCATATCCTCCCATTTGAAAACCAATCATGCCTTCCCTATAGTCCATCAAAGTCTTATTTCAGCATTAACTCAAAAGTCCACAGTCCAAAGTCTCATCTGTGACAAGGCAAGCCCCTTCCTCCTATAAACCTGTAAAATCAAAAGCAAGTTAATTACTTCCTAGATACAATGGGGGTACAGGCATTGGGTAAATACACCTGTTTCAAATGGGAGAGAGTGGCCAAAACAAAGGGGCTACAGGCTTTATGCACGTCCAAAGTCCAATGGGGCAGTCAAATTTTAAAGCTATGAAATGATCTCCTTTGACTCTATGTGTCACGTGAGGTCATTCTGATGCAAGAGGTGGGTTCCCATGGTCTTAGGCAGTTTTACCCCTGTGGCTTTGCAGGGTAAAGCCTCCCTTCTGGCTGTTTTCATGGGCTTGCATTGAGTGCAGCTTTTCCAGGTGCATGGTGCAAGCTGTTGGCAGATATACCATTCTGGGGTCTGGAGGACAGTGCCCCTCTTCTCACAGCTACAGTAGGCAGTGCCCCAGTAGGGACTCCTTGTGGGGGCTCCCACCACACATTTCCCTTCTGCACTGCCTTAGCAGAGGTTCTCCATGAGGGCTCCATCCCACAGCACACCTATGCCTGGACATCCAGGCATTTCCATACATCCTCTGAAATCTAGGCGGAGGTTCCCAAACATCGATTCTTGACTTGTGTACATGCACAGGCTCAACACCACATATAAGCCATCAAGGTTGGGGCATGCACCCTCTGAAGCAACAGCCTGAACTGTATATTGGTCCCTTTTAGCTATAACTATAATGCAGTGCACCAAGTCCCGAGACTGCACCAAGTCCCGAGACTGCACCAAGTCCTGAGACTGCACAAAGCAGCAAGGCCCTGGGTCTGGCCCACAAAACCATTTTTTCCCTTCTAGGCTTCTTGGTCTGTGATTGGAGGGGCTGTCGTGAAGGTCTCTGACATGCCCTGGAGACATTTTCACCATTGTCTTTGTGATTAACATTTGGCTCCTCATTACCTATGCAAATTTCTACAGTCAGCATGAATTTCTCCCCAGAAAATGGGGTTTTCCTTTCTATCACATTGTCAGGTTACAAATTTTCCAAAGTTTAATGCTCTGCTTCTTCTTGAACACTACACTTCACCACTTAGAAATTTTTTCTCCCAGATACCCTAAATCATCTCTCTCAAGTTCAAAGTTCCACATATCTCTAGGGCAGGGGCAATATGCTTCCAGGCTCTTTACATAGCAAGAGTGACCTTTATTCCAGTTCCCAACAAGTTCTTCATCTCTATCTGAGACCACCTCAGCTTGGACCTCATTCCATATCACTCAGTATTTTGGTCAAAGCCATTCAACAAGTCTCTAGGAAGTCCCAAACCTTCCCACATTTTCCTGTCTTCTTCTGAGCCCTCCAAACTTCAAACCTCTGCTTGTTACCCAGTTCCAAAGTCGCTTCCACATTTTCAGGTATCTTTACAGCAGCATCCCACAACCCAGTACAAATTTATTGTATGAGTCTGTTCCAATGCTTCTAAGAAAGAGAACAATCTGGGGGAAACTGCCTCCATGATTCGATTATCTCCAACTGGCCCTGTCTTTGACACATAAGGATTATTATAATTCAATGTAGGATTTGGGTGGGGACACAGCCAAACCATATCAAGGTGCTTTTGGATAAGACTGACATTTAAATTAGTAGAGTGAGTAAAGCAGATTATTCTCCATAATGTGGGTAAGCTTCATCCAATCACTTGAAGTCCTGAACAAAGCAAAAGACTGATCCTCTGCCAGGTAACATAGAATTATCCTGTATGACATTCTTCAAACTGGAACATCACCTCTTTCTGCCTGATAGCCTTCACAGTGAGACATTGGCTTTTCCTATTCTGCAACAGTTTCAGACTTTGGACTCAAAATTGGACATCACTTCTATAGATGTTAGGCTTGCCAGACCTCCTCCATAATCATGTAAGTTAATTCCTTATAATAAATAAGTCTCTCTCCCTCTCTTCCATATATATGCCATATATACTATTAGTTCTATTTTTCTGGAGAATTCTAACTAAAACAGATGCCTAAGGAGGGGAGGCTATTGAATTCCTACTTTAGATTACAGAGGCATGTTTACCTTTGGTATCCCAGAGCAGGGGGTGTCTTTCTGCAGACTTATTCAATTCATAAAGAAGTGTTGTAATCAGAAAAAAATTGGTTGCCATGGTCTGCAGTATCCAGTTAAACCCAGGAGTCTTCTTAATTATCATTTCACATGGGATGTAAAATAAGTTTGGATAGTCTTTAATCTATCAGAAGAGGTCATTTTCCCTCTTAGATACATCATGTACTAAACAATATGTTCTCATGGTTGCAATTTATCTTTGAAATTATATGTCTTTTTTTCTGCTACTGCTGAGGGCCAGTAAATGGAATCATTTTGCAGGCTTCCTTGTTCTCTCAGTAAAATAGGAGATAATATACAAATTGTAGCAGAACTAAATCACAATACAAATATATTTATTGTCTTTTTTACACTCCAATATTATTATCCCAACAACAGAAATTTAGAACTTTAATAATTGATTGAGGGTCTAGGAAATGTAAAGGAGGCTTCAGTGAACCTCTGTGACATCATTATTTGGGTATACTGCTGTCCCTCCCAAGTGATAGCAAAAGATATTGCTTCTCTGGTCTAGACACATACTGAAAAAAGACAAAGCAAAGACCCATGAGAGTGAAGCCAATGGCTTCAGGAGGAATTGATGACAGGGTGATGTTGGGGTTAGTTACTACCAGGAAGTGAATTTGTTGATGGCCCTTAGGTCTTAAACAAATCTATTTTGTTTCTTTATCATAGGATTGGAATGCTATGAGTACTAGTGAAGGCTACAAGATGACCCTTGGATATAAGTTTTTCAACTATAGGTTTGAGTGTCTCCTTTTCTTCAGGCTTCAAAGAATACTGAACATTTTGGGTAAAAATTTGGAAGGAGCTATCAATAGATTTTGCTCCAAACATTTTACCTATGTCAGTGGAGTTTTTAGCCCCTAGAGTATCATGTACAGTGCCAAGATCCTTACCTGGGGTTTGCATCTAATATGGTGGAGAGGGCAAAGTCAAATCCTGAGCAGACACAACTTAATTATGAGCAGAGTAGTTTTCTGGAACCTCAGAAAGTAGTCCCTCAGGTATACATTTAAAATTACAAATCCATTTTCCAAGGGAGTGTCTCTCTGTTGAATTTAAAGAAGTAGTATTGCAGAGCAGAAAATAATGTGTTTCAGTAAGGAATGAAAGGGCTATGTCTAAGAAATGGAAGACAGAGAAAAAAATCCATGTATTATATTAAATACAGACAAACTGTGTGGTAAATTTACTACAAGAAAGAAGTTGAGCAAAGTTGGCAAGATTTAATACAGAAAGAATAGCACTTATATCTGCCAGGAACTGATAAGGGTAAACATCCATATTTAACGTTAATTCACCTTGAGTATTTAAGGGTATGGCAGTATATTGGATGTTTTTTCCATCCTTGGAAAATACTCATTGAGTTGAATTAAGATATTTTTGTCTTTGTTTTTATTTCATAAGATGGAACAAATTTTGTCCGTATGCCTCTTCTATTTAAAATATCAACAAGTGTCATTTTTGGTAGGAAGTTGGTTGGGAAGTAGCCCGCTCAGCTGTTTGATCTGCAGAGGCACAGCTTTACTTTCGGTTCTGTCTCCTTTTCTTTTGCCTTTTTCAGTTTCTTTTCTGGATACCTAAGTGTTGTACATATTTTGTGAGTACGTGTGATATTTCGACACTATAAACTCCATTCAAAATGCTTTGACAGGGGTTTCAGTTCAGCTAATGGGGCTATTCCTGATTGTAATTTCTGTTTTTTAATTAGGTCTCCAATTTTAGGCTTAACTCCATTTTTAGTAGGAGATAAAATGACGGCTGATACATTAACACATTCTTTAACTTCCAGCTGTTTTCAGAAGTTATTCTAGTCTGTTCAAAAAATCTATACTTTCCTATTTTTGTTTGTGTTATTGAATTATGATTCAGTTAATTTTTATTGGAAATGTTTCAGGTATGGTTTTTAGGAAACTTTGATCTATTCTTGTTTCCTTTTAATTTTTACCCTAAAATTAACTGTAGAAAGCAAAATATTGTAGTCCATTTTGCAGGTCAGTCCAATCAGCTTTTGCCATTGAGAATTTAGCATCTGACGTTCTAACCAACATTTGTACAAGTGGATATAGGTTCATATATTTAGAATTCTCAAAATAATTCTAAATTATTCTGTGAATATTTGCTGGACTTGTTTGGGTTAAGATAAATCTTTCATTATAGCTTTTAATTTAGCTCAGGTCTACAGCTTACATTCTGTATTTGCCTATATACGTGGTTCATGGGAGGGATACATTTATAGAGGAAACTGCCAATTTGGGGTTTTAAGATAGTTTTAAAAATGGCAGTTGGTCTGGACAAGGGAAAGAGGAGAAAGGGACAGACACAGTTATGGAAGGAGAGAGATCAGAAGGATACAAGAGAAGAGGGAGGGGCTCAGTTTAGGGAAACACTTAAGAGGGCAAGGAGAGGAAGGATTTACTAGGCAAATGTATCTAGTTTGTTCTTGTTTAATTTTATGAAGTTGCTCATTTATTTGACAAAATAAACTTTTAGTGAAGGAATTTTGATTCAGGATTTTGTCTGAAGTCCTCTGCATGCCAAACAAAAAATGATCATGTAATCATCAGTTCCACAAGCTGTGAGGAGCGAGACATGAGGCGCCTCTATGAGTACTGCACCTGGCCAAAGACCGAGGCCCATGATGGGCAGTGCAGACTGGGTCTCAGTGGGATTTCCATGATGACTGTGGAAACACATGAAGACCAACCAAATGATAACAAGTAAAGGCTATTAATTCAGAGGTTGCTATAACAACAGGTCAGCCACGATCATCTGCATTTTTGCAGAAACCTAAAGGTTGACAGAGTGGGAGCTATGTAGTACAAAAAAGGAAGACTTCAGATATGCCCCAATTGAAGGTTGTTGGTATGGAGAAGCTGTGGCCCATTGTTTACGAAGGGTCTCTGAAAAAATTGTTTCTATGCCTAAATATATTAGATATGCCCTACTACATGCTCCTTTTGAGATTCATAATGAGCCTAATGTATCCAAATATTATAGCCTTTTAGAAGTCCTCTACTAAAGAAATATTCATCCACATGTTCCCTAACTGTATTCCTGGTAGCCTGATCCTTATTTAAACTTTACTAATGTTCTGCAGAAATAGTTTTAAGAAACCCTATGCCAAGTAATTCTGTTTGGTCCCTGTAACCCAAAAATAGTCAACATCGTTCATGTAAGGCAGAAGACCTACCAGCTGACTAAAGGAAAACATGCTGTGGTAAGGGAAGATTACACACCCTGCTTAAATAGTCACCATTCCCAAAGAACTATGTATCCGCAATAGCAAAGTATATTAAATAGAAGATATATCTCGCAGTTTTCTATCTGCTTCCTTTTACTTTCCTTTCTTCTCGCATTGCCAAGCCATGATGTCCGCCCATCAGCTCACTATTGTCCTTATACAGTCTTTGGAATATCCAGTGCTTCCAATCTCAACAGCTTATATATTTCACAGGCCTTGACAGGACTAGAAAGAGTCAGATTCTAGAGAATTTTCCTGAAGTATTAAATCTAGGTTATCAGGTAGTCCTTCCCTAGGCAGCTGAAATAATGTCTGCCCCTTTTTGAATATCTGGGGAAAGAGATGTCTAGGGAAGGTTTCCTTTTGCTTTCCAGGTTGGAATTTGTCCTGTGGGTTCTTAAAGGTATAAAACTGCTTTGAATAGCACTACTATGGGGAAGTGCACTTCAGGCCTTTCTCTTCTACCTCTACTTACTAGAAGATAGCGAAACAAAACAACAAAACAAACAACTGATGATAAAACCATCCTGAGTCCACCCATTTCTGAGAGGCATACAATTTGATTGCCTAGATGCAAGCTTTTTGGGAGTATTAGTGGCTGCTAAAGAGTTAATAGAGTTCCTTATTCCGTACTTATTGACATTTTACTGGAAGACACTTGAATGAATGTTGTTTTGGGAGAAAACTAATCTGTAATACAGGCCTTTGAAATACAGATAATTCAAATTTAAGGAGTTTTTGACACGACAATGGTACAAAAGTGATAGACATTCAGTAAGCTACTCTGTTTATCATAGGGTTATGTCTAGATACACCCATTTTTAAGTTGGCAATATTGCTAAGTGAAAAACACACTTTTGATTTACAATATTTTCAACTTACAATGAGTTTATCAGGACATAGCCTCACGGTAAGTCAAGGAACATCGATACTAAGGGGAAACTGGTGATTTGTTGTGATCAGTGGGAAATTATTCCAGTGACCACTGTCTGTGGCAAGTTGGCAGCTGCTCATCATACAATTGTGAGAGTATTCTACAATGGTTATGAAACAATATAAGTCTTAATATAATAGTGTAGTATTTATGGCATATTGATATTTATGTTATATAAACTAAAATAACATAGTATAGTATTTATGGTATAGTTATTATATTTCTAGCTGTTATTCATTGTTATTTAAGAAATAATCCTGTTCATTCATTTCTTCCTAAGGATTAGAGTCACCATTACTATGGTGTGAATATTTGTGACCCACTCCCCCCAAAATTAATATATTGAAACCTAATAACAAATATGATTGCATTAAGAGGTGAAACCCTTGGGAGGGCAGAGCCCTCATTAATGGTATTAGTGACCTTAAAAAAGAGGCCCCAGAGATTGCCTTGCTCTTTCCACTGCGTGAGGAAACAGTGAGAGGGTGCCAACTTTCAACTGGGAAATAAGCCTCACCAGACAGCAGACATGCTGGCACCTTGATATTAGACTGCTCTGCCTCCAGAGGTATGAGAAACAAATTTTTGTTGTTTGCAAGCCACAAAGCCATAGGCTGCATAACATTTCAGTCAACAATGAACCACATATACAAGATGTAGATTATATAGATCTAATCTTACATAACTAAGATTATGAAATTGTATCTTTACTATACTTTTTCTATGTTTCAATATGTTTAGATACATAAATACCACTGTGTTACAACCGTCTATGGTATTCGGTACGGTAACATGCGGTACAGGTTTGTAGCCTAGAAGCAATGGGCTATACCTATCTGTGTTTGTATCAGTACACTCTATAATATTTGCAGAATGACAAAATCGCCTAACAGTACATTTCTCAGAATGTATCCGTTTCTTGAGGGATGCATGACTGTACAGACAGAAGCCATGTACAGGCTATAAAAACATCAACTTGACATACAACACAAAGGCTAATGCCATAAATCGTTAGTTTCTGCTAATAGAAGAGTACCTAGTTCTGTTTGTAAGACTACTTGAAGCACATTGAATTATTTTCTAGCTCCATGAACGGTAGGTAAAATTACTGATCTGAAAAAATCTCCCACTAGGTTCCCAATGGGGAAATGTTTTTACTAACCTTTTTGTAAAAGATGAGGAGTTAAAATGAACAGACCTCTGATGTCCACAAGATGTTGTCCAACAATTGTGCTCCCTGATAAAAAGTAATTTGAAATTAATCAGATATCTGAAAAAGAAAAAAAAATATAAAACTAATCAAGAGGAAAATAAGAGGAAACTCTCCCTAATTGTGTTGGTTGTGGTTATGTGTAAAAGTAGTCTAATATGTGGATATTTGGCAATATAACATTTATGTTTGTACATCTCATTCATTATCTGCTAAATATTTCATATTTAAAGTTATTGGACAAGGTAAGTCAGTCAAGAGTCATTGACCCCATTTGATATGTTGAAAGACAGACCCAAGAGTTATCTTCTCCTGGTGCCATAACAAATAAGTGAGTTTCTAAACCAAAATATAATCATGTGCCACATAAGGACATTGTGATCAATGAGAGACTGCATATATGATGATGGTCCTGTAAAATTATAATACCATACTTTTCTTGTGCTCTTTCTATGTTTAGATATGTTTAGATACACAAATACTTCCCATTGTGTTACAGTTGCCTACCCTATTCAGTACAGTAACACGATGTACAGAGTTGTGGCCTAGGAGCAATAGGCTGTGTCATATAAAGTACGTATGTAAGAGGCTATATATATACCATCTAGGTTTGTGTAAGTACACTCTATGCTGTTGTGCAACAACAAGATTGCCTGAAAATGCATTTCTAAGTACTTCACAATATCCCTGACATTATGGGATGCATGACTGGAAATGTTACTTCATTCCTGATAAAATGGGCTCCTTCCTACCACTTTACTGTGCAGAAAATGGATAGTACAACATTGAAACTGTTGTTGATTTTATTGTCTTAGACAACGAATAATGATGCATTTTCCAGTCGGCACTGAAGCTGCTAAGGATAAATATTTAAAATTAACCCAAATCTGATATATTTTTGAGTTTATAGAGTTTCCTTTGTTAACAAAGATATGTGTCTCCTATGATTGTATAATATTTAATAATTCACTGGAATTTACTCTCATCTTGAGCTTTATGAGTCCCTCAGGGAGAAGATGACCTATTGTCTCATCACTTCAGGGAATATGTGTGGGCAGAAAATTAGGACTCCGCTTCTCTGCAACAGACGCCATGGGCAGAGAAGTAGATATTTGGTACCAAGCCCCTATAGGCCACAATAGTTTCTTAGGTCATGGTGGTTTTGCTTATTGTTTACCATGGAATGAAAACATTGCATTCTTTTTTGAGATTACTTCTAGAATTCCAAATTATGTTTCTTTAAATATCTCTTCTGCTTAAAATTTTAATGTTTCCTACCCAGTACAGCATCCTCTTATGATCTTGCCATGACTTTCTCACCTGGTCTCATACCCCAAGCTTCTCCCAGTGACAAGCTTTGGTACTCATTTAGAGGAGTTCATTGATTGTGCTCATGGCTTTCCAATCCCATTTTTTTCCCAATAATTGTATCCATCTTTACCTTTTTTCAGATGGTCCATTTATCTAGTTTGTGAAGAGTTTCTCCTTTTCTAGTTCTCTATACAGTATGTTGCTGCAGTTTTGCTCACTGATTCCTTTTTCTGAGTACTGCACAATATCCCCAGACACAGCAAAATTTTTCTCCTAGTAGTTCAATAAATTTTACCTCAGTAAGACTCTAAGTTCTTGAGCAGTAAGTTTGTGTTTTATTTGCCTTTTTCTTTCAAGGACGTGAAATAGGGTCTGAACTTAGAAAACATAAAATATGCATTGATTGAGCTGACTAACTGAATTTCCTGGTTTGTAACATAGGGTAGTGTAACAGCTTCAAATGAAAGTACTTGGTATCCTTTGTGGCTGGTATAGCATGCGGCACAAAGGTTAAGATATGGGCTTTAGAGTCAGACTTCCTAAGTTTAAATCCTGGCTCTGCTACTACTAGCTGGGTTTTGAATTAATTATTTTATACCTCAGTTTCCTCATTGCAAATTGGTTAATATTAATATTTGCTTCATAAGGTACTTGTAAAGGGAAAATTAGTACATTATAAAATTTTAACAAAGTTTGGTATTATTAGTTTTTTTTTTTAAGGAATGAATGAATAAACAAAATAAATGAAAGCGCCAGGCACAGTGGCTCACGCCTGTAATCCCAGCACTTTGGAAGGCCGAGGTGGGCGGATCACGATGTTAGGAGTTCAAGACCAGCTTGGCCAACATAGTGAAACCTCGTCTCTACTGAAAATACAAAATTAGCCAGTCATGGTGGTGCATGCTTGTAATTCCAGCTACTTGGGAGGCTGAGGCAGGAGAATCACTTAAACCCGGGAGGTGGAGGTTGCAGTCAGCTGAGATCATGCCACTGCACTCCAGCTTGGGCAACAGAGTGAGACTTCATCTCAAAATAAATAAATAAATAAAAACATACTGTTCTCTTTCTGGAGTGTATCTCACCTTGCTAAATTATAATCTACTTGGGAAATACTTCACTCATTCATAAAGGCTGAAAATCATGAATCCCTTTCTCCTCCAAGGCATTGTCTTTTCCCTGTGCTGTCCAACACACTAGCCATGAAGCACATATGACTATATACATTTAAATTAATCAAAATTAAATTTAATAAAATATTCAGTTCCGCAGTTAATTTAGTCACATTTCAAGTATTCCACAGCTACATGAGACCAGTGAGTACCATACTATTTATCGGCAATTACAGAATATTATAGAACATTTCCATAAATATAGAAAGTCCTATTGGACAGGGCTTGGCATAGACAGTTTGGAAAATTATTTCAGTGATTTTATGAAAACTTTAATAATATTCATCATTTTGTACTACATTATATATGTGCATATATACTTACACATTTATTTACATGTTGCGTATATGTGTTTAAACGATACGTACTCATATATATCTACATTTTACATATATAGTTACATATGTATACACACATATCTATGCAAGGAATATATATGTATGTATGTATCTCTTTTACACTAGATTTTCTGTTTCTCATAGTGAGCAAAAAGTATATTATTAATTTTGTATTTCAGTATCCAGTAAAGTTCATGACACATAGAGATCACCTCAAAATAACTGTGAAATAAGTAAAGGATCTGGTAAATAAATAAATTTTAAACCAAACTAGTAAGGTTTTCTTTGGATTTTTTAAATGATAATGAATGAAAAACCAGCTAATGAATGAAAAACCAAATGCAGAATGTACAACACTTGATACCATGCCATGGCATTGGAGTATTCTTTTAGTGATATAACCCGAAGTGTATATAAAAAGCTTTAAAGTGGTGAGTTGTCTCAATCGTGTAATAAATACTATATTGCTAATTTCTGCTTTACATACATCCAAGTAGAACTCATCTCACAGAACCATCTCTTTCTATATGGTTCACTTCTTGCCGCTGTAATTCCCTTTAAAGCCCTCACCTATATATTCCATGTTCATGCACCCTGATAGAGTCTACATAGCCTTAATATTGGGACAGTGGCATCTTGATGCCTGACCCACACATACAGTCTCTAATCAGTCACTGACATGCTGGCTCAAAAGTGAGAGCCAGAAAGGAATTAATCCATGCATGTAGGTAGGTCTAGTATGGCAGATTATAATAATAGGGGGAAATGTTAATGAATATTTGGAGTCTTCATTAAGCATGTGACATTCTTCTGTACACAGAAGCAAAGACTACCTGCCTAAAACAGCCATTTAATAAGCTCTCACAGCCTAACTTCCCAATGGCCCAACCTATTTGCTGGACAGCATTTTTTTTTCTCTGTTTAAAAATGTATTGACTTCAAAGAAACAAAAGCAGAAATTTATTTAGCAAATTATAAGCGCAGATCCAACTTCCAGCCATTATTTAAGGACTGATCTTGGAAAAAAAAATACAGAAGGCTAGAAAATATATCTTTGAATATGTCCTAGAATAGAACATATTCAAGAATGCTTGAATGCTTGAAAAGAATGCTTCTGCTAAACACGTCTCCTCAGTATACTGCCACATATGTTCAGATGGCATGGTATACTCCGGTTTCCAAATTCTAAATATCTAAAACAGAATATATTTTTATATCTTATATTACATTTTTAAGATATATTATTTGGAATTTTGAATATATAACAAATACGTCTGAGTGATTACCCCCAAAACATATTTGTATTTCATACACTGAGGTATATTTAACTCATGCTATACTCTTTTTTATGCTATACTCCTAATAAACTAATACTAATATTAACTAATCATTTTCAAATTTTCTTTAATCTTTCTCTCCTCCTTATTGAAAATATAACTCTACAACAAAATCCTTCACAATGAATTTGGCATAGGACATGTAAAAATCTTATCTTCCAATTGCTTGGCCTTCAAAGAAAATCGAAGCTATAGAATTCTGCTCTACAGTAATCCAGATAGTATATAATTCATTTTGTTTTAGATGCTAAAGGAATCAGTGTAGCATTTATCAGGATCAGACTCAGGAGGCAGAATAAAATGTAGCTTTTATGTTCACAAAAGATATAGGTGCATTTGCTGTAGACTTCTTTTAGGAAAATAAATTACATGTCACTATAAGCCAATTAGTAAATCTATGTGGTAGGTAATTCAAGTTTAACTCCTCCTTTATCATACAATGGTTTGATATAAAACTTTCCTTTAAACTACACATGCAAAAGTTCCGCATCTCCCTAGCCCAGCATCATGTAGGTACCTCAGAGCTCAATCTGCCACATAGGCAATTCTTGGCATCTCCCAGGCAGCCCTTTTTTTGGTAATTCCCCACGGCCTGCACCTATTTGCTACCTTCTTTTGTCGAGTAACAAGTATCCCTCTGGTAAACTGTCATGTTGGGAGTCTGCTCCTTGATTTCAATTTATATTGATTCAATTAGATTCATCTCAATGTGCTAATTTGTTATTGATAATTTATCTGACAATGTAATTAATGCTAACATTTAAAAGGAAGGCAATAATGTATGTGGATTTTCAGAGTCTCCAAATATTTAAAAAATGGATACATCTTTGATGATGGGAATTTCAAGTTTTTTACAGGCTAGGATAGTAAGATAACTAGAAATATTTTAAGAGAGCAAAGAAAAAAAAGCTTGTAAAGGAGAGTAGTAGTTTAATGATATAAATGTTAATTATCATAATCCACCTACAGTCTCTAGAAGTTATTTTTTTCTGAAGTAACTTCTGATTAATGGGATGTTAACCTAGAAACCTTATTTTTGTTTATTTTCTGGTTACCTTAGAGATGCTTTTTATCTCTTGCTATTGCCATGGAGATGGAGGCTGGCAGCAGTGCCTCTTCTCACAACACTCCACATGCAGTAGCAGTTCATACATTTGTATTCCAGGGAAGAGAAAGCTGGGTGAAGCTCTTCGCTTTCATTTGTTATCCCATTTCCAAACTTGGCAAAACCCATACAAGATTCCCTAAGGACACAGGAGACAAATAGCTTTGTATTAGTCTTTTTCCAAATCATCTGGGAAGGCCTACTTGGAAGGAAGCTAAACATCTGATTTTGGGGTCTGTTAATTCCTATTCTTTAAGCACCACAGGCTTTACCAATTATGAAGGGTAAAAACTTTCTGCGTTAAATATACACTCAGAAAATAAATCAACAAATAAAACACTTTTTTCCTCCTTATTCTCAACTCTCCCATACAGAATGCATCTAATACTATGTTGTGGCTTTAATTGGTATATTTGCATATTGACAGTTTAACTCAGTGTTACAATCCCCTTGTAACAGAAGGCACGAGTTCTATTTTCATTGATCTAATTAGCAAAGTTACATATTGACAGACCTAAGAAGATTCTACCTGGAGCATTTCCTTTTTAATATATTTAAATGTTGTTCCAAGTCTCCAGAGTCTGCCCTTTTGGGTGTGAACTAGTTTCCCGACAAAGTCACAGGCCACTTAAGGAAAAGATTAGAGGTAACAATGGACCACATATACAATGGCGGCCCCGTAAGATTATAATACCTCAGTTTTACTTTACCTTTTCTATGTTCAGATATGTTTACATACACAAATACTTACCATTGTGTTAGAATTTCCCACAATATTAAGTACAGTAGTGTGCTCTACACATTTGTAGCCCAGGAGCAATAGGCTAGACCCCGTAGCCTAAATATGTAGTAGATTATACCACCTAGGTTTGTGTAAGTACACTCTATGATGCCCAGACTTCAAAGATGAAATCACTTAAGGACACACTTCTCAGAATAAATCCCTGTCATTAAGTGACTCCTACTGTATTTAGCATGCCCTGGTGCCCTCTGAAGGTGTTTCAAGCCCTGTTTTCAGGAATTAGTCATTTGATTTATCTCCTTTTGTGAATAATGTATAATACAGCACTGATGTTTGGTTTGTCTAATGAACTGGTGCACAACTGATGCTGCTTTCACAAGCCACTTAAAGAAAAGCACATTCTCTCTATGCTGAAGGCCGATTTCAAACAATATGTATTTAGGTTGTATTTTATATAAAATTGCATGAACAATGAGAGAATGCTAAGCAGATGTGAATAAGATTCTTTCATTACAAGTTTCATATAAGTTCTATTCTCCAAGAATGCCAGCTAAACAAAAGTAGAAAACAACTCACGTTTATTTTTCTTTTGCATGAGCCTAAGTACCGTCAGGGCAGGAGTTCACAAGATGTTTCTTTGCAAACCAAAGAACAGATATAATAAAATATGCTGTTGCTATTGCCCCTGTGCTAACAAAGTTTGATAATCTTGGATATAAAGAATCTTCTTTGTCTGTGAGTTATTACATAAAAAAGAATAAATTTTCAAATCTATATTTGAGGGTTCAAAACAACTAGATAAATGGCCAACAGAAAAAAGAGAACATTGAACAAAAATGCAATCATAAGAAATTAAACCTAAGGCCAGGCACAGTGGCTTATGCCTATAATCCCAACACTTTGAGAGGCCGAGGTGGGAGGATTACTTGAGGCCAGGTGTTTTTAGACCAGCCTGGGCAACACAGCAAGACCCCATCTCTACAAATTATATTTTTTAGACCAGGTGCGGTAGTGTGTGCACCTGTAGTCACAGCTATTACATGGGCTGAGGTAGGAGGATCTCTTGAGCCCAGGAGTTTCAGTCTGTGGTGAACTATGATTGTGCCACTGAGTTTCAGTCTCCTGGGTGAAATAGTAAGATCACATCTCTTAAAAAATTTATATTAGATCGCGACCATGATTCTATGAGTCTAAAAATCAGTCTCTGACATGGGATGAAACTATCAATCTTCATAGGTTTTTCCCCTGTTCAGCAAAGGGATTTCATTTTGGAGCCCACAGAGAAGATAGTGTCTTTGTACTTGCCTTTGTCCACGTTGTCTACTCAGGTGGTGAGAGTGAGCAACTGCTTCACCCTGGAGAAAGGACTCCTTTTAATTTCTTTCTCTTGTTCTCTCTCTCACATTCTTTATTCTCTAGGTTACTTTGTTTGGTTTTTTTTTTTTTTGCCTCTTTGCTCTCATCTTTATTAGACATCTAGGAGGAGCCTCTGATTATTGGGTTTTTTGTGTGATTTCTTTTCCCCCATCCTGTCAATTATTTTGAAAATCTAATAGTATATGAGTGAAGCCTGGAAAAAAAAAGCCTAGGATTCTGTGTACTGCTCATCCCTACACATTTTTTTGCAGTTTACTTGATCTAGAGTTCAAAGCCTTAGCTAGCTTAGGATTTGAGTGAAAGGCTTAGCTAGTAATTGTATTAATGGCACATATTTTGTCAAGAATCTCACAGAGGTGTTAAAGAAAGCCAGAAAGCTGTATTGAATTGTTACTACATCTTATTTACCCAAATCCCTTCTTTCAGTATCTTTGCAAGCCCATAAATCAAAATGTTTCACTGAGTTTTCAATCCCTGTTATTACATTTAGAGAAAGAATTTACATTTACCTAAAAGTTAATGATTCCAATTTATGCTTAGCTTTTCCAGAATAAAGAAAGTTAGAAAATCATTTTTATAAAGGCTTAACTCAATCCCTGGGCAATTTTATTTGCCCTACACTTTTCTGCCTACCATTCTGTGGTATCATTCTGATTATTCAGAGATCATAGATACAAAGTATATTCCATGTTTAAAAACATCATAATTTTGCCCAAAGATAAAATAATCCTTCAGTATATAAAGGCTATATACTGGCTATATTGGCTCAACTGTAATATGATACAATATTTATTCAGAGAGATACAATTAAGGTGACAAAAGTGATAGCCCCACCTCATTTTGATTAGAGATGTGTGAGTATAGCCTAAAATCATGTTTGTAAAATACAAAATTTTGTCTCGTTTATTGTTTTTCATGCTTTTTTCTAAGATTTTGAAACTATATTAAAAAGTATGCTGTGGTTGATGGCTTTCTTGTTGAATACATTTCATTTGGGAGGTGATATTTTTTCTCATTTTAAACATTCTGCTATCTTTTAGATAGAAACATTCACAAAATCTTATGTGTAAATGAATCATGAAGAGAAAAAAATAATTCCCTCACTCAATATGCAGGAGTATAAACATTCAAAAGAAGAAAATAAATGAAAAGTATTTTTTATTTAGGTTTTGCAAACAATTCCAAGAAACTTGGTATTCTATGCCTTAACCTACCACGCTTCTAATTTTTGAATCTAATAAACAAAAATTAAAATACTTATGCCTTTAAGTGTTTAAGAAATATATAGATATGGATATGTTTGAAATATTATCCTACTTTAATAATTTTATATATAAGAAAGAATAAAGCTACCTAATGACATCTGCAGGTTATTTCACTGATAAATTTCAGGGCAAGAAATTTTTACCACTACTCTAATTCTTCTTTACAAATCATTTATCACTTATGCAAAGCAGTTAAAGTAGTCAAGTAGCTGAGGAAATGAAGAATAATTGTAGCTCAATTCCAGAAATTTCTCCTCTTATCTTCACCACATTTGATGAAGCTGTTAAGAATAATTTTTTGAATCTCAGTATATGCAAAGTGCTTGTTCTCACTAAATAAGCAACATGCAATGCCATTAAAGCATGGACCAAGAAAGTGTTTTCTGAACAAATACGTGAATCAAACAGTTCTCTTAGAAGCATGAAAATGAAAGAAAATGAATTCTAAGGTAAAAATGCTCAAAAAAGTAAATGCTGACTTCATAGGAAGAAAATAATATGTGTAGACAGAAGATGATACAAATATAAAAGTATACTCTATTGGTATTAAAGAAAACCAAAATATTTCTCTCCAAAATATTGAGAGTTGCTAATTAAAGACTATGAAAACATAGGGGAACACTCTAATTGCCTGATGTCAGGACATACATCCTTCTTTACTGAAGACAGCACTTGCTTATCAGCCCAGAGAATGTACCAGCAGAATGTGGGAACAGATTTCACTACCTTCCCACGTTTTCCTCCCTTTTAAAAGACTGGAACTACTCTCACCTATGTCTTGTCACTATGTTAGCATTTATTGATCTTTGTTAAAATACTTTTTCTTTTCTTTTTTTTTGAGACAGAGTTTTACTTTTATTACCTAGGCTGGAGTGCAATGGCACTATCTTGACTCACTACAACCTCTGCCTCCTGGGTTCAAGCAATTCTCCTGCCTCAGCCTCCCAAGTAACTAAGATTATAGATACCCATCACCACGACTGGCTTATTTTTTATATTTTTAGTAGAGACAGGGTTTTACCATGTTGGTCAGGCTGGTCTCGAACTCCCGACCTCAGGTGATCTGCCCGCCTCGGCCTCCCAGAGTTCTGGGATTACAGGCATGAGCCATCACGCCCGGCCTGTTAAAATACTTTCAAGCAAGGCTCCAAGTCACTGTTCTGAGAGAAAGACACTTTTGAGCTGAGGCCTCTTCCCAGTGACGGGTGCAGCACAGGTCGATAAACTTCTACCGGTTTTGCGCTTGTTAACCTAGCTTTTGTTTTCAGGAGAGTGTTTCAACTAAGAACTTATAAGGGTTAAACAAGATAAATTATATTTTTGCCACATCAGTATTTAATAGAACTGTTTGGTTTCTAAGCCTGACATGCTTGTGAATGTAGATAATACGTTCTGTTTCTCCAAGCAGAAGTCTCTGCCATGCACAAACATGAAGTTTACTGGCTTCTCTCTGGCAACTTAGAAGCTACCAATAGAAAACTGGAGAATTACATCACATTGCGTATATGACATCCTACTTTTCAGGATTCTGCACACTCCTACAAAAAAAACAAAAACGAAAACAAAAAAAGAAACAATAATTCCAATACAACCACACCACCAACAACAAAAAATACTATAGACATGTCAACAGGCTATTACCAGATTATATGCTTAGGTAATGACTTTGAACATAGCAATGTCTAACTAATTTAAAACCTACTAAATCAGGTGAGAATATATAAAACAAGGGAAATGTATTGTCATCTCCAAATATCTTGCTAGGATTTTCCATACATAGACTATACTATTCTACTAGGAAACCAGATAAAGAAAAATAAAAAAAAAATCTATGGATTAGATTTTAGAGAGCATTAGAGAATATTTTAAATGCTCTCCTGAGACATATTTATTTCCTATAGTGTGAAATAGGATTATTTCTTATTTCAAATGCTCAGGAGAGCGTTCAAAATGTTCAGATTTACAATGTATACTGTTTAGTAAATGAAGAAGAGATTCCCAGACTTCTGAAACCAACATGCCTTCCTGTTTCCAAAATTAAAAATTCTGGTATGATGCATATTATCCCATTCTTGCAGTACATAATTTAGAGCAAAGGCAAAAATAATGCATCCACTTGCTAAAGGAAGATAAGACTGTAAACCAAATAAATAGGCTAATTATCAAGAATAAGAGTTTGCTTATCAAGACTGCCCTTGAAACCCTCTCCTCTCTGTGCCCACCAACTCAAATTTATTATGCCATAAAACTGGCCCAATTCCAGCCAGTTTCCCTCCATGCAATATCTGCCTTAAACTTACCCAGCCCTGTGTCTAAAAATACTGTAAGCAACTTCTCTGACTTTCCCCTTCTGAGATCTCCTAAGATTTTGTCAAGATCTAATAAATTTAGCTGTGCTTAAGCAAAAAAAAAAAAAAAAAAAAAAAGGCAAAAGCTTTTCTGATGAAATGTAAGCAAGTAGATGCTTGAAAATTTTGATACTCAAAGTTGTACCAACATCCTTTTAAGACAATCTTGCTGCTACAGTGAAGTCTCTTGAGTTCATGGCTGTGTTCTAGAGCCTCCCGCTCAGAAAGTTCTATCCAAACGTAAGAGTGAGGCAGGTTCTGCGTTGGATCAGAGCTCCAATTTCATTTCAAGCTGCCAAACGATAAGTTAATTTTGTCTCCTAGAAATTATTTGGCTTGGGTAAGGACTTCTTAAGAACTTTTGAGTTCTGAATTTACTTTAGAAGTTTTCTATCCAAAAAAAGAGCAGACTATTGGAGATTTGGAAACCTGAATTTTTACTTCCTTTTCATTCTAATGAGCTCCTTAAATGAACAAGTCAGCGAATATCAAAATTTCCTCAATAGCTACTGCAATTCTAAATTATCCTTTGTGAAATCATGGCATAAAGAGAGATAAGCATATTAATTACAATTTTCGTACAAAAGCATGTAAGTCACAGAGTTCTAACCCAATTTGAGCACACATGTAGACCAAGATAAAACTAAGAGCATGAACAATAGCCTTTTAAAAGTTGTGTATGAGCCTCTAAATTAACAGCCAAAATCCAACTGCATGCACATAAAACCAACAGTTCACATTAGTGGGAAAGTTTGGAGGGATCTGTCTGAAAATGACTCTTGTGAACAAAATGAGACAAGACTGAGGAAAGTTCTCATGAAACTTTGATAGGTGACTCAAGACTAAATGGTCCAATCATGACACCAATCTGATGAGAACTTCTGACCTTATCTGTCCACAGGGCCAGCACTTATAGATTCATCAGACCTGTGTTCACTCCCTTTATTAAGAAATTTATCTTATATACTCTACTTACAACAAAAAGAACCAGGACAGAGAGAGAAATAAACAGTAGTGCTGGTAGTACTACTAGGAGATCAAAAAAAAAACCAAAAAAAAAAAACCAAAATAAAAACACCAAAACAAATACCTCTCTTAGCTTCTGATGTTTTGTGGCAACCCTTGGCTTGTAGAAACATTAAGTCCAAGCTCTGCTTTCAGCTTAACATGTCCTTCTCCTATATTCATCCACATCTCCTCATTTCTCTTATACAGACACTAGCCATTGTATTAGGGCCCATTCCAAATCACGGATAATTTCATCTTCAGATTTTTAATTACATCTGCAAGGTATTAATTTTTTGGTATGTATTTTTGGATTTATGTTAAGTATTATTGAACTTACTACAAGCTGAAAGGGTTTTATAAACACAGTTGACCAGTATTAGCTAAGGAACTAAAGGAAAAATGGAATAAGTATTCAATGGGGGTGTTCTCAGATAAAATACAGCATTCTATTTTCGTGTGTCCTTAAACTCACATGAAGAAAATGTCTTTAAATATTATGAGACAACTTTACAAATACTTAATCCATGCTTTATAATATCAACCTATAAATTCCTTCATTATTGCATAACCTCTGCTGCAAAGTCAATAGACAACTCCATCATTATCATCTCTAAAAATCTTGACCTCTCCAGGTCTCAGTATACAATTGTTACTCTCAAACTTTAATTAAGGGGCATTCTTTCCTGCTTTGTGATGTTCTCTCACTGACTTAATAGAGAAAAATTTACAGTGCCAATGGAATTACCCAATTAAATGCTCTCCTGATATCCTTTTCCTGAAAATTTATGAAGTACCCACTATTTATAATCAAGACATAACTCATTTAGATAGTGATTTATTCTTTGATTTTAAACCTAGCTCAAATCTGAAGTTCAGCATGATGTGCCAGTCCCATATTAGGTCAAAAATGTTACTGATATGTGTGGAGTTATTGAGCTTGAAGTTCTTAAGAATCAGATTGACAAAATTAAGAACTTAGCCAAGTTTGCACAATAACATCGAAAACTGGAAGCTGAATCCTAATAGAGCCGGTACTCATATTGTCATTTTGTACTAGTCCTTGTAATGTTCTTACACTTTGACTCAAGAAATCCAGTGGGAGAGAATATAGACGTTTTATGACTTGAGGGCCATAAATAAAATAGTCAAGCCCTTCTATTTTGGAAAACCAAACCTGAATAATATTTATCTTTAGTACTACATGAGGCTACATAGTTTACAGTAGTAGTCTGTGTTTGGCCTTATTTGCCTCTCTCTAGAAAAATATCATTAATACAAATTTTCCTTTCTATTCAAATTACATCCATATATCTGGACAATTATTTATCTGGAGTTTACTTGAATATTCATCTATTTATTTAATAAGTCCTTAACCTGGACCTTAGGAACTTAAATTTTCCTGTGATTCTACTCTTATCTAATACATGAATTATTGCTATGTTCCAAAAATGAGATATATTCTAATACTATTAAGTAAATGAGATATACTCTAATACTATTAAGTAAACTTAATTATCTTCTCTTCAACTCAGTAAAGGAATGAAGTTTCTAAAGAAATGCTATATTCGTTAAGATAAATTTCATGACCTAGGGAATAATTTATCTCAAGAAGGCAAATTACTCACTTCTTAAAGATTACGGATAATCCAAGACCTTTCTATCTATTCATACTCAAGAAATCTATGCAAGTCCTAGCTGTTCCTATTCACCTGCATAGAAACCATCAGAGACTAGTAGTTTATCACCACTTTTCTTTCCATCTGAATTCAAAATTCATCTTTTCTTAAGGCAATAGGTCACCTTTCTTAGGTCTCCCTTTAGAGACCTTAGCCAACTTGGTTTTAGGGTATTTCTTAAATTTAATGGTCCCCCATGCTGTTCAAATCATGTTGCTCAATGAGAATACATAACATTCTTTGGCAAGTAAGCATTTGTCCTATGCAGTTCTGTTACTACATACATTTAGGTTTATTGGTGAATTATTCTAAATACTGCTACTTTTCTATTAATAGAAGGGACAACTCATAATTGCCTAATTTCTTTTTGAGAACTATATATGCCCTGAACATTTTTAATAGAACTTCACTAGAAAATTTACATTTAATCTTCTTTGTTGATGTTTATGAAACAAGAAAATATCAGGAATAATATTATATAAGGGATATCAACTCTGCCTCTATGTGGACACTAGCCAGAGGCATAAATCAGCCTGAAAGGAAGAATGCATTGCATTTAGCTGAATTTGTGATTAGTTGGGGGGTATACACATACACACACACATATACTACTAGCCAATCCCCTCTAAGGTATTTCATCTTATTTTTTAACCTCAGCGGGACATAATCTGAATGATTATTAAGCAATTGAGTACTTAAAAGTCTTTTTTTAAACTTAAAAGACTTTTACTTTTAAGTACTCAATTCCTTTCTACAAAGTGACTATTATAGATACTGAAGTACAACTGATAACATGGATACTTAAGAACATGTTCTGATTGATCATTACATGAGGCAGCCTCTAAAATACTAGTCCCATGATAAACTCAAATGTCCAAATACTTGATGAGATTTAAAGAGGTTACTATCGAATGTTAGCCATTAGATTCATAGTCAGAAAAGAGATATAGTTAGGCCGAAAATTACATGAGGATTATCTTTGATGTTTTCATGGTGACTGCATTTTAGTTTCAAAGAAAATCAAACGGGACCTTGCAAGGATGTTACATGAAGTCACTCACCACCACAAGAAAAGAATAGCCACTTTACTGAGTTGAGATAGATAGTGAAAAAATTTACTAAAATTAATGAGGGTTTTCTGGTGTTTGTTGTACCCATCATCAGTTTTATCCTGGACTAAAGTCCACATCTCAGAGTTCATTTGAACATCTCTAATTAAATTTCAAAAAAATTATCTCCTACAATGGGTTCTGAATATTCTTTTATCATTGCTTATTTGGGGGATAACTTGAAGCATTTCTTTTCCAGAAAAATATGGCTCTGCGAATAGCAAATTTACATTTACCCCTTTATTTTCAGGCAGATATTTACTAACCAATCTCTTCAAGGACAGGAGCAGCCCTTTTACTGAAACTACATCAAAGAGCTTTGTAAAATCTTGCTGTTTACTCAGAAACTTATTTTTCCATATTATAATGAGTATTCATATATAATGCTCATTATAATGAGTATCATATATAATGAATACTCATTGTAATGAGTATCATATATAATGAATACTCATTATAATATATACGTATTATATACATATATATATGATACTCATATAAAACTCTATTACTAAACTTAGCAAAGCTCTCAGAGACCTTCATACTTTCTTGGTCTAAAGTTTTGCTATTGGTTTTACTTACAAGAAGATCAATTTCTATTGGGATTCACCCGGTCTCCCCTTATGAATTAGTAACAAACTGGCCAAATCAGATTTGACACTTGATTTTAGTAACCGCCTTACTGCAAATAGATAAAGCTCAATACTGCAAAGGACTAATATAATACAGGCAATCTCATCAGTACAACAACTTTGACTCAACATCTTTCTAAACAACTCTTACTTTCATGATCTAAAACCTAGAGACCCAGATTTTTCCAAAAGACAACAGATTCTGTTGATGGCTATGAAATCTCATAGAAAAAGACATAATATGGCACTGTTAACAACTATTATGGAAATCGAAGGTTTAGAGCTGAGATTCTTTTTTTTTTTTTTTTTTTTTTGAGACAGAGTCTCACTCTGTCTCTCAGGCTGGAGTGCAATGGCACGATCTTGGCTCACGGCAACCTCTGCCTCCGGGTTCAAGCGATTCTCCTGCCTCAGCCTCCTAAGTAGTTGGGATTACAGGTGTGTGCCACCACACCCGGCTAATTTTTTTATTTTTAGTAGAGACAGAGTTTGCCATGGTGGCCAGGCTGGTCTGGAACTCCTGACTTCGTGATCCCCCCACCTTGGCCTTCTAAAGTGCTAGGATTACTGGCGTGAGCCACCACGCCTGGCCAAAAGCTGAGATTCTTAGAGCTCTTCTAGAGTGATGTTTAGTCCATTCTCAGACTGCTATAATGATACTACCTGAGACTGGGTAATTTCTAAAGAGGTTTAATGACTCACAGTTTCACATGGCTGGGGAGGCCTCAGGAAACTTATAATCATTGCAGAAGGTGAAGGGGAAGCAAGCCATGTCTTACATAGTGGCAGGAGAGAGGGAGGGTGAAGGGGGAACTGCCAAACACTTTTAAATCCATCAGTTCTTGTGAGAACTTACTCACTATCACAGAACAGCATGGAGGAAACTGTCCCCATAATCTGGTCACCTCCCACCGTGTCCCTCCCTTGATACATGGGGATTAGAATTTGAGATGAGATTTGCATGGGGACAAAGAGCCAAACTATACAAAATGACAAGATGGTTTTTATCCAGGACCTGCAGATGACAGCATGAAGTAGACATCATCCTTCAAATACACTTGAAACAAGAGCCAGCTAACCAGGCCACATATTGTATGTTCTGTGTGTTCTTAGTTCTGTATATTCTGTATCTCTCTATCATTCCATCTGTTTTCTTTCCTCTTTAATGGTTTAAGGTCCTAGATTATTATCAGGCACTTTTAATTCTTCACAATGCTGTCAATGCAGTCCCTATCCTTAATATTGTTCTTTGTTGTTCTTTCTTAGTTCTTATTATGTTTCCCAATATTTAGCTAGAATTTGATACAATCAAACTTTTGGACTTGTATTCACCTTCTGTTGTGTGTAATTCAGTTTTGTTTTTGATACTCATTTCTGTATTAAATCAGTTGATCTGGAAAAACAGATCCATTTATCAAGTGAGGTTTTAGATAGAAATAAATACAAGTCAGGCATCCAGAAAACTCACAACCTCTATCACAACCTTCCTAAAGAGGGCTTTTTTGTCACCATAGGAATAACATTTGAAAATCTGTCTTAGAAGTCATCTATTGTACCTAAACATTCACAGAAATAAACTTGAAAAATATTTAAACCATTTAAATCCAGATGGTATGTATTAAGAGGCCATCAAATTTTATAGATCTTACAAGGAAGATACATTGCTTAGGCACCAAAACGCTCCCTTACTTAAGTCTCCCTGATGATCTCTGTACCACAAATTTTATTTCCTGCTGTCAGACCAATCTTGGAAAGTGTGCCAAAATAATTCATTGCTATTCAGCAAACCCATATGGGTACTTTTATCAAAAACTTATGTTTAGATGGTTCTAACAACTAGTATTAGTTTTATAGCCCACAAGCCTATTGACTACTCCCCATAAATTTTGTAAGGACCTAATATCTTGATAAACTGATGTCTACATTCAAGAGATGTTCTGATATTATTAAAAAAGGATAGATTCAGGCTCAACAATTTCTCTTCTTAGCATATATTAAGAAATTTAATTTAAAAGAAAAAAAATAAGCCTCAATTTGAATTTGATTATTTTTCTAAAAATTTTAGCAACCAGGGAGTAGTTTTTGAACTACTTTCACCTGCCCTCAAGCCTCTTTTTTAATGCGGTATAATTGGCTTGAAAAGTGGGAATAATCTATATATTATGATGCAGAGAATATTATGAAAACTGGATAGTGTAATTAAGGCCATAGAATTTTTGCATGAGAAGTTCTAAAAAATTGTGCAGATTGTGGTCCCAAATAGATCCAATTTGGACACAATAGGGTCTTCTTGAAGTAGAATACACTAGGCAAACAATGCCGTATGTATATCCCTACAGATCTACTTCTCTTGGATCTTTTCTATTATGAAAAATATGTTTTAAAAAATTCAGTAGACTAATACCAACATATCTCATCTGTGAGCTCTTTTGATTTGCAATAGGTTATTGTATTAGTTATTCTTCCCTTGTTACAAGTTACCACAAACTTGATAATATAAAACCATACACAGGTATTAGCTTAAAATATGGCAGACTGCTTCATCAAAGCCAGCAAAAGAGAGAGTTTGCTGGCAAAATGAAACTTACAATCTCTTGTAATCTAGTCATGAAGTGTCATCCCCTCAGGGATGATGATTAGAAGCAAATTATTCAAGGGGAGAAGATTACTCAAGAGTTGTGAACATCAGGAGGCAGGTTTATTTGGGAGTCCTTTTCAAAGCTACTGACTGTAGATATTTTTGTGTCTTTATTTAATGGAGATACTCTTGGCTTCTGGCTTAGAAGTAGTCTACAAATTATGACAATTATCCTTTTTTATAGTATTTGTGTTGCACTCCTCAAATGTGTAATTTCTGAGGCTTAATTTATGTACCATAGCTGATTTTCCAATAAATGCTCAACCAACCAATCAATAAGAAATCTGACACTTTCAGATATTAGAACAGTAATCATTAGAAACTCTACTTACAACCATGACACAGAAAACAGTGGTAAGATTTGTATTGATTATGACCCCAGGCAATAATCATCTATCATTATCAGCTTAAGGTAGACCAAAAATGTGAAAAGGAGGCTTGAGAACTAAAGTGAACGTGATTGTTTCTTACTGAGATAAAAGATACTGGGACCAAACTTGTCTGTCCTGGGTTAAACCGTTTTAGGACTGAAACTCATTGTGATGCATAGTTTTGGGTGAGAGAAGAAGAGACTGACATATGTAAGAACTAAAACTGATATGGACAGGAGGCAAGGAAGTACTGGGTAGAAGAGGGAAGTTTCCCGGCAAAGGCCCACTCTCAAGCCTGGAAACCTGCAGGCCTAAATGGGAACAGGCATTCCTGTTTTTGTGCCCAAATGTTGCCTTTTCCAAGATCACTTTGGCCCACCACACCCCTATCCTGTGCCTATTTAAACCCCAAGCTCCACAAACAAAGGAACAGAAGAGCAGCAGAGCAGAAGAATGGCAGAGTGGCACAGCAGAGAAGGAGCATATGAACATTGAGAGGCATTCAGCTGGGGACAGTCAGAGAGGAGATCGGCTATGGGACAGCTGAACTCCAGGGGACATTCATCTTCCCACTCCATCCCCTTTCCAGCTCCCCATCCATCCCACTGAGAGCCATCTTCATCACTCAGTAAAATCCCTGCACTCCCCATCCTTCAAGTCCATTTGACCCAGTTCTTCCTGGACACCAGACAAGAACCCAGGTACCAAGAGTGCAGGGTGTAAAAGCTGTCACCCTGACTTTCCAGTGAGCTAGTTTAACACTTAGCTGTCCTAGATGCTACCATGGGGCCAGAGCCCAAAAGCCCTCACCCCAGCTCCTGCACCTGCCCATCTACATGCTCCCTCTCCTGTAAGCGGTTTGAGTGTGTGGTTGCTGGGCAAAAACAAGCCACACTCCTGTTGCAAGTCCCACAAGAGGGTCAGGTAACACTCCCCTTTCCAAATCAAAATATGTTTCAGTAGATGTGTTAGTAATTCTGTGGCCAGGAATACTTTCCTCCTTCTATGCTAAATAATACTGAAAACAAGCAAAAATAACATAGGTACTTAATGTAGCAATTTTGATCCAGGAAGTTCAGGCTGGAAACCAAGTAAAACACCTTACTTTTCAACACTAATAGATTGTTCATCAAAGCTCACTTCAAGATCCTCAGATTACTCTGTCCACTAATCCAGAAATATCATGATATACATTGTGCTTAATCCTAGCCAGTTTTCTACTTTCACAAACTACATTAAAAATTCTCAGCTCAGGCCCTAAAACTCTGTTAACAGGCTGGCTTCACAGTGCATGTGACCTGTATAGCCATGAGGTGGCTTAATGTTATGCTGTCACCATTTTGAAATTCTTAATCATATTTTAACAGTTTTTTTTTTTTTTTTTTTTTTTTTTTTTTTTTTTTTTTGAGACGGAGTCTCGCTCTGTCGCCCAGGCTGGAGTGCAGTGGCGGGATCTCGGCTCACTGCAAGCTCCGCCTCCCGGGTTCACGCCATTCTCCTGCCTCAGCCTCCCAAGTAGCTGGGACTACAGGCGCCCGCCACTACGCCCGGCTAATTTTTTGTATTTTTAGTAGAGACGGGGTTTCACCGTTTTAGCCAGGATGGTCTCGATCTCCTGACCTCGTGATCCGCCCGCCTCGGCCTCCCAAAGTGCTGGGATTACAGGCGTGAGCCACTATTTTAACAGTTTTTAACTATTCTCTGAGCCCCATAAACTATTGTCTGTTCTGCCTATTAAAATCTTCCTCTAATTTTTTCACTTTTGAGACACTACTAAGAGTTTGTTGAGATGGTATTCTCATTTCTGCAGAAAATCTAACACTATTAGCTTTGCTTGATTAATAGTGCTTTTTCCCCCCGGCACTCTTTTGGGGAGTTTACGCTTGATATATCTGTTAGGATATACTGCCTTATTTTTTCTCTTACTAAGCTTTGTTTCACATAATAAGATAAAAGAGTTAAATTCTTCCAATAAGAAGGAATTCATGTTCACTATAATTATGTGAGCTTCAGAGTGGAAACACCAGTAGGGAGTAACACTGGGAATTTAACTAGATGAAAAACAGAATCCACCTTTTGTACAGAGAAGTGGTGTAAAATGTTGTTAAAAGAATTGAGTGTTGTATTTGACGATATTAGTTCAGAATCTATTTTCTTGGGTGGCACTGGGATACTCACCTCACCTTCTTCATTTTCACCTTTGAGAAATTATTGAAACCATCATACTTTCCTAGCTAGTCTTCCATATGGTTGTACAGCTGGTGTTCTGGAGACACTGCTCTGACTAAAGAGTTAAATGGGGGCTAAAATCCATCTTACATTCTGCTAATTAATGTGTCTTCCCTGGAGTGGAGGTGCTTCTCTGAGGAATGGGCACATTTTTCCTAATTTCACAAAGGCATTTTATAGATTAGCAATGTCATTGCTCACAATAGCAGATGTCTAAGTAGTATCTATTTGTGGGACCAAATATATGAGCTGAGGAGCAATAGGTACTACATACCAGTACCACCTTTTCTCCTCTATGCTTAATAAAAAGAAGGATTTGGTTAAAACTGTTTAAGTGGAGTATGCAATTGGTATAGATTAGGGAAAATAAGAAAATTATGCTTTTCCTTGCCTGTGTTCCTCTAGCTAACTCGGGTTTTAGGCAGAAAAGAAGCTAATGGTTGCCATATCCTGGACAGTGATTTGCTACTGCCATTCCTTCTTGGGCACGTCAAAAATGCTCAAGTCTTTCTCAGCTCGCAAGAAACACAAACAAATGAATTAAACTCTCAGTCCTGGGTTCTAAATTTGTTATTGTCCTATTCTAATTTTTCCTGTCTCATTATCAAAGTAATTGAAATATTATTATATGTCTATTAACTCCATTTCCTTAACTGTGCCTTCTCAGCACAATGCAGTAGAGCCTCAATTTGTACCAATGCAACTGTTTGGCAGGGCTGATAGGCAATACACACCTCACTTACAGGCAAGGTGATGTCATGAAGGGATGGGAAGGAAAGGAACACTCAGAGTGGGTTATGTTCAGTCCTTTGGTACTGTACAGGAAGGCTTATGGTGGAGAAGGCAGTTGTCAAGTTAAATGTAATATATTCAGATTGCACTGCAACTGTGTACACATATAGGAGAAATGAATGATATTTAAAATGAACTCAATAATTTGCCTCCTATTCACTTCAAGAGAATGCTGAAATTGATTTTTTTTCAAAGGTGTCTATGTGAATATTTTATTTAATCCACATAAGCCGCAGACCAGGTTTGCCCCAGGTGAATATTCTAGAAATTGCTGGAGCTTCAGGACAGGCCCTGGCATAGTCTCATCTGCTCCTCTTTCTTTGAAGGTCATAACACTGCTGATAAAAATGATATCTGTTACTTATTTTAATAAACTGGCAATCGTTCAATTTTGCCCATATCTTGCTTATCATTTTGAGCTGTACTATTAATGAATTAGTGCAGTGTTAACTGAGAACCAACCATAGCTGAGAACTAGGGAAAAAACCATTGTGAAGATACAGAATGACAAATAAGGTTGAGAGGGAAGTACTCATAACTTTACATGAACTCTGCAATATCCAGATGGGAAACAAACAGTAGTGCCCAAGCCAAGGCATGAGAATAGCAAGCGTTCATTATTTTTTCTTTCCATCACTAGGGAAGAAGAATGATGCTAGAATAGACCTAAGGGGAAAAAAATGCTATCTAACCTGAGTTATTTTCCCTGCTGCCCACCACACCCTCTCATGGCCAAATTCTTTGTCTGAAAAGATCTGTATGTGGGACATCTCATTATGTTTTTAAGTATGGAAACCTTCCTCCATATGGCATCTCCCATGATGGTGATAAATACTGACTACAATGGAAGGTAAAAAGCAAGGTGGTTCAAGATGTAGAAAAGTGAATGGGCTATGTGGCATTGACTAGAGGTAGAGGATAGCTGAGACCATGCTTAGGATGGAAACTCCTAGCTTCAGAAGCAGACTTACACTAAATTGGTATTGCTGTAATGAACCTGTTTGGGAATTAATCCAGAGAATGTTACTGTCCTTGTGTATCTCATATATATATATATATATTTTATTCCCAGTCTGTTATTCTCTGAAACAGCTTTACATGAATGAGACTTTTGTGAAAGAAACAGAATCTAGTTGAGAACGCAAAGAATTCAAATTTGGAAAAAAATTTGCTCAACCATAAATTGCTAATTATTTGTTAAAGCGATTAAACTCCACATTAATAATGAACTTCAAAACTGTATCTAAATTCCTAGTAAAACATAAAGAGTTCAGTGGAGAAATGTTACCACAGATTTCACAGAAAAGTAGTCTGAAGTGACTAGCCATCATGAAAGGCTTCATGGAAGATTGAGGAGCTATGAAAGTTTAAGTAGGATTTAGATACTTTGAGAACAGAAGCAGGGCACCTTGGACAGCTCAGGCAGCAAAATCTTCAAAATAGTATTTGTTGTGAAAATGTCACTCTGTAAATTGATAGAACAATTAGTTTCTTTCTTTGCAATGAAATATTTGTGGCACTGATCTCTTCAATATCTGTCAGGTGGAATCAGAAAAGTTAAGATTATAGACAAGCTATGTCATTGGCAGGTTAAATTATGTTCCTTTAGACAGAAAGCAAAACAAAGCAAAATGGAAAGCTAGACTGATTTCTATATATTTGGATCTCTGATGCTTTTAAGTAATCAGGAGATTGCTCGATTAGCTATGATCTTTTTTAATTTTCTCTTTAAATGTTTTAGAATTGTATTCATTTGATGGAAGCAAAAAAGATTCTGTAGTACTGAATCTTGTTTTACTGTTTTTAAAAGCTACAACTTGGAGAGCAGAAAGATAATTTATTAAATATGTTGGAAATGTTAAAATATTAAACAATATGTACTTTTGTACATATATTAATGCTATATACTAACAATCATCCATTACAAAAGAATACAATGCTATACTACAAAAGCCAGACTGTCACCTAAATATTTCTTAAACAATTCTTAAATATCTACTACCAAAAAATAGCATCACTGTGGTTAATGGCTTAGACACCAGAGCAATGCCACCAACTAGCTAGGAAGTTTGGCCAAGTTACTTAATAATTCTGTGTCTTAATTTTTTGATCTCTAAAACTGCGATAATAATTGTACTTAATTTGTTGGATTCTTTTGAGGACTAAATAGCCTAATACATAAAAAAAATATTGAGAGTAATAACTGGGAGGTAACACTGCAATAAATATTCCCTTTTATATTGTCAGTTACCTGCTATATGGAAAAATACAATTTGAGGCATCTTCAGTGACATAGGAATGATAGTCCCTGCACCCAAGTAGTTGAAACATCACATTGAAGAAACACCTATTGAGTTCAGACATTTTTAAAAAAGTTTAATTACAGGAAAAAAAGATACTGGAATTTAGAGTATCATTGTAACTGTCAATGTTATCACAATCATAATTACCAACAATATCAATACCATTCTCATTAGTTCCTATAATTATAATTACTATTATCATGGTAATAATGGAATTGACTAAATCTTTGCATTGTACCAGGCATTCTTCTAAGAATTTTATATATATTAACTTATTTAAGTTTTCCACAAATCAATATTAATATTCTCATTTTGTAGTTGAGAAAACTGGAGTATATAGACTAAGGACATTCAGTTAGTAAATGAAGATGCCAGGTTTTAAACTCAGGAATTTTGTCACCAGATCTCATGCTCTTAAATTGTGTATGTCTTTACTGCAGTAAGAACAGCTTAAACATTAAAAAGAGAATGTCACACCGATAAAATAATGTCACATATATGGGAAAACTCTAATACAATTAATAGAAAAGGTGATTTTAGAAATGAATAAAAATTCAAAGCCCAAGATAAAATGGAGGAAGGGTCTGAAGATAGAACTACTAAGGGAGGTGTACAAATCATTAACAAGATAAAAAGTTAAATATCCTTCAAAAATACAAGTCTTTGCCTGAGTGGTAGAATCACAGAAAATGTTTAAATCCTTTATGTTTTCTCTCATTTTCTGAGTATACTTAACTGAGAAAATAATCAAGACATTCCATTTTACAAAAATATATACAGATTCTGAAATACAAGCTGCTATCTGGAAACTATGAGTTTTTCAAGAATAATGATTAGATACTAATTTGTATGATTTGACATTTTATCATACTGAGTATGGAGAGTTGTTAAAGAATAAGGGGTCAATCAATATTTTAGAAGTTTATTTTCAAAGTGGTGTGCTAGAGAAAGGAGGTCTTCTCTGCTTTCCGGAGAAGCAGAGAAGACCCTCTTGTGATGTCCACGGTATTATTTATTGATGATCTCAGCCACCAAAATGGCAATGGCAAACTGGAAGGAAGATGGGATTCATTCAGGGGTGATTTTTAAGAAATGATGGACAAAGCTTAGCAATTAGTTCTAGCAGTGGGGAAAAGAAACCAAACATGTTATTGCGTATTGCTATGGCATCCACTGAAATTTCTCACAAGGACTTAAGCTGGGCTCTTGGTGAAATACCTCTCATAAATCATCGTGGTCAGCCTTTTCATTGGAATATTAAAGTTCTGTTTGACAGTACACATAGAGAAGTGCGTTACCAACTGACGTTACTGTTGTGTAACATTAATGAGAATTTGTTAATCTGAAATTACAAACAATTTTAGAGAGGGTACATTTAATCTCTCTAAATATCACAGTCTCTTACGGCTGAGAAATCCATGTAGGAAAATACAGTGTAATTAAAACTTGCTGGGTGAACACAGAATCAAAGCAAGGGGGGTTAATTATATGATTTGAATGATTAATGGTATGAGGCTAAAATTCAGTGACAAATCTTTAAAATTATCCTTATACTCAGACAAGTGGATTTTTGTGTCAGTAGAACACTCTTTTGGGAAAAATAATACATTTAGAAGAGGCAATTCTAATTAATCTCTGTAACTATTCTGATTCTCTGTCTTCATGTTTAGGTTATGGACATCGCTCATAACTTTCCTGCTGATTAATACAACTTCGTATTTCCTAATATATTCACATTTTACAGTTAAGAGTATCTGGCCTCTGGGTTCCTTGGATATTTAACATTATGTTCCATTTCTTATCTGTGATCCATTATGAGTTGATTTAGTTTCCTTCTCAGGGGAAGTAATGGAAGCTGCCCTATTGCCTTATTGTGAGGATTAAATGAGTTAATATATGTAAAAATGCTTAAAGGAGTGTCTGCTAACTGGTGAGCATTGTTAAGTGTTTGCTGTTTTTCTATTACTATTATTACGAATTTATTTTATTTTCCCTAAATCTTTGGGGATGCGTCACTATAGAACATTACTACCAACATAGATCCAAGATCACATGCCTCTTTGATTGGGGAATGACTCCACTATTCAAAGAAAGCATAGAAATTATGGTCAGATTGATGTTTGACTCTTGGCTGTGCTACATACTAAATGTGAAGACTTGAACAAAGTATTTAACCTCTCTGAATCTAATTTCATAGGCCTTGAAATGTGCTCTGACTGCCCATCCATATTGTTTTGCAGATTGAATACATATTTAATGGTTACTTGCCCATTTCTGGATATAGTAATTTATATTTATTAATATAATGCTATTTATTAAATATAATATTTTTAAAATAATTAAAAATAAAAGCATTAACCATTGGCTATCAATTTTGTATATTTTCCAAATTTCTAGTGCATATATTAAAGATAAGTGGGGAATAATTTCCATAGTAAGTAGTTTAAATCATTGCTCTCTTTCCAAAGATAACACAATGTACTAGGTATGTTGCTAATTTTTCCTTTAATCAAAATCCCATATGTAGAGATTTTTTGGTTGTTGTTTTTTTACCTTCTCACCAACAGAAAAAGGGAGTTTAACCCAAGCAGATTATCCCTTGGGAATCCTTGGAATTGGAATCCTGAAAGCCCTAGAAGGTTAATAGGTCCTGGATCTCAAAGTTATTTTAGACTCAGGAGTTGTTGACACCACTGTAGGCCTTTTGAAACCAAAAGAAGCAACAGAAAAAAAAAATGTCATTCTGCAGGCAAAGGAAAAAGAAGAACTGAGTGAAAAATAAGCTCTGATGAATTTCGTTTATACTTTTTTTCCCTCAGGGTTGTAATATACTGTTACATACTGGAAATAAGTCACCCTTATCTGAGATCACCTTGATCGAGCTTTTGTTTGTTTTGTTTATTTGTTTGCAAACAAATTATTTCTAAGGTAGAGATTATTCTGCATCATTATGTTACAACAGTTGCACATATTTGAAAAGTCAAAGGGTGTTGCAGGCAAAGGAAATGGCTTGAGATAAAGCACTGAGGCGTGAAATGTTTGTTCTGTTCAGTGTTATTAGGGCATAAAGTGCAAAGCAGGAAGCCCCAGGAGTGAAAGAAAGGTAAGGCCTAGCTCATGGACTGGCCTATTTCCTATGCTACATTTGAGTTTTTTTCCTCTGTACTTTTAGGCAGGAAGAGTGATGTGGATGAATTTGCAGTTTAGACAGATTACTCTGTTAGCACCATAGAGAACAGTGTGTAAGATTGGCAAATGCAGATAAGGGGGCAGGTTAAGTCAAAGTACATGATCTTTAAGCTATTATCTTTAAGCCATTGCTTAAACATAATATTTTAAGCAGACCTTTCTGAGAAGTGTTCCTTAGGACACTAGATACTGCAACAGGGAGGTAGGTGGGGTTTCCATGAAGGAGGAAACTAACGTAGAAGGAAACAAACAGGACTCAACTATTAGTATCACCATTTTGCCTCAGACTGAATCTGGACAGTAATAAAAGTCCACTCATAAAACATACAGATTCTTAACTAACTAAAAATATGCTGGATGTGTCTGCTGTTGATTGGTTTATGTAAACTGTCTGGTTATTTCAGCGAGTCATTGGGTATGATGACATACGCGTTTATTGGAAAGTATGTTTGCTCTGTAAAGCCAAAGATGATCTGAACTCTAGGAAAGAACGAAAAAACAAGGAGGAAAAAACAAGAAGGAAGAGAGTGAGAAACTGGCAGACTTTATTTGCAGTTATATTGTAAACTATTCAGGGCAGCATTGTCAACGAGAAATATTTAATAATTAAATAATACGTATTAGGAAATATTAAAAAATATACATAATTTTACGTTTTCTAGTAACCACATTAAAAAAGGCAAAGAGAAACAGGTGAGACTGTTATAAGTAACACTTTGTTGAATACAATGTATCCAAAATACCATCAGTATAACATGTAATCAATACAGCAATGTTAATGAAATACTTCTCTTAGAACACATCTTAATCCAGATACTAAATTTTAACTGGAAATACTAATCAAATATCATGAAATTTACAATTACAAGTGTAGATTCACATACCCAATCATTCCAAAGATGCTTAAATTTTTTTCCAATAATTCAATCTATTTTATTTTAAAATTAAATTAATTAAAATTAAGTAATATTAAAAAGAGTTCCTCAGTCACATCAGCCACATTTCAAATATTCGGTTGGCCCTTGTGGCAGTGACTGTATTGAACAGCAAGGTTTCAAGGCTAGAATGTCTGTAGATATTTCCTGAGTGAGAATGATCCAGGAATTGGGAATTCTGGCTAATTAAAATTATTTGATACCACAGGATATGAAGAAAAAAAATCTGTAGTTATTTTTTTGCTTATTGCCAGAAATATTTTACATTTTCTGAGCTCTATTTTCTGCCTTGATTTATCCAAAGTATCAGGAGTTGCAAGGCCAAAATTCATTCATATATTCTCATTTAAGATAGTAGCTGAAGAAGCAAGATACATAGGAGATTGGAGAGAATAAAACCTGAAATCAGAAAAGGTTACATACACCTTTATGCGCTTATTTACTCTGGTTTGCTTTAGCAAACCTTGGAACTTAACTTGTTGCTTTATCTTTTTATTTTTTTCTCCAAGAAACAAATGATGGCTACGCACTCTGCCAAATGGAGATATATGATGTTTTGAGGGTTCTATTTTAAGAGATTTTTCTCCATAAGTAAAATAATACTTTACTCTGAATCTATATAGTTCTCTAAATTTTAATGCATTGCTAGCTAACACATTTCTTCCCTTCTCCTTGGAGGGTGTTATTTGATACAGAATCATTCCAAAAATTAAACATGAAGCTTAATTGGTAGATGGGAGTATACTATTCCATCTACTTCTGTATACATTTGAAATTCTCCATAAATTATTTCCTTGGGTAAACACCACTAACAGAGCTGATATTTGAACCCATTCTGTCTGATTTGTGCTTTTACACTAACTACATTGTACTGCTAATTGCTATCAAAGTAAAGGCACACATGCAAGGGTTATATAACCTCCTTCCCAGAATTCTTGACTCTCAGGGTTGGTTGCTCATTTATTTATGTAGATACTTGCAGAGCATATATATATGTATTTTTTTTCTTTGTGTTCAATGACAGTGATTACCTCATTTAAAGGTAAAGTAAAACTGACAAAAATCAATATTAATAAGAATAGCTAACATTTAGACTTCCTATCTTACATGCCAAGCACTATTTAAATGTTTATCTGGAATAACTTATGTAATCTTTATAAAATCCTTTGAGGGAGGTTTCATTATCTTCACTGTGCAGATAAGGAACAGAGATTAATACCTTGCACAGTTTCACATAGCCAGCTAACAATTGATAGCTCTAAGGTTCAACCGGGACACTCTAATTGTAGGGCTTGCCCTCCATCTAAAGCATTGTGGAGCCCTGACTTGCTGCATGAGTCCTGTAATAGATAAAGTCATTCTCTAAATCAGCTGAAGATCTAACTGAGGAAAAACCTCCAACCTATTTGAAATGAACAACTCAAAGACAGATGCAATTAAATAGAATTATGAGGAAACAATAACAAATAAGGACTGACGATCATAAGATTAAAAAGATTATAAGGAAAAGCTTTGTATAAAGTTTAGTCTGCAGCTGAGCCTTGAAGAATGAGTCAGATTTGATTGTAGGAGGGGGCAGACATGAGATTTCTAGAAAAGGTAAAAGATTAATGAAAGTATAGAAATATATGCCTTTTGTAGAATAATGTGAGAGAACAGCTGCTTATAACAGAGGTACGATTTGGGAAAATTGTTATTTTAGAACAATAATTACAACCCAGGTTCCCACAGAACACCTCTTCTTACAGATACAGAGGCAGAGTTCATCATGGTTTCACTGGATTTTCTTTCTACCTAAGAAACTGGAGCTCAGCTCCCAGCAGTCAGCATTCGCTTCTGGGAATTTATAAAGTTCTTGTGCTTATGAACAACTGTGGTATGATTTCACAAGGTGCTTTCCATCTTCTTTCATGCTCAGGACAATTCCACTCCCTCCATTGAATATAAGAAGATTTTACTTTGATTATTCTACCTCTCAATAACAAACAATGACAAATTTTATAACAGACTAATATAAGCAAATTCTATCTCCTGGTGAGCCTAGAAAAACATGAAATCTGCTGCTGGCACATCAGTTAGGGGAAAGCCTGAGCCACAGTTAGACTTGCTGTGTGTGAGGAACCCCCATTAGCCAATGCCTTGAAGAATATAAGCTCTGAGGGTCCTGCTGCTTACAGAGGAAATTACTCATTCAGACCGAACTAATGGCGCTCTGGTTTATAAAAGGCAGAAAATCAAAGGTCATAGAAAGTTGTGAGTATTCAGAGCAGGATGGTTTGGCATGAGTTATGATAAGAAATTAAGTTTATAAATATGTCAAAAACAAATTAGTAGGTAATTAATTCTGAAGATTAGTTAGTGATTGTTGAGGCACACTATAGAAATTTTGAACATGAGCAAAGTTGTGTTTTAGCAACTTTAATTTGATGGCAGTGTAAAAATATAATAATAATAAATAATTTAGTGGGTGTGAAGAGACATTAGGTAATCAGGATAATTTATTCCAATAATGGTCAGAATACAGCCCACCCTTGTTTGTGTATAGAGTTGGCTGTGATGCTGTACAGGTCTGACAGTTCACCATGGTGGCACTCTTCCATGTAATTGTTCAAAGTCAAAAGTTCAGGCTTGATGAGTTCAATTTCTGCAACGGTAATTTTGTCATACTTTTGTGTAGGATAACTGTTGGATTATTTCAACTTTTATCTTTCTTTTGTCTTTGGAGATATGTAGTCCAACAAAGGCTAGTTAAAAATAATGAAACAGGTATTTGTCAGTCAAGTTGTGGGCCAGAAGCTTATAATTTCAAATGATTACATAATATTTCAAAATCGACTAAAACATACAGCTATTATTTAACCAGGAGATTGACCTAATGTTTCTTAAATTTGGGGAGGACATGTTTTGAATGACATGGTTTAATTTTCTCAGATCAGACTGGTTATCAAAATGATACATATTTGCAAAGCTGTCTCAGATATGGGAAATGACCTGAGCACTTTGGGCCAGTGATTTTCATACAACTTTATCAATGAACACTATTCATGAAATTCATCACATATTTTCAAAGTAAATACAAATAAAAACAATAAGAAATATTTACTGGGTGATTTCAATATGCAACATACTGCCCTTGACAAAGGGAGAATTATATAAAGATATTTATGACAAGCCCCATAGCAAGATATTTTACTACCTTACTATAATCTTACTGAGAGAAGAAAATTCACACTTACAGGACAATGAAGACACTAAATTCAGTTTATAATGAAGAATTGGGTAAGTTCTAGGAAACACTTTTCAAATGGTAGATAGCTTTGATTATCAAGACAGACTTTGTGAAAGATATGAGACTCAAAATTCTCAAAAGTTGAAGAATTGCCAAGCACCGTGACTCATCCCTGTAATGTCAGCACTGCTGCCAGACGGGGCAGATGACTTGAGCCTAGGAGTTCGAGAACAGCCTGGCCAACATGGTGAAACTCTCTCTCTACTAAAATGATACAAAAATTAACCAGGCATGGTGGCACAAATCTGTAATCCAGCTACATAGGAGGGTGAGGCACAAGCTCTACCTCAGAAAAAAAAAAAAAGTTGAAGAATTTATAGGAAAAGGAAAGGAAGAGATGAACAAAAAAAAAATAAGAGAAAGGATGGACAAGAAAGAATGTAAGAGGAACTAAGTTGTTATAAGCACTGACTGCACTATAACATCAAGTGTCCAAAGTAGATAATTTCAGGGTTTGGTAGGTTAGGTAAATTGTCAGAAGTTACACTGATGGTGAGTTACTAAAGCAGAATTTGAGCCAAGGTTATGAAACCCTTTTTAAAGAAGAATGGGAATTCAAGTGAATTCGAATAAAGTACATTTTAAGCCCACATAGCATTATTACTCAAAATAATATAAATAAGCCAACACATTATTAATGGTTGCAATAGGAACTCAATATGTTTGTACCCGTTTTATAACAAATATGTAGACAAAGATATAGAGATGATAGATCAAGAAATGAAACTAGTATGCTGAAAAGTAAAATCATTGCATATTTCAACCAATATAAATATGTACAAAGGAAAAGCATTAAAGGACATAACTAGAACAATTGTAACCTAATTTTTTTAGTATAAGAAAGGCAATCTGCAAGGCAATAAATTTGTACTGGTTGTGTTAGAGTTTTCCAGCAAAACGGAACCAATAGGATATATGGGGAGATATATACAAAAAAATTAATGATGGGGATTGACTCACATTATTATAGAGGTTGAGAAGTTCCACAATATGCCGTCTACAAGCTGGAGAGCCAGGGGAGTTGGTTATGTAATTCACTCTTAGTCTGAAGACCAGAGAACCAGTGGAGCTAATGATGTAACTCTCAGTCTGGGGCCCAAGGCCTGAAAACCAGGTTGGGGGTTGGGGGCTTACATTCAGCTCAAGACGAAAGTCCAAATTCACCCTTCCTCTGCACTTTTTTTTTTATCTGAGCCCTCAATAGTTCGGATGATGTCTGCCCACGTTGGTGAGAGGAGATATTGTTAAATCCTTCCATTGATTCTTATACTAATCTCTTCCAGAAAGACCTTCATAGATACACCCAGATATAATGTTTTATCAGCTGTTTATCTCCTAACACAATCAAGTTGACACATAAAATTAACCATGATACTGAGACAGGATATTTCCCTTGACCCCTTCGCGGGAATCGTGAAAGGGTGGCTCACTTACTCAGCCTGCAGCTCTGAACCCCTCACCGGATAAGGAGCACTTAGGTGAGTGGGTGCACGAAGTGGGGCAAACAAATGCTGGAACTGGCCGGTTATTCCTTCCTGGTGGGAGCAGGCTCTGTGCGGGCCCTGCGGCAGCGTCCAAGCATGTTACAATGTTCTTTTAGCCCTGCTGCTCCAGAAAGGGTATCTACGAACCCCAGATCCCACGAGGGCATATGTTACAATCAGTGCTTATTTGGCATTTGCTGTCCTCAGATGGCTAAGTGTTAAACCAGCTCACTGGAGGGTCTAGGTGACAGCCTTTTACACCCTGCCCTCTTGGTACCCGAGTTCTTGTGTGGCATCCAGGACGAATCAGGTCACAGGAATAAATAGAAGGGTAGTGTATATGGAGGATTTTACTGAGTGGGGGGAGAGGCTCTAAGCAGGAAGGGAAGCAGCTGGAAAAGGGATGGAGTGGGAAAATAATCTTCCCCTGGAGTGTGGCCATCCCTGGCCAAACTCTTCTTTGACGTCTTACCATCAAGCCGTCCCTCTGAAGTCAAGCTGCTTCTCTTCGACGTCCAGCTGCTTCTTTTCTTCTCTCCTCTGCCCCTCCGCTCTGCTCTTCTGCCAGTGGAGCTTAGGATTTTTATGGGTTCAGGGTGGGGGGCGGGGTGGGCCAGAGTGGTTTTGGAAATGGCAACATTCGGGTGTGAAAAAAGAGATGGAAAGTTTTCATTTTGGTCCCCAGGTCCAGGATTGAGGGTGGAACCCTCGCCAGGCACCCACCCTCTTCTACCCAGTATTTCACTGTCTCCTGTCCATATCAATACTAGTTCAAGAATTTTATGAAGAAAAGTTATTTATGATTGAGACATTATAAAATTATAAGCTATCTTATGGCAACAAACAGACAAGAGAAAAACAAACAAATATTTGTAGTAAGATGGTTCAAATCTATTGTCATCTGAAAATTCCGAACTTGATTTTACATCCTTAAAGAGCCTTTCAAGTGATTTTATGAAATGAGTAAAGCCAGTTCTTTTTACTAGCTCTACGAAACGCATAAATCTTTATACTTGTAGGTGAAGTTTTGAATATTGAGAATACTCAGAGCAAGAAAATAGGGTATGGAAGAAAAAAAAGAATAATATTTTATTTTTCAAATAGGTAACAAATTTTGAGAAGTAAAGGACAGAGGTTAAAACTAGTATTACCAGTCTTGCACATAGATCACAAGATTAATAAATATTTGGGTAACAAAGTTAATTAAAGGTTATTTATACTCACAGCTCATTAAAGTCTCATCAACTTCATTCAAGCACACTACACACACATACCTTGTTGTTAGTGTGCTTTTGAGGGACTATGGTACAAATCTTGGCCCAGACACTAGAGGTGAAACTCAGGTGAAAATGAGAGGTGAGCAAGAAGGGCTAAATAAAAAACGGAGAATGTAAGCCTCTGGGAATTCACAGAAATCTAGGGAAGGGCTTTGGATTTCCCAGTAGATATGGAAGAGCAACGAAAGTAAATTATATGTATGTCTTAAAACTAGTCTTTAAGCTGCCACCCAGTTTATATTTGAATAGAGGGAAATAATGTATATATGTGTGTGTGTGTGTGTGTGTGTGTGTGTGTGTATTCTTTTTTTTAAATCTATCTATATCTTCTTTTGTAATATCTATATATCTATCTTGGGTTATTCAAGAAAAAGCTCCAAATACTGTTTAAAAAGAATGATGACTTCTCTTCCCTTAGATTATTCAGGCAACTACAATTACAGTTAACATTTGCATTTTTTATTAGGAAACTAGCATTTGTTAAAGGATTTTCCATATGTGCTGTGCCATTTAACTTACATTCTCACCTGTGAGTTAGATTTGACTATCTTCATTTTCCTGAACTTCTGAAATGAAGTTCAGAATGGCTAAATATCATGGCTAATATAAATGATAAATTTGGTAATTAGACCCATGAGAACTAAATTCTGACCTTTTTTCTCTCTTGCCCAAATTCCTATCTAAGGGAACTGGGAAGTCACACCCTACAAACCATAATGTCTTATCAAGCGAGTTTTATTTAACCCTATATAATTTGGCTTACTTTCCAACCTGACTCTGGCATAATATCACGTGACAGACAAATAAGGATGTCAAAACACTTTACCCTAAAATATGATTCTCTGCCATCTTTTGAAATGGACCTGCAAAGAAGTCTTTTGTTGGGGGAAATTTGCATCTGTAAAGAATCTCTATTAACATAACTAGATCGTTTCCCTTAAAGACCTTCCCAATCCTACAGAGATGAACTGAGAGTCCAGCAACTTTTAAAGATTTGAGTAGGAAACATTTGCCATCTGTTGTCTCTGAGAGCAGCCACCTATGAGACTTTATCTGTATAACAAAAACCTTGGTCTCCACAAACTCTTAGCTTAATCCTACACTCCTTTCTATTGGTTCCAGATTTTTACATAATAACTCTTTCAACCAATTGCCAATCAGAAAGTCTTTGAATCCACCTATGACCTGTAAGTCCCTCATCCTACTTCTAGTTGCCCCACCTTTCTGGACCATACCAATGTATACCTCACATGTATTGATTGATGTCTTATGCCTCCCAAAAACATAAAATCAAGCAATAACCCACTCATCTTGGGCATATGTTCTCAAGACCCTTTGAGATTGTGCCTTAGGCTGTGGTCACTCATACTGGGTTCAGAATAAATCTCTTTAAATATTTTACAGAGGTTGGCTCTTTTTGTGAACACCCAGATCCTCTGACACTAAAACTGATGTTTTTTTACACACATATTACTGTCTCTACTTGGGTATCTACTTGAACTCTCTTTGCTTTATTTAACATAGAACGAGATCTGATACATCTTAGAAAATATGACACAGAAACCACCTTTCCCCCCACCATAAAGGCTTTGTTCCTTTTGTGATGCAGTCCAACTGTTATCTGACTGTCTGGGTCTCCCTGAATAATTCCTTAACCACATCTAGCTTTCTTTAAAGTTGCCAGTCTCTTGACTTTCCTTATCAGGATAACCTGCTCCTCAAAGCAAACCACCTCCTATCCAACAGGTGGTCTGTTCATTAAATAGAGTATTAGCCCCCAATAAGTCACTTTCTTTATTAATGAAATGGATCATAAATTAAGCAGAGGGTGCTGAAATCCCTCCATGATCTTTCTTTCCCATATAATATGTATTTATTTAACATTGGCCTTCAGATATCTTTAAAAAAAATCCAAGGTGTTAAGAAGACATACAATGAGGCATGTCTTAGTATTCCAGTCCTAGAAACCATACAATAGATCATCCAGCAAATAATATCTTCTATTGTCAGAGGTTTGTAAATCAGAGCAACTCCATCTTGAATAGGAGCTAGGTAAGATGACGGTGAGACCTACTGGGCTGCACTCCCAGACAGTTAAGGCATTCTAAGTCACTGGATGAGATAGGAGGTTGGCACAAGACACAGGTCATAAAGACCTTGTTGATAAAGCAGGTTGCAGTAAAGAAGCCAGCCCAAACCCACCAAAACCAACATGGTGATGAGAGTGACCTCTGGTCATCCTCACTGCTACACTCCCACCAGCACCATGACAGTTTACAAATGCTAACATCAGGAAGTTACCCTATATGGTCTAAAAAGGTGAGGCATGAATAATCCACCCTTGTTAAGCATATCATCAAGAAATAACCATAAAAATGGGCAACCAGCAGCCCTCAGGGCTGCTCTGTCTATGGAGTAGTCATTCTTTTATTCCTTTACTTTCCTAGTAAACTTGCTTTTGCTTTGCACTGTGAACTCAACCTGAATTATTTCTTGTGCAAGATCCAAGAACTCTCCCTTGGGGTCCGGACTGGGGCCCGTTTCCTGTAACATCTATCTGGTAACCACAGAAGCGACTAGACAGTGGAAACCCCCTACCCGATGGCTAACTTTGGGTAAGTGATGGGGTCCAGTAACATCTTTCTGTGAACCACGGAAGAGATGATACTGAGGAGACCCCCCCACCTCCAAAACCAAAGGAAATAGGCTGCAGCACTGATCAGCTGACTTTTGGTAAGTGGTGGGGTACCTGGGTAAAGAATGAGATTGGGTTAGAGGCCCAACTTACAGGAGTTAGAGTCTCTTCTAAGACAGAGTGGGTTAGAGGCCCCTCTTAATAAAATGCAAGGACACCTGACCAGCCTTGGGTTAGAGGCCCAACTTAGGAGGGTCTTAGAGTATATAAAATTTAGGGAGTTAAAAAATCGAACAGGAAACATTATCATATATGAAACAGTGTTTGGCTTTCTTTGTGCTATATTTGTACAAATGTGTTACTCGTATATGTTCCAAAATAACGGGAAACTCCTATAATTCTGATATGACTTAGTGTATATTATTAAGTGTTATAATTGTTATGTAAAATTGTTATATGCCACAGAAGTAACCAAATTTTCTTTTCAATTGTGACTTTAACATTGGCTGTCCTAAGACTTTTTGTCATCCACAGACACGTGTTGTCTTGTTTTGGTTCTCTTTAGAAGGTTGGTTTATAGTCAGCTATAGAACTCTTAACAGATGTACTTAAATGCAGATTTTCTGATAATTTTGGAGATTGTAACATCACAATAGAGGGAAAACATTCAAGACTCTCATAGAGAGCTGAAATGTTGATGAATATCAAACAAGTTAATTGCATGGACTAAACTAATAGAGGTCTAACTGCTTAAAACATTGCTAATCCTATGTTTTGTTTTTCAGAGTCAAGAAAACTTTCCTTTTGAGCTCTTTACAGCTTGTAGCAATTAATTAAGGTATACTCCTGTGAACAAAATTTGGAGCTTTTGTTTCTCTCTACCTGATTTCTCCAGAATTTGGAAACTATTTGTGAGCATTCTTAACTAATGGCAATATAGTTATTTGCATAAGTGCAATAAGAATCTCTTTTCTTTTGAAACAGGACACAATTGGAGAAACTGGTTGTTTTACCAAGGCTTTAACTGTAATGGCATGCTTATCTTTAAGGAATCAAATTTGACTTGTAGAGCCAATAAAAGCCCCTTGGGAACTGGTCTCATACCTTGCCTGTACAGTCCCTGTACAGGGTTTCTGACCTATGGTAAGTAATGTCACATTCTAACAGGTCCTGGAGCCCTAAGTTATCTTGGAAACCCAAGAAGAGAGGAATTTACTCAACTCATAGGCATTTAAGGGTACAAGCCCATGGCTGGGCTTGGCTTTAAAAAAGTCCTTATCTGATGTTCCTTCTATGGAACAGATTTCCAATAAGCCAATTTAAAAAGAACTTATGTGAAATAATTATTCTTGCTGCACTTTATAAAAATAATCAAAAAATTGGGAACTGGAGAGAGGAATATTATGTTTCAAGAACTATGGTACACTCATTATTAAATTCTAGTCTCAACAGTTGTTTTAGTTTTTTTCTGCAATTTAGGCAAACCCTGCTTATTCCCATGAACCAAACAGTCATCTCTGGCTACTACACAGAAGAAACAAGAGGGGTGGGTAATATAAAAATCTGAATCAGTATTCTAATTCTGGGCACACTGGAATTGGCTAGCAACCCAATAACAACTTGGTTCCAACAGTTGCGCAGTTCATGGAAAGCCTTCTTACTTAGTTTACTTGGGACAATTTTACTTATTTTGCTTTACTATTGTGAAATATATTGCCATTGTACTCTTTATGGAAGAATGCAGGACAAGCTTATTAAGTGTTTTCTTAAACTGAACACTTACTAATCTTCCAGATGTCACTTCTTGTCAGAAATCATGAGTCATGAATGGCTGTCTCCATACTAATGCTTTATACTGAGCTCTTCTCTACCCTGAACACAAGAGACCCTCACTGTTAGGCAGGAATATCATTATCCCTATTCAGCCTGAAGAAGTTACAGAAGATGAATCCTCTCTGCAACCCTTAGGTTGCAGAGTGGGGAAATGTCAGAGGTGTGTAAACAAAAGCAACTCCATCTTGAATAGGAGCTAGGTAAAATGAGGCTGAGAACTACTGGGCTGCATTCCCAGATGGTTAAGGCATTCTAAGTCATAGAATGAGATAGGAGGTTGGCACAAGATACAGGTCATAGAGACCTTGCTGATAAAACAGGTTGCAGTAAAGAAGCCAGCCCAAACCCACCAAAACAAAGATGGCGATGAAAGTGATCTCTGGTCATCCTCACTGCTACACTCCCACCAGTTCCATGACAGTTTACAAATGCCATGGCAATGTCAGAAAGTTACTCTAAAGGGTCTAAAAAGGGGAGGCATGGATAATTCATCCCTTGTTTGGCATATCATCAAGAAATAACCATAAAAATGGGCAACCAGCAGCCCTTGAGTCTTCTCTGTTGATGGAATAGCCATTCTTGTATTCCTTTACTTTCCTAGTAAACTTGCTTTTGCTTTGCACTGTGGACTTGCCCTGAATTATTTCCTGTGTGAGATCCAAGAATCCTCTCTTGGGGTCTGGATCAGGACCCCTTTCCTGTAACACCAACACTTTGAGACCCTCTAGGCGGCTAAGAGGTACATCTCTCTGAGGTTTTTAGAGCAAGTGAATCCAAAACAAACAGTAAACAATGCTCTCAAACTGCAATGACATATTCATTAAATATGACATACTTTTTCGATGATCTCTTTTTCATTAAAAACTATGTTAGCTACATTTTAAAATCTATTTGAAAAAATTTATATATTTTATGGATATCACAGGTAAGGAAGTATATATGAGGCAGATTTTTATAAAACTATGATGATATGACATGTCTGGAAATTAGCACTTTATGTACCTGATGTTCTAATACTTGAAATACAGTTTTAAAAAGAGCCCAATTAAATGAATAATTGTGAGCAACAAGCATGTCTGGTGTATTTAATATAGTAATTATCCTAACTCAGTTTTCCTCAATATAAATCCAAATAGTAAAAGAATTATAGAACATTTCATAAACGTGACCTTTAGTAAACATGTTCCATGAAATTTGATTTCCACAAGTTAATTTGAAAGGACTTATTTTGGATCATGTCATAAAAGAGAGAAAAAAGGCTTGCCAGGCTACAGAAAAAGACTAGAGGGCAACGAATAAATCAATCACTGTGATAAAATGTCAAAGAATATGAGACAGAATCAGTGCTGCCAGGGCTTCTATGAATTCAGGTGCTATTTAATGTCTTCATTAAAGCCTTAGAAAAGAGAATTGATTGACACTGGAAATTGCAGTTGGTTGTTCTGCACAAAACTACCCAAATAACACAAAGTTTGTGTTGAGTTAAAATATGCTCATTTATTTTTAAAAGAAGAAGTATATTGGCATACCTATTTTATAAGATATAATTCAGAACTAAGTAGCTGGATTTAAGAGCAAGTTATGAAAATTTCCATTGGATATACACATTTTTATTTGTTTGAATTCCCCAAACATATTAAAATGATTCTAATTTAGGGTTCCCCCACAATCCAATTATGTTTTATTTGATGATAGAAAAGAGGACAATGTCATGACTTCTATTTGTTTCATTCAAATTTCAATATGCATTTTCCTCCTCACACATTTGTTGTATTTATACCTATCCTGATCTAAATTCAAGGATGGCAAAATGGTGAATTTACATGGAACAATTGCAAGCACACACACGTTTACTTAAAAATACAAACCCCACAAAAACAAAAGATGAATTCAGCTAAATAGTTCCATTTGATATGTGTGTATTTAATGTCTACTAAATACCTGGCCCAGGATTAAGCACTGAGAATAAAAAATAATGACAATTCTTCTTTTTTAATTTTTTTTTTTGAGACAGAGTTCCACTCTTGTTGCCCAGGCTGAAGTGCAATGGCGCCATCTCGGCTCACTGCAACCTCTGCCTCCAGGGTTCAAGCGATTCTCCTGCCTCAGCCTCCTGAGTAGCTGAGATTACAGGCATGCAACACCATGCCCGGCTAATTTTATATTTTTAGTAGAGACGGGGTTTCTCCATGTTGGTCAGGCTGGTCTTGAACTCCCGACCTCAGGTGATTCGCCCGCCTCGGCCTCCCAAAGTGCTGGGATTACAGGCATGAGCCACTGCGCCCGGCCAAAAAATAATAATTCTTAGATGAAAATAACTCCAGACAAGCAGGAAAAAAAAAATTCTGGAAGACTTAATTAGAGGGACTAAAACTATTGCCTTGGCATGTTGCTCACTCACTCTCTTTCCAGCGAATCTCTTCTTTGGTCCCATAGGATCTTTCTGGAAACAGGAACTGGTTACCCTGACTGCTCTTTGTGTGGTTTGAAAAGGTTTTCTCCTGTGGGCTGCATAAGATCTATTTACCCTTCTCGGAAACTTACACTCAAGCCAGGGAGAGAACTACCTTTCGAGTGTGAATGAGCTGAATCTACTTGGAATTTTAGCAAATTCCCCAGTTTTTATCTCAATTAATGTCCAGAGAAAATTGTATATAAATTTTAATAAGTTACAAAAAGGTACATAGCTGTGCACATTGTTCAGGCCATTAGAACATAAAAACTACACCTGAAGTAGTTCTTTAAGGGAAGATAGGTTAAATGGAAGTGGCTTCTTCTTTATTCTGGAGGATACGTCCTCTCCTACTTCACACACATGCATGCACACACACAAAAAAACAATCATGAGTGGCCATCAGATTTTGAGAGATGCTTTCCACATCTAGATAATTTTGTTTGCACATCTGATCATCGAACACATTAGGCATAAGCAAATCACATACAGAGTTGTTAAAAAATAAGTGTTGTTTTTGAAACATTATTTTTATAAAATTCAAATAGCTATTTATTCTTGATTGTATAAATGATACAAGTTAATCACTGCAAAAGCTCAAGGCAACAGAGAAAATTAAGGAAGAAAGTCAAAGTTCACTGGAAATTCCAGCATTCAAGGATAAGTATGGACATCATTTCTTTAAAAACCACTCTTTAATGCCTATGTACAAGCATAGATATATAGCTCTATCCATCTAGAAATAGCTAGATATATATATCTAGATAGAGCTATCTATCTATCTATAGATAGCGCTATCTATCTATCGATAGATAGATAGAGCTATCTATCTATCGATAGATAGATAGAGCTATCTATCTATCGATAGATAGATAGAGCTATCTATCTATCGATAGATAGATAGAGCTATCTATCTATCTATCTATAGATAGATAGAGCTATCTATCTATCTATCTATAGATAGAGCTATCTATCTATCTATCTATAGATAGAGCTATATATCTATAAGATATAGACATATAGCTTTATAACAATAGGATTATATTATGCATGATGTTTCTGTTTTCAGAACCATTTTATTTATTAATGTGCATTTGTTAGTGCCTCTATCCCTGTTCCCTCTCTTCCATCTTGTGACCTCCCATGTCCCATCCATACATTCTGCATATCCAAAGTTAAAACATCGTTTTTCAGAGTAATCATGTTATAATTTATTTTAATATTATCGGATAACATAATGCACAATTATTATTCTGGCTTAACATGATACTAGAAATTCCTTTAGTTTAATTAATCAAGCTCTAACTCGTTATTTTTTATGACTATATAATAATCTATGGTTGGCTATAAAATCATTTACTAAGTGGTTTGTTCCCCTGTTAATAATTCAAATTTCTTACTGTTTGCTCTCACCCAGCAAGACAATGCTGTAGTCTATACTTCAACATTCTTATTTCTATTCCTCAAAGTGGAAATGTTTAACAGTAGTCTAAAGAGTTTATAAAATATGTATAACAACACATATTTTACTAGCAGTGAATAAAAATGCCCTGTTTTAATCCCTGAATCTCCAGAAACAATGGAGGTATCTCCCTCCCTCCCTTCTCGCCCTCCCTCCCTTTTCTCCCTCCCTCCCTGCCTTCCTTTCTTCCCTCCCTCCCTCCCTTCCTTCCTCCCTTCTCCTACTTCTCCCTTCCTTCCTTTCTTCCTTTCTTTCCTCCTTGATTTTTCTTTCATATTGAATCACATGATGAAACATGGTATCTCATTTTAAATTCTATTTTCATTTCCTTGCCTTCTAGAGAAGTTAAAGAGCTTTTACTAGCTATTTTTCTCTCCACTTCTGTAATTGCCTATTTATATGTTTTTCCCCCAATTTTCTATTGTGTGCTTTTCTGTCCTTTTTTCTAATTAGTTTTTCAGATTTGTTAAAATTATAGTTATTTACTCGTTATTTTCCATATCCTTTGCAATTATTTTTTGCAATCTATTATCTGCTTTTTTATTTTCAGAATGGTAGAATTTTTTTGCATCAAAAAATTACATGTTTAGTAGTGCCATATGATTATCTCCTTGAAGCAACATTGTTCTCTTAGAGAAATAACACCAACAAATGACTGCTCTGTACCAATATAGAAATGAGTTAGCATAATTCTGATATTGAGAAAGCATTATCAGAGTTGCATTCATGTAAAATAGCACAAAGCGACTACAAAGTCTAAACATAATATCACAAAAACTTATAGAGAAAAGTAGAAGAGAGAAGAATGAAAATATCTCTGATCTACTTTGAGATTGTCTTATAAATAGCTTGAGAGATACCTTTAAGCTAATTCCCGTGGGCTCTAAGTGTCAGAACAGGAGACCCATTAACTTGTGTTATAAAATTTTTTAAAAAGTCAGACTTTTTTTTTTAATTGGATCCATTGTGTTCCTAAAGAGATGCCTTACTTATCATTTTATCCTAAGAGTTTTAAAGATTTTTTTTTTTTTGAGACAGAGTTTCACTCTTGTTGCCCAGGCTGGAGTGCAATGGTGCGATCTCGGCTCACCACAACCTCCGCCTCCCAGGTCGAAGCGATTCTTCTGCCTCAGCCTCCCAAGTAGCTGGGATTACAGGCATGCACCACCATGCCCAGCTAATTTTGTATTTTTAGTAGAGACGGAGTTTCTCCATGTTGGTCAGGCTGGTCTTGAGCTTCCCACCTCAGGTGATCTGCCCACCTCGGCCTCCCAAAGTGCTGGGATTACAGGTGTGAGCCACCGTGCCCAGCTAGATGTTTTCTAAATTACTGATTGTTTGATACAATATATTATTCATCTGCTTTTATCATTTATTCATTCCAAAACTGTGGCTTATGAGGACATGACTCTTTTTAAATTAAAGGTAATTGTTAATAATTAATTTCATTTCTTGCTGTGTAACACAAGGAGAAAAGAAAGCTACTTTAACAATTGTAACAATAAGTTAAAATAAGCAAATGTTGTTTGTGAAATGATTATTCTAAATTAAAAATATATTATTCAATAGAATAATAATGAGAGGGGAGGAAAGCTGGTGTCTTGAATGTTGCCGTTCTGTGATAAGCAAACGTGAGAAATTTAATGTAGTTATAGTCACAAATTATCCTTCTAAATGTGGGCAAGGGATTTACGCATTTAAGGAATTATGAATTATTGAAAAGTGCTTAGGGCTAAATTGGCTAAGAGTGCATGGCTAAGTGAGCAATCAGGGGCTCTGTCACACAATATAGCTCACGGCCGAAAGTGAATAATTTTCAAATATTAAATTGAAGAGTCAGTTGAATTACAGACCATTGTACATCTTCTGCCAACGCATTCTTTTCATGACTAAGAACCTCATGTTGGGAAATGAATGGGTTGCTTTAGGACAATCTTAGAAACTGTTTTAACATTCGTATTATGAGCTACAAAGTGGACGCAGTCTTTGTAATGATGTTTTTTTCCTGTGATTAAAATTGATCATAAAATAATTCATCTTCTAATTTTAAAAGCTATTACAAAAAGTTTTAGTAATTTTGAACATGAAAGCTTATGACTATGAATCATATTTCCAATTAACTGTAGGTTAGGCCATTTGGAATCTTCAGCCCTATGAATAATTACGGGGGTAAAAGAAATAGCCAGTTAAATAAACAATGCATTGATTTAATGTTTTAAAAACCCTATTTAATGTGTTTAAATGTAATATACATTCTTGTTGGAATAGATTGCTAGGAAATATTGAGGTGGGATCATAACCAAAAGACATATTTAGAAAGATATACAAAAAGCTAAAATGAAGCAATCATCACAATTTGTTTGTACCAAAACAGTTTGGGGATCAGCCCATGCCTTATCAGTATAGTTTGTGAGACTGTATAGTGCGTGTGTGTGTGTGTGTGTGTGTGTGTGTGTGCGCGCGCGCCTGTGTACAAAATGAGATAAAAATGGGGGCTTTTAGTTATCACTAGGCCAATTTATTACCATATTGTCAAAGTAATACTGGTCTGGGGTTAGTGGGGGCAGGCAATGAACTATTCGAAGAAAATTGAAAGCTACGCAAGCATATCAAACAGTGAGTTAAATTGAAGAAACTAAAGAGGAGAAGATTTATAAAACAAACAAAAGACAGTAAGAATGGTGGACCTGAAAGTTGCGAACATGTAACAATTCTTCCAATATCACCCTTCATCCGGAATTGTGCAAGAGAATCGCAATTTCTTAAAGTGACTTAATGACTCTGGGAAAATTTGACCTATGGAATTACACAAACCTTTTCAAGAATAGATACTTACATAGCTTATGACATTTTTGCTTCTCTGCTGCAAATGTATATCTCTGAGGCCTAAATATCCATTTTTAAATTCTTACATTAAAATGGTAAACTCTAATAATTTTATTAAATTTTATATAATGAATTCTTATGTGTACCTCCTGAAGCTATAAATATATAATTTTGTGCCATTAAAATTTTAAAATTCTTAATTTATAAAACACAAACTTAACTTCTTTTTTTTTTTTTTTTTGTGACAGAGTCTCGCTCTGTCACCCAGGCTGGAGTGCAGTGGCGCTATCTCGGCTCACTGCAAGCTCCGCCTCCTGGGTTCATGCCATTCTCCTGCCTCAGCCTCCCGAGTAGCTGGGACTACAGGCGCCCACCACCACGCCCAGCTAATTTTTTTGTATTTTCAGTAGAGACGGGGTTTCACAATGTTAGCCAGGATGGTCTCTATCTCCTGACCTCGTGATCCACCGCCTCGGCCTCCCAAGTGCTGGGATTACAGGCGTGAGCCACCGCGTCCGGCGCACAAACCTAACTTCTAATAAAAATTGCCATTTACTAAGAACCTTTTGTGTTTTAGAAGTTTTATGTGCTTTTCTTCTTTCTCATAGGAAAAGACATTAAAAGGTGAGGTAATTACAGTTCAGGTAGATAGACTCTCATCTAGAGTTGTATGAGCCAAAAAGGACCCTTACAAGATTCATTTTCAGATTTGTCTGTCTCCAAAGCCTAGGCTCTTGACTTTGTTGACTTATTTTGTCCTGACACATCATGTGTTTGGCAAAGGTCCAGATTAAAAATAGAGATTCAGAAAGGTTGTTGTAAATCCTTAGAGAAAAATCAAGAGCAAGCTAGTAGAGATACAAGAAATCATGATAGAACTTCTGAAATTGATTGCCTTGCTATTGAGTCATTTTGTTCCCCCACAAAATCAATTTCAGGAGTTGGGGCAGAGTTAGAGAGTAGCCTAGGGTAGAAATGCCTGCATTACTGTTCTTTTCTTTTACTCTTTTTTTGAGTGGTCTTTAAAACTAATAGGCTAACCCTGTGTTCAGATATATAATTCTAAGCACAATATTCAAGGTACAAATACATGCTTTAAGGAAAATTAGGGTAACCAATTAGTCCTAGTTTTCTTAGGACATTCTCTCTTTGCCTGAATTTTGTTTCTGTTTTAGCACTGAGGTCCCATGTTCGCAGAACATCCTCAGAAATCGGGATGATTGATCACCCTATCTGAGGTAGAATGTCAGACAGGAGAATGTGGGGACATACCAGCATCCAAATGGAAGACATCCTGCAGAGAGACTTGTTGGCACATTGAAGTTCGCATGGTTCAAATTTGTTGCAATTTATAAAATAACATGCAATTGTGGCAGGCCAGATCGCCACAAGCAGCCAAGTCTCCATAAACCTTTTGCTGTAATGATGAATGTACAAGTCAAACATTAAAGAACTGGAGAAACTGGTTCCTGAATACCAGGGCTGGAACACAAAAACAAACCATTAAAACCGCACCTGGAATTTCTCACCCTTGTTCATCCAGGAACAAATCTAAGAAACTTTCCTACCCTAGACAACTAGTTTAGATTAGATAAGATTAGATGCACACAGGCATAAAGCTTGAATTGTATATATAAGCTAAGGAAAAAACTTGCAGATTTGAGTTGGTCTGGCGAGTTACTCCTTCTCCCTGTAACCAGCTGTAGCAATAAACTCCCTTCTTTCTCAGTCTGTCTGCATCTCACTGTTGGACCACAAGAACACGCAGCCAGACTTCATTTGTCTGGGAACACAATGACTAAGACTTAGCTTATTCTGCAATGGAGGAAATAAATTGAAACATTAGATAAAGAACATTTTAATTGTTTTTAAAATATTTTTAATTTTTTAAAATTAATTTTATCTTAAAATTTTTTTCATAGATGTTCTGCAAATCTCAGACCTATCTGAAAAAATATTTTAATTCTGAATTATGGAACACAGGTTTCTCACTCTCTTGTCTATATCAAGAAGCAACCTTATCCAACCATCAACTTACATGTGAAAGCTGGAGCTTTGTCTCCTAAGTGCCTGAAATTTCAAGAATTTCTTCCATTTTAGAGTTTTTTTATCCATAAGTTTTTAAAAATTCAACATTTCTGAAACACGTAATACTATCACTCCAACATTTTAGTGTGTGTGAAGGTAATAAATTGCTTTCTTCATGGCAGGTAATCAAAACCAAAAGCAACAAGAAATATTTCAGAATGTTGGATGTCTATAGAGGAGAGAGGGGTAGAAAGAAAACAGAATCAAGACATTCACTGTTTAAGTCTATGAAAAAAATTGAAGGACTGTGATATGGTTTTGTTCTGTGTCCCCACCCAAATCTCTTGTCAAATTGTAATTTCCCGATTGTTGGAGGAGGGGCTTGTGGGAGGTGATTGAAACGTGGGGGCAAACTTCCCCCTTCTGTTTGCGACATAGAGTTCCCATGAGATCTGGTTGTTTGGACATGTGTAGCACCTCCTCTTTCTCTCTCTCTTCTAACCTGCTCTGGCCATGTAGGATGTGCCATAGTCCTCTTCACCTTAGGCCATGATTGTAAATTTCCTGTGGCCTCCCTAGTCATGCTTCCTGTACAGCCTGTGGAATTGTGACTCAATTAAACCTCTTTTTTTAAATACATTAACCAGTCTCAGGTAGTTCTTTACAGCAATTCAAAAACAAACTAATACAGAAAGTTCCACAAGAAGGTTATTCTTCCTTATTTACATGAACATATTTCTAGACCTTGATGCTTATCCAGGATTTAAAGATCTAGGGACAAATACAAAGAAACTTTTAGGGCTAATTTAAAGTCCTAAGGAGGGGATTAAGAGCCTATTATCTGAAGGTATCTCTTTTATCCTGTTGGTACATATTCCCTATTGCATTTTGCAGACCAGGGAAACATTAAATATCTAAAATCCTAACCCTGGTAGGCAAGAACCTATTTCATTGTAGAGGGTAGAGCTGAGATCCATGTTGTAATTAACTGAGGGTTTTCACAGAATCTCAGAGGCACAAGTTGATACTTAGTAAATAGTCCATGTAGAGTTTGTGTATCCTTTTACTAGGTAAAGGATTTGTAATATTCTCTGCAATTTTTATTTTTTTCCCCAAGCCATTCATTTGCTGAGAGCAATAATCTTTGTGTGGCTTGATTTAACTCTGTATATTCTATTGTCAGTAGCTTGAGGTATTTGGGTACATTCTTTTAGATGCACACATTTGCATGAAAATTGTATTAACCACTAGTCATTGCACACATTTGAAATAAAATGAAACTCAAAAAAGCAAAAAATAAAATGACTTTATTTCTTATATGAAGGAAAATGGCATCCTCTAAAATGTTTATATGGTTTTGTGGCCTTCTTTCTAGCTATAAGAACACACTATAATTTATTTCTCAAGCAAGTAACACACATCTGTATACATTTTAGCATAAGAAAGTGAATGAATTAAGTATATATAGTATGAATGCATGTTAGCATTAAAGCGTCACCTGTGGTCTGTGGTCTTGAATTTAAAGTGAGATCAATAAATGTGGTTGTTGTTTTTCCCAGGTACTGAAGTTGTCTGGGTTCAAGAGTGAAAAATAAAACCTAGATTTAATCAGGATTGTGGTTTTGTTGAGAAAGATAAATTGATTGGCCAGGGAAGGAGTTCAAGACACATAATGGAGTGACTAATACTGATTTTGAGCTTGGATTTTGAGCTGAATAAGGAAGAAATTGAAGACAGCAAGGATCTGAGGGACTATGAACATAGTTCAGATAGAGTCTTGGATTGTTGGTTTTGAGATCCTAGAAGGGGAAAACTGAAAAGCCAGAGATGCTTTTCACATTATTGAATGTATAAAATGAAAATAATGACTGGATTGGTAATACTGGTAATAACAAGTGCAGGCTATGTTGTAGGTAGAATGGAGGATATAATCATTGGAAGAGATGAGATTAAGGATATGAGAAGCAGGAACATTTGAAGTATTATTAATGTATAAATTAAAATTACCAAGAATTCAGATGATAATAGTATTGTGAGCTATTGGGTATGTGCTTAAATAATGCAAAATGTCCCGGTTGCCATTATTTGACAGCAACCTTGAGGAGGGTGTGGCATATAAGAAGCCAATTAAACGAGTCTCTTGTAAAATGGAGAGTAAAAGCTTATGCCAAACATTGTTTGGTAAGATAAAGACCAAAAGTGTTCTTCCACCTAGCCTGTGAATGGTTTGATCTTTCTCCTTCCTAATATGAGTGTTTAAATATGTCATCCTCAGACATCTTCCCTAATCACCCTGTTTAAAAAGAACCTCTCTTAATTTATCTCATTTTTATCCATCATCATTGTGATAAAAATTTATTACTTTTTCATTGACTTACTTAAGTGTCTTCTGGCCCATTAGACTATTGCAAAAAAGAAAGAAATATTCCTGTTGTGTTTTGTAAAGCAGTATTTTTCATGTAGCTGATGAGGTACATAAAATAGCCACCAAATATTTGTTGAGGAAATGAATGATGATTGCTTTTTCAGATTCTTCAGCGTGTCCTTAGTTTTGAAGCAGATTAAATGTTTATCCTTATAGAGATATAAGTTATTAAATCTTGCAACTGGAATAATAGAAAATCACATTTTAGTTGTTTCCATTTTACATAGCAGCTTTCTGTTTTACCCTAGCACTAATCTCCTAAATTCTTACTCTGAAGAGAAGACAGCTGTAGGAATACAAAAACAAGACACTTCTTGGATAATGGACTTCTAATTCAATATAATGGCCAGAAATTGTACTATCAATATTGCTAACATATTGCCATGGAAGATTTTATTTTAGATACAGGGAGAAAACTGGAGTTGACAAAATCCAGAAATGATAAAAACACATGCCAAACATTGTAGGAGAATTTTAATGAATATGTATAATCTTTTATCTAGATTTTATAAATGGAGAAGCCAAGGTTCTGAGAATTAGATTAAGAGACTTAGCCACTGGCACTCATTAAATTGTAGGTTGAATATTTGAATAAAAAGTGTCTTGTTCATCTCTTCCCCACCTCTTACCCACCCCCAAGGAACACAACTGGTCTATCTTCACACAGAGGATGAAGATCTGTTATGTTAAGTAGCTAGAACACAGTATTTAAGAATTATGGTGGCAGATGGCTAGTAACTTCATAGGTGAGTGGTTAACGTGAATGTAGCACAGAAAGTTGCATATTCGTGCATCCTGAAAAAGCAACTGAACAAAAGTATATGCTTAAGCATGTACTTTACTTTAACTCCTGTATAGATACAAGGGCTTCATCAGTGATGTCTGATACCAGAAAGCAGGGTCTCAGTCAGTCATAGCCTGGAGATCAAGAACAAGACTTTGCTCTCTCTAGGATACAGTATAAAGGAGGAACAAAAATAATGTGTCTCTATTTCTAGAGCAGATTGTAAAAGAGGTCAGGAGAATCAGATAAGGAACAAGGCAAGCATAAAGCTTTTAAAACAAAATTAGGTCCTCAATATGAGAGAACTGGAACCAAAGGTCAGAGTTTACAGTGAGCCCCTTCTTCTCCAACATGGTCTCTGCTTTAAAATCAGTATTACGGGCATGGTGAGGTGGCTCACACCGGTAATCCCATCACTCTGGGAGGCCAAGACAGGCAGATCACATGAGGCCAGGAATTCTAGACCAGCCTGGACAACATGGTAAAACCCCATCGCTATTCAAAATACAATAAAATTAGCCAGGTGTGATGTCTGGCTAATTCTCAGGTGCCTGAGGCATGAGAATTACTTGAACCTGGAAGGTGGAGGCTTCAGTGAGCTGAGATTGCTCAGCCTGGATGAGAGAGACACCCTGTCTCTAAACAAATAAATAAATCAGTATAGCAGTTGAAGAGCATGCACTATGGAGGCAGACTTTTTTAATTTGAATACTAGTTTCACCATTTTTGAGGTGTGAAACCTTAGTCAAGCTATTTTGTTATTTAACTTAATATCAGACCAGGCGTGGTGGCTCACGACTGTAGCCCCAGCACTTTGGGAGGCCGAGGTGGGCGGATTACTTGAGGTCAGGAGTTTGAGACCAGACTGGCCAACATGGTGAAACCCCATCTCTACTAAAAATACAAAAATTAGCCAGGTGTGGTGGGAGGCACCTGTAGTACTAGGTACTCAGGAGGATGAGGCAGGAGAATAGCTTGAACCTGGGAGGTGGAGGTTGCAGTGAGCAGAGACTGCGCCATAGCACTCCATCCTGGACGACAAAGCGAGACTCTGTCTCAAACAAAAAACAAACAAAAAAAACCTTAATATCATTTGCATCCTTGTTTATGACACGTGAGCCATCAGAGCAGCTACCTCATAGCTTTGTTAGGTACATTAAATTAGTTAACTTGTGAAGTTCCTAAGTGAGAACCTGGCATAAATGTGCTTTGTAAGTATTGATAAATTAAATAAAGAAATAACTCAATCATGTTGGACAAAGGCAAAAAATAGTTTCTCAGCTTAGGAAGAGTTTGAAACTCAAAGTACTGCATATATGAGCTTTGATACTGTATTTAACTCCTGTATTGAAATTTGGTGTTTCAGGGACCCCAGAGCAAGTTCATTGGTTTAAATAATTTGGAGTGAAAAAAAGAAAAAAAGAAAGTATTATTTGGGATACTTAATGTTACCCCCAAAATAATTATGTGATTATCTGTGCCACTTGGCTACCACGAAGCAGTGAAATGGCCTCCAAGAATGTAAAATATTTAATCAAGAGACTACCCAGGACAACTCAAATGGCTAAAAAGTCAGAGAAAAAAATCTTGCTTTGAGCGTAAGGGAATTGAGGAGCTAAAGGCAGTTCAATTTATCTAGGCTAGTGTTGATACCTTCATTTAAAGCTCTCTACAGGTTATAAACATGTATGTGGAGACTGTTCATTAAATGAAAAGATAAATAGATGCTGTGGGAATGCATAAAAATCTCAGATTACTTGAATAAGAAGGGAGCAGTATTATGTTAATTCTATTAAGAGAGGCAAAATTTTAAACGAAACTACTAAGAATTAGATGAAGGCATGCTGTGTAAGTGGGAAGTAAATGAACAGCTGCAAATTTTTCAATAAAAGGGGAAAGAATAAATGTCCCTCTTAGTATGGGAATTTGTCTGATTACAAGCCTAACCAACCATATCAAAGTAACACCCATGCTTGGATAAAAGATAACTGTGTCAAATCAAACTCAACACAGAAGTCACAGAGAGGTCCTGAAGTGCTCTCTTCAAATGGCCTGCATTTCTAAAATTTATAGACTCATTACTTTTGCAAGTCTCCTTCTGACCTCATTATTTAGCTCCCATGCTTGCTATCTGATTCAGTGCATACTTATATTGCTTGGCTCAAACTAACTTTATGTCCCAAGTTTAAATTTCTCCTGGAGAGAATATTATCCCAGTCCAGAGGCAGTAACATTTCCTCCCATACTTTAGCAGGAAACAATATTCAGGCATAGGCAGACAGGTGTATTTTTCTTAAGGTTCCCATTTGTAACCCTCTTGATAATCATGTCAGAGGGTTTTGATAAGCTTGACTAATGTAGCATGATCACCCAGGCTGGACAAGAAACATAGTAATAGGACAGAGACATTCTGAGGAGACACCTGATGGGGTCCTAATAGTAAACCCAGTAGAAATGGAGTCAGTTCTAAGAAATTATTCCCTTACTTCACACCATTTCCTAAAGCCATTTGCATGTGGCCTATAGATTTAAACATAACACATTAAGAACTCTAGAAGAAAAAAACGGGATACTATTTTATGACCTTATAAGTTGGTGCAGATTTCTTAAATAGGCCATAATAATCACTAATGAAAAATGAAAAGATGGATAAAATGGAGTTAATTCATCAAAACATCTCATTAAAATGAAGTAAAGGAAATCCACAGAATAGAAAAAATATTTGTAATATGTGTATCCATAAAAGACTCATATGCAGAATAAGTCCTACTGTAATTACTCAAGAAAAAGATTAAATAAAATATTGACAAAATCAGGCACTTCATTAGAGGATATGGAAAATTTACATCTGGAAAGGCATTTTACCTTATTAGTCATCAGAGAACTGTGAATAAAATTATAATGTGATTCTACTACATACCCATTGAAATAACTAAAATAAAATGAAAAAGACAATTTTACGTGTCTGTGAGGATTAGGAGCAACTGGAACTCTCCTACAGGGAATGTTTAATGCAACAGTTTGGAAAATTGTTAAGCAGTATCTGTTAAAGCTGCACATTCCAGCTATTCTAGTCCTAGGCATAATCTTTAGCAAAATGCATATATGAAGTTTATTAAAAGACACATATAATAATGTGCACAGTAATATTACTCATAACTACCCACATATCCATCAACAGTAATATGAACAAATGCATGGTGATATAGTCACAAAGAATATGCAATGGTGAAAATAAATACATTACTTCAACAGACAATGTGTTTAACTGTCACAAATATTGAGCAAAACAAAAGAGTGATGGGGAAGAGCTCATGTTTCTTGATGTCATTTTTGGTGTGTAAAAAGCAGAAAACACTAATCTGTGATGACAGAGATAAGGAAACCAAGCATAGTAGTTCCCCTTGGCAAGAGAAAAATTGGGGGATTCTAGGGTGCTGGTAGTGTTCCATTTCATTTGTTATTTGATCTGGGAGGAGGTAATGAGGGTTGTTCACTTTATAAAAATTAACCAAACTTTCCACTTATGATTTGTGAACTTTTCTATATGTATAATATATTTTAATAAAGAAAGTTTAAAAGGTATAAATCATGAATTCCTACATGTTCAAAAGAGTGAAGGTCATTTAATGGTAATCTAGTATCATGTATTTAAGCCAGTTTCCCTGGCTTAAATTTTGTCAATTTTTGTCAATTTAAAATTTTGTCAATATTTTATTTAATCTTTTTCTTATTGAGTAATTACAGTAGGACTTATTCTGCATATGAGTCTTTTATGGATATACATATTACGAATATTTTTTCTATTCTGTGGATTTCCTTTACTTCATTTTAATGAGATGTTTTGATCTATCTCATCAGTTTGCCTTGGCCATTCCAATGGAATTTAATAATTTAAGTCAATTTCACTTACATTGTTTTTCCATCCATGGTCCTTTAATTAATTGTTGAGTCATAGTAGTAATCTAGTCCACTAGTTGGCCACATGTCGTGAGCCAAGTCACTTCATATCTTAAGATCTTACTTCTCTTATTTGTAAAATGAGAATTTGGACTACAACAATAATAGTTTAATATAATAGAAATTCAAAGAATACAATCAATATTTTGGAATTCAAATCTCGGCTTGCACCTCTACATAGTTATATGGGTAAATTAGGTAAATTTTCCATGCCTCACCTCCTTCCTCTGTAATAAGAAGCTAACTCAACAGATATATCTTTGTATGTTTGTGTGTGTGTGTGTGTCTGTGTGTGTGAAGAAATTACAGTTACTTGTATTAGCATGCATTTGATATCCATTCAAAGGTAATTTTGAAAATATATAACATTTTCTTCCACCCTCATTCTGAATTCTGTTCCTATAATTCAGTGGCTTTTTCTTTTAATTATTTTTTTTTCTTAAAATTTCAGGAAAGTGGTTCATATCCATTTAAAAAATAATAAATAGCTGTTTAAAAGATTTTTTTAGTTTTTTTATTTAAAATTATTTTAAGCTTACATTAAAGGTAAAACTATAAGGATAATACAAAACAAGTGTGTCCTTTATTCAATTTCATATATGTATTTTTTATTGACTATTTGATAATAAGTTGCATATATCAGGACCCTTTACCAATAAAAACCGCTATGTTTATTTCCTATAAAAAGGCTATTATCTTATATAATCACAGTTTTCATGAAGTAAATTTAACATTCATTTGACATTTTAACTAGTTTACCATCCTTATTCCACTTTCTTCAATTGACACTATAATATCCTTTATAACATTTTTAAATTCTCCAGTAGGGAATCTAGTCAAAGTTCAAATATTAAATTTACTTGTCATGTCTCTTGAATCTTTACGTAATGTCAAGTATCACCACAGCCTTTCATTGAAGATCTTGAAGGATATAGTAAATCATTATTATTATTATTTTACTCAGTTTCTTCTCATCTAATTTAGCTAATAATTCCTCATTATTAGATTTCGGTTGTGAATTTCAAGCCAGAACACTGCATCAATAATGTTGTATTTTTCTCAGCGTATTCTAAGAGCAAATAGTAAACATTTGTTCCTCATTGATGTTAATCTTGATCACCTGTGCAAGATGATGTATGTCACTCCACTTTACAGTTATTATTTTTCCATTATAACTAATAAATAATCTGTGGGGAGACAATAATGGCTACCTCTTGATTGGTCATAACAAAGTGGTTAAGAAACTCTACTGCTTTGCTACATTAAATAAAATGCACATGCTCAAAATAGCTCCATAATGTCTAAATCAGTTTTAGCACAGGCACTCTAGAACTATAAATCTGAACATAGATCTCAAGGCCTCCCACTCCACTAGTAGAGCTATTGGACATTGAGAAAAGGGTACACACATGCTATGGTTTGAATGTTTACATCCCCCCAAAATTCATATGTCAAAATCCTCACCTCTAAGGTAATGGTAGTAGAGGTGGGCCTTATGGAGGTGATTAAGTTATGAGGACAGGGCTCTCATGCATGGGATTAGTGCCCTTATGATATAGGCTCAAGTGAGACCCTTTCTGTCTTCCATCAGGTGAGGTTGAAGAGAGAAGAGGGCTGTCTACAAGAAAGTGAGTCCTCACTGGACACCAACTCTGCTGATGTTTTCATCTAGATATATTGATCCCAGCCTCCAAAACTGTGAAAAGTAAATTGTTGTTGTTGATAAGTCACCCAGCCTATGGTGTTTTGTTGTAGCAGTCCAGATGCACTAAGACAACATATCTGTGTGATTTAAGTTTGAGAAATGCTGTTATGGGTGGAAGCAAGATTATGTAAGTTTTGCTCATAAATCACAAGCACAGTTTATCTGAGAATGCAAACACTGTGTAATGTTGCAGGACAAACTGGATTTTATATTTCTTCAGTGATGTTACCTAATCAAGAATTAATAATTATGACATGGTTTGGCTGTGTGTCCCCATCCAACTCTCACCTTGAATTGTAATAATCCCCATGTGTCATGGGAGGGACTTCATGGGAGGTAACTGAGTAATGGGGGTGGGTTTTTCCCATGCTGTTCTCATGACAGTGAATAAGTGTCATGAGCTCTGATGGTTTTATAAATGGGAGTTCCCCTGCACAAACTCTCTTGCCTGTTGCCATGTAAGATGTGCCTTTGCTGTTCTTTCACCTTCCACCATGATTGTGAGGCCTCCCCAGCCATGTGGAACTGTGAATCCATTAAACCTCTTTTTCTTTATAAATTACCCAGTCTCAGGTATGTCTTTATTAGCAGTGTGAGAATGAACTAATACAAACTACTATACAAGTACAAGATACTTGCCCAACAGGTAAAAAATTTTGTTTGTTTAGGAATTTCCATATTTCTATTATCATTCCAATTCAACTTAAAACTTTGTCTCAGAGTTTTTCCATTATCACACAGATGTTTAACAATGAATCACAAGAAGAACTGAATCAATTAAGGATGTTATTCTAAGTTATGCTCTTGACTAACTGAACACATCTCAGTCCATTAGAGATAAAAATGCAATACATATATTAGGCTTCTGAATTCTACAGGGTATAGCTCTATATTTAGATTAGGCCAAAATATATATGAGTGTTATAATATGTCTATGACATTTGTGAGTTCAGAGGAGGTTTTCTCACTTACAAATGCCTAACTGGACCCCATTTAAATATAAAGAACAATTCAATTTATTAATTCTGACGTAAGATATGTAGATGGAAAAAATCAACCTATGTTTGACTTTCAAAAACATCAACTAGTGGTAAAAATAATCAAGCTGATATGTATTGAAGGTGTATGTTGATGAGGTATTTCACTGAGGCTTGTTCAAATATTTTAAATTTGACATTACCAATGACCACTTTTTTTTTTTTATTTTGAGAAGGAGTTTCCCTCTGCTGCCCATGCTGGAGGGCAGTGGCACAATTTCGGCTCACTGCAACCTCCACTCCAGGGTTCTAGCAATTCTCCTGCCTCAGCCTCCCAAGTAGCTGGGATTACAGGTGCCCGCCACCACACCTGGCTAATTTTTGTCGTTTTTAGTAGAGACAGGGTTTCACAATGTTGGCCAGGCTGGTTTTGAACTTCTGACCTCAGGTGATCCACCTGCCTTGGCCTCCCAAAGTGCTGGGATTATAGGTGTGAGCCACCGTACCTGGCCATGACCACTTCTAAAACATATAAAAGTGAGTTTATCCAAAAATCCAGAAATGATTTCTTCAAGTTTTGCTAAAGTCACATATCTATTTGTTCAAGTTCTTCCCTTCCTGCCTTCCTTTCTTCCTTCTTTACTTTATTTTCTTCTTTTTTCTCTCTCCCCCTTTCTTCAACCCTCTTCTTCTCCCTCCCTTCTTCTTCTTTCCTTCCTTTCCTCTCTTCTCTTCCTTCTTTCCTTCCTTCCATTTTGGCTTCCTTATATAGGTAATTAAGTGAATTACATAGGGTGTTGATATGTAAAATTTACTCTGCTAATACTTTCATACCTTTAAAGAAATCCTTTTTACCATAATTGCAACAAATTCGATGACATAAAAAAGTCATTGCAACTGCTGAAAGACAAAGGCAGGGGCCAAGGACATGGAATGGAAATCTAGACTGCTTGTTTGTGTTCACTGAATAACTTGAAACAGTTTTAAAATAAGTGTGAAGTTGCCTTTTGTGGAATCAAATGATAATATTCAAATACATCCCACAGACTTGTTCAGTCTATGATTTTACATTATTTCTGTTATGTCCGGTGCCTACAATGAATCAAAAGAAGCCAAAGATACAGATTCCTTCATGGAAAGAAAGATGTAAGACCTCCTTTGTGTAGATTTAAAGTAGACTCACAGGATATTGAACCTCAAAGGAACCATTGTCACCATTCAAACAAATCTTTTTATTTTTCAGATAGGGAAACTTAGACTTAGTAGGTGACATTAAAAAATTGATTTGGTGGGAGTTGTAAGTGAAATATAACATAGCTGATAAGGATTCTGTATAACAGCTGTCCACAAAACTAAAGTGAAAGCAATTTAGCAAAGATTGTCCCAACTATTCTGCTTAAGGATTTCCACTGGAATGCTCCCATAGGATTATATTTTCTTCCATATGTAGAACACACTACAAGATAGGTATAACGTTAATATTCTTGATATGAATAGAAACTTTTAAACAACAAGTATAACTTACATGGGAGAGTTTTTTTTAATACATTCTACTTATTTTGACTCAAACACTCTCTTGTAATAACAAGTTTAAGATCCAGTTCTGGTGTCAACCTTTCTGCTTTTCCACAGGCTTTCTTCTAGTCACCACTAAAACTTGTACACATCTCTACTGCAATTCTCCTCACTTTCTGTTATATTTTCTTTTCTCAACTGATGGACAGTAAATTCCTTGTGATGGTGACTAACAAGTTTGTACCCCAAGCACTTTGCACAGGTACATAGCCATATAACAGTTTCTCAGCAATATTTCTTTAATAGATAGCTGGATGGATACATGGGTAATTCAGTCCTGTAAACATGGACTGTGTTTCCTTCACTATTGGTATTTAAAAGCATAGAAAAGATAAAAAGTGCAAAATTCATTTAGGTAAGCATCAAATGGTGATGCTTTTAGAGGGTATCTTTCAGAGTCCATATATATATCTCCTGTGATTGATTCTAAGCAACTTACCCAAGACTCACTCATTGACTTAGTTGCAGACAATTATGCAAAACATTATTTGAAAGGACCCTCCTTCATTTCTTAACTTGGTCATTCCTTTTCTCTTCTCACTTTTTATTATGTCCTTTCAAAGAGATGCCCATTATGATCATAGTCATTCTCCTTACAGAGAGACATGACAGATGTATCTGTTTACAAATATAAATGACTTAATGTGCTGCTATTTGGGCAGCTATATTTCAAAGGAGAAACGAAGTGAGAGGGAATATTTCCTGGAGGTATTTTAGGCTTCAGCTACAAAGTAGAGGAGCAGCACTGATTCCCAGATATTTGTTTATATTGTTCTGCAAATATATTTGTAGTGGGATCTACAAATGTGTTGCCCAGGTCCTTCTTCAGGATGGAAGAACTTATTCTTCCTATTGCTGGGATTGCTGCTGGCTGTCAGGTCTTAGCTATCAGTGTTCTGAATTGTCTTAGCTGATATGAGCTGCCCCTTCCAAGGTCACATCCACTTCCTGCGCAACCCACATTCAATATCGATTGACATGGGGTCTCTTGCCCAAATTCAAGAAAAGTCTGCAGGGTCATTCCAACTTCAGAGACCACCATAGGCCCTTCACTGAGATTATCAGAGCTCAACTTCTTCCTATGTGTAACTCTGCTTCTTTTTTTTCTGCTCACCAATATCGATCCCAAGTGTATTCCCTAATACCTCTCAGGTATGTGAATCTCATTTCAGATTCAGCTTTTCATCAATTTTAAATGTTTTTTAGAAAATTTGTATTTTTAAAAACAAAGAACAAATGAACACGAGTAGATTTTATTTTCCTCCTTTTCAGTCTTTCATTTAAGCTAGTTTCCCTTTGACACTTGCTCCATCAGCTAATAATCTGTAGAAATAAATTACAATAAAGAAATCAATCATTAGGACTTTGAGGCTAAATTATAGTAGGTCACCAAAACTGTTATAGAAGCCAGTTCAGGGTAGGGTGTCACAAACCATTAGAGAAACCAAACTGTGTGGACATCCATTCACTTGATGAGACAGAGAATTTCTGAGCCCTCAGAATAAGAATGGAAAATGCCCAAGTGATGAAAACTATATATCAAAATTTCTCAGATGTTGAGAGAGCTGATTTTTTTCAATATAACAGTCTATCAGGTACAGCAGCACACTACAAATGTTAATACCTAAGTGATCAATAATATAAACTCATAATTTAGGTGTTGGAGTGATAATTAAAGACTCACTGGGTAATTTTCTAGTGTGTTGTGAAACTTAATAGCTGATTTGCCTATACCAAAGTCCGTTCTACAAAATGATATAATCTGCCTTCTTTGCTTAATTTATGTCTTTCTTACTTTATTTATTTAAAAATACCTGGTCATATCAGAGACAGTTATTAATTATAAATCAAAGATGGGATTTGGCTTTAGTCAGAGAAAAGCTTGGCTGAGGATAGAGCATGTGTATTCTGTAAGCGTCTGCTGGCATGCAGACTGAACCATTCAGCCATGGATTCTGGTAGAGCTGGGAAGCGAAGCAAGGAAGGCTTAAGGGACTAATCCAGGTAACACAGGTAATGTGGGACTCCGTAAAGAATTAAAGGTGAACCTAGTTAAAGATTACAAAATTAACTGGGTGGAAGGATAAAACTGAGAGGTATCCAGCTCCTTTTCATCAATTTTAAATGTTTTTTAGAATAGTTTGTACTTTTAAAAACAAATAACAAGTAAACCCATCAGTAGATTTTATTTTCTTCCCTTTCTGTCTTTCATTTCAGCTAGTTTCCCTGTGACACTTGCTCCATCAGCTAATGATCTGTAGAAACAAATTACAGTAAAGAAATCAATCATTAGGACTTTGAGGTTAAATTACAGCAGGTCACCAAATCTGTTAGAGAAGCCAGTTGAACGTAGGGTGTCACAAACCATTGGAATGCAGATTCATTGGTGTAGATTTCAGTTTCTATGGCAGAACACTTACATATAAAGTTTATGATACCTATTAGAGATGATCTAGATTTATCTTTGGACAAGAATTTACACACACATGTATTAACCAGTCAAATGAGTGAAGACATAGACAGGATTAGGCAGAAAGAAATGTGCCATATATTACTAGTTTACAAGAATATCTGCTTCCTAAAATGCTTAGCTTTGTTGTGCTGTTTCTTTCTTCTTGGGAAACCAAATTATATAAACATGGGCTGAAAAAATGGGCAGAAGTATTTCAAACTACATCTTGAAGTAAAGCTTTATGAAATAAAGAGAGCAGCGGGGATTATGAGGTTGGTGGCAAAGGGCACAGAAACCAATCAGTAAATAAAGTAGTGAGAAAATTATAGGGTGAGAAAAATATACAAGACATGATCCCTGCCCGAAGAGAACCTACATTCCGATAAAATCACAAGTTATTTGCTTCAAACAATAAAGTTCTATTCTACATGTCCTAATTAAAATGCCAATAGAAGCTCACAAACTACCTGAAATTTAGTTACATACATGTTGTTTTTAACAGAATCTTTCAGTTCAAAAATGTTCTCTACTTGAGGCTTAAGTAATTGTTTCATGTCATCATCAGTATATATTTTTAACCTAAAAGAGCAGAATTTTGTCATGTTTGACAAACAAGTGACAACATTTTAGGGCTATGAAAGAGGCCACAGACATGACCTAATCCAACTTCTTTCATTTATATAAAAGACTTTCAGGTGAAAAATGTTTGAAGTCCCACACAAAGTCACATAGTGAGAGACAGTACTTGAATTCAGACTCAATCATACTTAATGCCAAAGCAATATTATTTTCCCCCCCAAATCAGCCTTTTATGTCTAACCTATCAGAAAATAATTACTAATGGATTTAGGAAATTCAAATTATGATTTACATCTGTTGTTTCTTCTCTTTCCTCCTTACGTTATACGTGTTATGTTTGAGAGGATCGGCATATTCAAACAGCATTAGCATCAAAAATAGCTAACTATGAATCAAAGAAACACTTGCTCCATTACCACTTTTTTCCTTGTTTGTTGAATTCATGTACATATACATACATATATAATCTGAGCACTTTATGATAGGACCTTAAGACCTAGTAGTTCATCTGACATAAAACAAAAGTTTATTGAAAAGATCAAAGTGCTGCTGCTTCTGGTGGTTTAATATAATAGCGTGCAGCATGTTACTGTAATTACTCAGAGCTGACAAGAGAAATACAAGATAAAAAAGATTTCTTCAAATAATAGTAGAATGTTTTAAATAAAAAAGCCCTAGATTTCAAAACCTTTGTTTTATCTTATGATATCTTTAATTTAATAATGAGTGCACAAATATAATTCAAGGAGTGCTGTCATTAAATTACTTCTTTTTGTCTTAAAAAGAAAATATTCATATTGGTAATATAATTGTTAATGATTTAAAGCTGGAAGTAAATGCAGTATGAGTTCCTTCTCAACTTATAAAGGACATGAAACATTTATAAATTTTTTAAATATGCCAATTTGATTTTGGGAAATTTTATTTTTGAAACTGATATTTATATTTTTAGATGACTTTAAATTTTTAATTGTAATGCCAGAGAGACTTGCTTAGAGACAGGGTGCAATCCAAATCTCCAGAAAAATTTATCTATAAGACCTAAAAGTAATAGTGATTTTTTTTTTTTTTTTTTTTTGAGACACCCAGGCTGGAGTGCAGTACCACGATCTCAGCTCACTACATGCCCACCTCCCAGGTTCTCTCCTGTCTCAGCCTCCCAAGTAGCTGGGACTACAGGCGCATGCCACCTAACCCGGCTAATTTTTGTATTTTTAGGAGAGACGGGGTTTCAACATATTGGCCAGGCTGGTCTCGAACTCCTGACCTCAAATGATCTGCCCGCCTTGGCCTCCCAAAGTGCTGGAATTAAGGCGTGAGCCACCACGCCTGGCCAAGAATGGTGATTTTTAATGATTGACTAAACTCACTTTTTAAAAACATACATGAGTCTAAGTTAAAAAGTAAATGTTGACAAAATATTGTAAACATCTCATCTTAGAAAGCTACCTCATCAGCCAACTCAGATATTAAAATCAAAAGTATCACATATGAAAATGCAAAGTTACATAACTACTAGAAACAAATGGTCTAGGCTACGTTACCCCATACATGATTGACTCATTTCAGATGATTAATCTACTCTCATTCCTAAATGTTAGTATTTGCTCCCTACTTCACCCCACCCCATCCCTGCTCCCCATATAGATGGCAGATGTCTGCTGTATTTTATTCTTATTTATATGTGGCTTCCAATAAAGACTAGTAGAACTTTCAAGAGCAGAGTGATTTGCCACAGCTGAGCTCAGTGGATGAGAAACCTGAAAACAAAGTAGTCTTCCACCATAATTCACACTTTTGTGTAAGTGTGATTATATAAATATATTTTTTCACCATCATCCATCTGCAATTACAATAACTCCTACTGCATGTTTTCTGAGTTATTTTTAATTAAATGTATACTCTAAGTATCATGAAAAGAGATGCTTGTCTTGAAAGCAAGAGGAAAGTCAGTTTGGGAAAGTAGGATGCTGAAGTTTAATCAGTTGGATGTGTTGATTTATTATTCATTGTGGTATAATAATAATGGATTCTCAAGTATCCTGTATCATTGTAGTGGGCCCAGTGGAATCATAAAGGTCCTTATAAAAGGAATGCAGAAGGAGCCAGAGTCAGAGAAGAAGGCAATGTGACGACAAAGCAGAGTTTGGAGTGATTCAGCCACAATCCCAGAAATGGGAGCATCCTTTAGAAGCTGCAAGATTCAAGAAAGATTTTCCCTGGAGCATCCAGAAGGAAACAGCTTTGGAAACCTCTTGACTTTAGCCTCATGAAACTCATTTCAGACTTCTGACTATGGGAATATAAGAGATTAAGTTGATGTTTTAAGCCATTAAAATTGTGGTAATTCGTTTCAGCAGCAAACTATAACTAATGAACTCAGCAATCAAATTCTTGATTCCATTGACTTTCAATCTAAACTCTGAGCCTCCTTGTGTGAGGTGGTAGCACTTTTCTGGGCTTCCATTGTCCCATAGACCATTCCCATGGACATCCCAAGATAATCATGACTGGTCAGCCTCCCTTTTCCTCCATAACTCACCATGTTCCTTAAATATACCCAAGAACACCACTTTCTAAGGTCATTGTCTAGCTCAGGTATAAATAGGTTGGATTTCCACAAAGTGAAAGGCATGACTAACTCCAAGATAAGAACGATGTTTCAGAGTCTTCATCCTGTTCAGATGGCAAACAACTAACTGGTATCAAAACACTCCTTCAGACACATACACACACACACACACACACACACACACACACACACACACACACACACAGGAACACTAGAGGATCTTTTCGTAAAAGGTTTTTATTTTTTCCTATTTTACCGATGATTTGATTTCAGAGATATAAACTACTGGGGACAATAAAATCTGATTACCAAATAGCTTCACCTCCTAAACTTATCCCAACCATAGCCATTCTTTGTCTCCCACTTCACACACATACCATGGATTCAGGATTCATAGTTCCAAATGTGAGACCTGAAGCCTAAAGCTCTGTTGTTACTTAGGCTGGAGTGTAAAAAATTTCTTGGTACATCGTATGGTCTTTTCTTTAAACAGAGCAATCCAAAGTATATTGAAATACATAGACATTTGAAAGAAACATTAGACTAAATCATTTTTTACTGAGAATGGCATTTGGACAATTCCCCAGCCCGGGATTTTCTAAACACACATCTACATACCAGCTGTATTAGAATAACATTGATATGTGTGTATATATGTATATTTCCAGAGTCCAGAACTGCACACATTATTATGTAAGCCATTAAAATATTTGTGTTAAATCACATTTGGCAATGTAGAAGCTCAGCTATGTTTGAAAAAATCAATCCTCTGGATCATAATGTACAGTTGGGGCAATGTTTATGAGACTTTTGTATAAATACCCTTTATGTCTGTTTGATGTAACCAAGAATAGATAAAAATGGCTCAGATTTTTAAATCTGTACTTGAAAATAGTTTTTATTCACTTTGGTTTATTGATCAATGTTTTCATCAGTGCATTTTTTAATGATTTCTCTATGGAATTAATTATATAAAATATTTTCTGCCAGCACTTCTAGAATTTCTGATTATCCTAAATAAGTATAATTAACAAGAAGAAATCATACACACATGAAGATTGGTGAATATATAATTCACATTGATTTTGAAAGTCAGTGAGTGCTGTCAATATTTGAAATCCATTTTCACTTTGGAGGCTGAGGCAGGACAATTGCTTGAACCCAGCAGGCGGAGGTTGCAGTGAGCTGAGACCACGTGCCACTGCACCCTAGCCTGGGCGACAGAGCAAGACTCCGTCTCAAAAAAAAAAAATCAATTTTCTCTCTCTACTGACATGGATAACAGCTCTCTTAGACAATCATGTAAAATATTGAGGCACACTTGTTTCTCTTGAGGTCACAAAAAAATAAAAGAGTGTCTAGTTTTCTTGGGATTCCCACTGCTTGCATGGGCTTTCATCCTATCCCAAAAGAATTTAGGCACATTTTACCCAACACTATCTCTTAGTCATAGGACATGTAGTCTTGGAAGCAAAGAGAAAAATTATTAAGTAGAACTTTCATTTTCTTTTCTCTTCAGGCAGCACTTTAAGCATTTTCTCCCAATCGGTTCTTTGTCTATGAAATGTAAATAATTACATTCAAATACAATAATATCTCTAATAGTTCCTCCTGTAGCAATCTATTGCATTTAAAGTTATTTGATAACTATGGGAAGAGCTGATATGTGTAAGTATCATACTCTTTTCCCCTTCACAAAATACTCATTTAGCCAAAAGATCCCATTAATTCCACATGGAGATAATTTAGTGCAACTTCCTAAGTTTATAAATGAGAAAAGAGAGATGGCTTGCTGAAAGTCACATACTTTTTTTTTCTTTTTTTTTACAATTAAAGCCATAATTAAGCCGCATGCCTCACAATTGAGGTCAATGCTGTTTTCCCCTTGCTCCCAAAGGGCTAATGCATTACTTTTCTCACATCATGATCTTAACACCTCTCCTCTGCATTCAAAAAATGACATTCTGCTTTTCCTCCTGAAAGTTCCCTGATTGAGAGTTTGAACATTAGTCTACAGCTTATCAATGAGAAATCAGAATTTTAACTCCTGCCTGCATGTCTATCAATTGTGAATTTTTGACAAAGTTAAGAGATAAATAAATGCATTCTCTGAAAAGACAATGGTTCAGTTCTCCAGCCAACGCAATCTTGCTCCTCTTCCCTGACTTTCTCTTTTCCTTTCACATCTATTGCTCGTCTGGAATTCTGGCCTGATGTTACCTCAGTATGTTATAATATAATAAAATGCATATTATAATACACCTTTAATAGTTTAGAGGAAATAAGACTTTCCAGATATTGGTTTCTCATGTGAAGCTAAATATTTGTTTCTAGGAAAATCTATCCTATGACATTAAGACCGCTCTGCCCTGACTTTTTGAATATCACACTGCTAGGTGATCCCCCTACTAGTCCTAGTCCAACTTCCATCTCATGAAATATTTTTTTGTCTTACCTAGGTAAAATTATAAGACAGATTATTGAAAAATAAATACCATAAGAATATTAAGGTTTGCATTTTGTTAACTGCATTCTATCAAGTCAAAAAAGAAGCAAACTATATATTTTCCAAATGCCAAAGTTTCTGTCACCTCCCCATACTATTGAGAAAAAAATGTTTCAATGGAAATTTCTATGTGTTTTTCTTTGATGTCCTGTTTTATCATTGAAAGGCTGAATGATAGAGGTTTCCAGAGATTTGGAGTGAGTGGCTCACCTTAGATCATAACTAAGGGAAACCATATCATCTAAGAAGCCAAACCCTTTTTACCTAGATCAGAAATGTGTTGAGCAGCTTATATTCTGTCAGTTTTGTGGTGGTGGCTGTTGTTGTTTTTGGAAGCAAGGAAGTACTCTCCTAGCTGAAATACAAGAAAAAGAAGAATAGATAAAATGTTCTATTCTCTCCCCCCTTGCCTCGTTGTGTGCTATATCCAACTGAAAACATCATTATAGCAGGGAAGAACCCTGTACAAAATCACTGCAGATATAAGCCTGACCATCTTCTATTGACTATAATAAGGTTGATGTCCTAATTGGTTCATATAAATGCCACAGGAATTATGCAACATGGTCCTGACAGAGACCACTTTCACCCTGAATGAATTTTAGCTGCAGTCTCAAATTCCACTGTGTATCACAGTAGACATCTTGTTGGTGTGGAGATCTGGATTTTTAACCATTGCCTACAAGAAGTTCTGTTACATGTAGTTTGTCTTGAAAAATAATGTCCTAAGAAGTAAACATCCCAAGGCCAGCAAAGTAATACACAAATTTAGATTTATATTGTTGCCCATATGAGTTAGGAAAATAACATCTAATATTATGTGGCATTTATTATGTGCTAGGCACTGTTCTAATTGCATGGTATATGAAATCATTTATTCTTCAGAAAAATCTCAGGAGATAGGTACTGTTATTACTATTCCTATTATAGAGAAAAGGTTATCAAGGTATTAGGATTAAAGTAATTTATCTGAGGTCAAATGGTTAGTCCAGACTGAAATTTTATCCCAGACAAGATGGCACTAGAGATCATGCTTTTGTTGATGATATTATACTGTCACTTACATGCCAATCACTGAACCTAGCTGTATGAACCTTGACTATTCTCAAACTGGTTACCTTCTTTGTAACTGCCCTGTCCCATTTACTTTGAATAGTTTCTTAACTTGCAGTATCTTTTCAGAAATAACTTTCAAATCCTTACTACTTTTAACCTTTCTTTGGTGCTGTGTGTAATTTATTCTTTCACACAGGCAGGACAGGCCCAAAGAACACCTGAGCTGCGATGTGACACGTGCAGTTACATCAGCCTGTGGAGATGGGTCAGGCATTTTCCCAAGCAACAAGGAATGACACTGTGGTGGGAGGTTTATTTACATCATCTATGAGTAAAAGCTGGTCATCCTTTCTGGTTGAACTCTCAGTTGCAAGGGATAGATTGACTCTATCAGGATAGAGAATAGTAATGCCCGTGTAAGAGTAAGGTGATTCAGGCCAGGTGCCGTGGCTCACGCCTGTAATCCCAGTACTTTGGGAGGCCGAGGTGGGCGGATCACGAGGTCAGGAGATCGAGACCATCCTGGCTAACACGGTGAAATCCCGTCTCTACTAAAAGTACAAAAAATTAGCCAGGTATGGTGGCGGGTACCTGTAGTCCCAGCTACTCGGGAGGCTGAGGCAGGAGAATGGCGTGAACCCGGGAGGCGGGGCTTGCAGTGAGCCGAGATCGCACCACTGCACTCCAGCCTGGGTGACAAGACTCCAACAAAAAAAAAAAAAAAAAGAGTGAGGTGATTCCAGGCAAAAAAAGAATGGTAAATTTAGAGTCATTAAAAATGATCAAGTTCCCCAGCAAGGTATTAAGAATATCTGTAGTACAATTTCCAGAGAACATAAACATTTGAGATTAAAATATTAACTAAAAAAGGTAGGACAAAGACAAATATGTAATAGCTGTTGAAATTTTTAAAAGTGATTTTTTTTCATGTCCTTAAAAAGTAAAGCTAGAGAAGAAAAGGTTTAGTTTGTGCCAACATCAGTCAAAGGGTATGCCAGAAAACCAAAGCAGTCACTTTCCCAATATTACTGCCTTCATATTTATGATAGCGCGAGTCATTTATCATCCATCTCAGTGCTATTCAAGACACTGGATCACATTTATTAAAACATTTACCATCACATTGCTTACAGTAAATCTATGTTTTTTAAATAGAGAATATTTCTGAAGAAGAGATAGAAATATGTGAGTGGTGAATTGCTATATAAGAAGGTTGTTTATCAAATCTTAATAAAATTTAGAGAAAAGCATATTACAAATAACATATGGTCTCATAATTGAAGAAATTACATGAGTAAGTAATGACATTTACATGATAATCAATAAATCAGTGACTATGCAATTAAACCAGATATTTTTTTCTTAATTTTATTTTTTATTGATAGGTAATAGGTGTACATATTTTAAGGGTATATGTGATAATTTAATACATTCATAAATTTGTAAAGATCAAATCAGTGTAACTGGGATATACATTATCTTATGTATGTCTTTTCTTTATGCTGGAGACATTCACATTGGAATTATTCTCTTCTAGCTATTCTGAAATACACAATGGATTATTATAAACTGCTGATCTATCAAACAGTAGGTCTTATTTCTTCTATAAAACTGTATATTTGTACCCATTAACCAACTTCTCTTAATGCAAACCTTCAAGACCTTTTGAGTTTTACTCAAACTAGAACACTGTGGATCCTTTGACTGGATGATCATTTTGACAAGCAGAGTAAGCTACTTAAAGTAGAAGCTTGAGACTCAGTGGGCATGTGATCAGACTTCAGTGGCATGTGAACAAAGCATTGTCATTCTAAGGTGGCTGGAAGGGACCTAACTGCAGACAGTGAAAGAACAGTTCAGGTTGATGAGGTGGCAGCGGTTAATAGCTGGCATCTAATTTGGCAGTTGAGATACGGAATGATCAGAAGTTTGAGCACTTATTTTGGGAGTCTGAGAGGGGGATCTATAATTAGAATAAGTCAGATAGAATGAAAATAAGAATAAAGCAAACAATTAACCTGATTGATGTTTTCCACTGGGGTATATTGGCTGGTTTTTCACAGAAAATGTAGAGACGGGTTACCTTTAACAAAACTCTCCTGTCCTGCTATTATACCTTACCAGTCGTTAGGACCTTTATAAACTGAAGTGTGGACACAACAGAGGGTTTGCCACTGAACTGACTTTGTTTCTCCTCACAAATGGACGGATCAAAATAATGACCAATTTGTTTAGTTGATTAAGGGAAAAAAATGTCAGCAAACACGTTACCCATGTGGTAAAATATTTTTTACTTTTTAGGAAATGTTTTCCTATCCCCATGGTAATAGCTGTTATCCCATTCTCAGCCACAAAATCAGAAAAACAAAGGGCGAGTAAGGAGGCTTTGTCTCATAGGTTTTGCTATCTTGTTTAAAGTATCAATGTCTTGGGGATGCCATCTTCTTAGGATTATACTAACATAGTTTGTAGGTTTTCTATAAGGCAGTATTACAATGCCAAAGCAAAGCCCTAGAATGAATGTTGATCTACAAACAGCTGGTCCTGTTAGAGGAACACTTAACTCCTCCAAATTAATTGACTTATTAAATCAGTTTACTCATTTTACTTATTTTTCTTTTACTTTCATTAAGTAGAAATAAGTGTTTAAATTTACCCAATTTTATTCATAACATGAGGGAAAATACCAATTGGTCTGAAGGTCACCCTAAATTTCTACAAATCCTCTTATAGGCATGTTAGGGCTTTGTTGGCTGAGAACAAGGTTGCCTGCAATTTTGAGAACGCTTTGATACTCTTGTCTCCTATGCATCCTTGACAAATGTGGCTGCTCCCATGTTCCAGCTTTTCCAGTGTCACTTGAGGATTCTATGATACCTGTGAACATGAATAGGTAATCCTCAGAAGTAGGAAAATAAACAAAATAAAGTGTTTGTAACTATCTTTTATGATTGGCATGTACAAATTAAATAATGAGATTCTTTCTTCAGTCAAATTGGCAATGTGTGTGTGTATTTTAACTTTTACTTAATATCCAGTAACTGATACATGGAAAAATATCTAAATGTTAATAAGTATGAAAGTGCTTAAGTAATTTATAGCTCAGTCATCCTGTGAAGCTAGGCAGGCTTGAAAAAGAATGATTTTGAGTTACAAGGCCCTAAAAAGATGGGCAAGGTATAATAATTTTTAAAACCTTAACAATAAACACCACAATGTATGGGAAATTGTGAGTCATCTTTAATGTTAATGTTAGAAAAATACGAACAAACGACAGACATACATTTTTAATGGCAAAATCATATCCAGAAGGATTCATATAACTGTAATAGGAGTGACTATCTAGGAGTGGTAATAAGTGAGAGATTTACAGTAGGATTCTCGTGTGTGTGTGTGTGTGTGTGTGTGTGTGTGTGTGACAATTATATTTTTATATAATTATTACAAGAAGTTTATATAATAAACCTACATATTATATATATAATAGATATATATACATGATAATCTTTTGGTTTTGGGTATGTATTGTATGTGACTTCTATCATTTGTACTGAGGCTTTGACTCAAACTAGGAGAAAAATAAGTAATTTTTGTTTCTGAACCTAGGAAAACACTAAAGTCTCATATGGGATGTAAGTCATATTTTCAATGAATGCCAGTTAGCATGTTTTACAGAAAGGATTTGATATATATGTCTCTGCTGTCAAGTGTGCCGATAGTTACAATGTGGATTCTTTACATCATGGAGCTTTTTGGGTCCTGGTGGTTTTGCAGATGCCTCTATAGTCTCTTGTGGGGTCTTGAGTTCCATCAGGCACTCTAATTCCTTAAATAAGTTTCAGTTTGTGGTTTTAGCTGATTAGAGTAGAAATCAAACACTTGCATACAAATAATTGCTAATGAAGAATTTTATTACTTGGCCTTTCCCTGTGACACAAACCTAGACATACTTTTTTTTATGGCAGATCTTGCAAACTAAAGGGGCTTTCCTGCAAAGACTGCCTGATGCAAAATTATAATAATAGCTATCGTTTGTTAAACATTAAATATACTTCAAGCTTCTTACCATTGTTATCACTAATTTTCTTAACTGCCCTGTGACTGAAGTCTTTTCCTTCCTCTCTCATTCCCTTCCCTCCACTCCCCTTTTTCTCCCATTCTTCCTCCCTCCTTCCCTTCCTTCCTTCCAAATACTTCCTGTTAAATTAGCATTACTTTCCCATCTCAGATCATATTTATCTCTTGGACTACAGCCTCCAATGAGCCTAGTTATCTAAACCACACACTTGACAATAAACATGCACTGGCTGTTTTATGACACTTCTTCAACTGTTTGATTGAACCATTCTACTCTGCATATCCTGGCACATAACTTTGAGTGTTGTGGTCTGGCTTGTTTTTTTAAATTTCATACTTTATTGCTTATTCTATAAAATTCTACCTTTCATTTTAAGTATTATATAAATTTTAAAATGCCTTGCCATATATTAGTAGGTTTCACCTTCACAACAAATCCATTAAATAGTGTTGGATGTATGTCATTCTCCCCTTTTGGGAGGTTTTGAAAATAAAATAAATAATTCAGACCCACACAGAAGAGTATGAAATAATATCTATAATTCTTGCCTTAGCATGACCTTTAACACCATAATATTAAATTTTAACTGCAATATTTTTGGAATTTTAAGCAGTGAAATGTACATGTTCACCTTCGTTTTCTCTTTGAATAAATGCATATGTATTATGCAAGGATTACTGGCTCTGTTTTCCTTCTAATAGTGTGTATAATATTACAATATCATGGGTAATGATCAATAATTATAATAATCATTACCATAATTTAACTATCTATGCAGTGGTTATCAACATGATAGAACTATTTTTAAGCATAATTGCTCTCCTTTGTAATCCTACATATTTTATTTTGTGCATTTAAGAATATTATTCTGAGATGAAGTCTCTAGGCTTCACTACTGCCTAGCAGCCTATGACACAGAAAGTAGGAGCCAGTGTTCTGTATAATTTGTAGCACTGAACACAGGTTCTGCAATTTTCAAATAACTGAATGCATGCACAAATGCACAAATAAACTTTACTTACTAAGTCAAATTACTTATTTTACAAAAAAAGTTTTACTTCACAATAGCCTTTTGAGATTTGATTAGAGCCAATTTATATTTTAATATACTATTTACACTTTTCTATTCTATGTACCATTTGAGCAAGGCGAGCTCACATTCAAAGGGAGGTCATATTCATGGTGAAGAGAAAGAAGATTTTCTCAGAAAACTGAAGTCCTAGCTTCAGGGTCTGTCTCCTTGAGTAAAACAGTTAACTCCTTTAACTTCACCTTCCTCATAACTGACATAGTCATCCATTCATTCACTCCAACAACAAATATTTATTAATAATTGCCTATTATATGTCATAAGCTGTGCTAATGGGGCATAATAATGCTTTGCCTTTCATGAGGTCGTCGTGAGAATCAAATGACAATGTATGTGAAAAGTACCTTATACAATTTAATAGGCTACAAATATAAGAAACATTTCTAATGCCCTACGTGATTTTAAATTGCTTTCTGAAATAGAGGACAAAATTATATTCAGCTGAGCTTTAATATTCAGGGAATTTTATTGAATTATAATTCTTGGAAATTGCTTTTATATTGTAACTTTCTTTAAAATGTATTACCCATTTTACATTTTATCAGAATACCAGGTTTCCTACCACACTATATAATCAAAAATTATTTATCAGAAGTTTTTTATACACTGTGTGTGTACGCGTGTGTCTGTGCGTGTATGTGTGTGTCTGTGCATGTGTGTATGTGTGTGTGTGTCTGTCTTTGGGTTGGGGATGTTCAAGTTATCTCATTAGCATTTTCAATTGCGAGAAACTTTACTTAGAAGCTTGTTATTGCGTCTCTAAATATATACAAATTTTTATGATACCATTATTATTTAAATGTCCTCTCTTATCCTCCAATTGAAAATTACTGCCCTTCGCATAGTTACTTTGTGCTTGATAGTCATAATTAACCTGTCTGTGGCCTTGCAGCTATGTCTGTAGAAGACATTCATAAAACAGGCATCTGCTCTATGGTACCCATATTATTTTTTCTATTCTGTCTAATATGAAGACACCATGGATTTATTTCTAAGGCAAGCCTCACCAGAGTTGAAGAGGTTTGTTTTATAGCACTTAACCTTTTTGGAAAAAATATGTATATTTATATATGTTTAATATACATATGTTTAATTCAACACTAAACAAGCATTTATTGGTACTCATTTTTATGTCCAGAACTATTTTAACTGTTGCCAGAATAATGAAATATGATCAGCATATGGTCCTATTAGATTAAAAAATATAAAAGCACACAGTGGTTAAACTGTCAAGTTTTGATGAGGTGTTCAACATGAATTAACTCCATTTTTCATAGAGAAAACTAGAACTGAATTAATCTTTAAAAATATTAGGGTTGGGGTAGTAGTGCAATAGATTATATGTGCGTTTGGTTTTTTTTTTTCACAAATATTAGCTGCACCTCCTTAGGAGATAATCATAATTTCTTGTTCCACCGGCTCCAAGTGTGGCAATTAGTTTTGCTCTGAATAATGAAATGTGAGCAAAAGTAACATGTGTTACCTATAGGAAAAAGTTTTTGGCTCTAGTACAAGGATACTCATGATTCCTCTTTTTTTTTGTCATGAGAGTGGCAAGGCAGTAGAAAGAGACTGCTTCTGGATTTTGACTTCCAAATCAGTTTGGATTTTAGGTTGGAGAATGTATGAAGCAGAGTCAAAACTGACCCATGTTAGTCAAGTGTCACTGGCAAAAAATAAACATTTGCTATTGCTAGCCACTGAAATGTTGAGGTCATGTATGACTTCAGCATAACCTGTCTCTTCCAAGTGATGCTAACAAATCGACTTCTTGGGGGCTTTTAATTGCATTTCAATCCCCTTTGTTAGTACTAGCCCATAGACGGTGCTCACTAACTGTTGAATAAATTAACAATATATAATAATTTTAAGTGAAACATACTAAACGTTGGGAATGCAACTTAAGAAGATAAAATAATAATACTGCTGATCATTAAATTACTAATTATCTTATTGACAATCAGACATACATATCTCCATCTGTAATATCATGTAATAACTGGAGTGACAGAGGCATGTACAAAGAATATAAGTTTCTAAGAAAGGGGTGCTTAATTCAGAATGGAGCAGGTGTAGCTTTATTCCCCTCTGCCCATTCATTACCAATACCCCTGTCTGCTTTACCCACTTGTTTCCAAGGAAAGGGTCTCTGACAGTTTAATTGGCATATAGTTTTCATTGTTTCTGTAATCGATTACCATAAACTTGTGGCTAAAATAACAAAAATATACTCTATTACAGTTCTTTATAATAGAAGTCCGACACAGGTCTTGATGAGTTAAAATCAAGGTGTTGGTAGGGCTATATATTTTTGTTTGTTTGTTTGTTTTGTTTTGTTTTCTGTAGGATCTGGGAAAGAATTCACTTTCTTGTCTTTTCCAGCTTCTAGAGGCTACACACATTCCTTGCCTCATGGATGCTTCCCCCATCTTCAAAGCCAGCTATGGCAGGTCAAGTCACTTACACACTATATCACAGCTTTGACCTTTTCTTCTTCCTCCCTCTTCTACTTTTAAGAACCCTGATGGTCACATTGCGCCTACCCACATAATACAGGATAATGTCTCTATTTTAACATCAGCTGATTAGCAGCCTTAATTCTATATGCAACTCATTTTTCTTTGCCAAGTAAGGTAACAAATTCACAGGTTCCAGAAATTAGGGCTTGGATATCTTTGCACAGGGCTATTATTCTGCCTACCACAATTACCACCCAATGAGGTTCATTGGACTAGATGAGGCTAAACTTAAATGTTTTAAAATACGAATATGCCCTCTCTGATTCCTGGTTCAGACTTGGGTCAGGACAGCTTGCGGAGGCAGCCAAGTCATTCTCTAGATTTTGCACTATTGCAAGTGTCCAAGAAAATGAATTCACTTGGAGCCATCTCTTTGTTCTCTCTGTTCTCTCTGTAGGCATACATGCCCCAGCAGTTTTCATGAGGTAGACCGTGAGAGAGAAATTAGAATCACAACTCGAGACTAAAATCTAAGTTACATCTATCAGTTACATATTTATCAAAAAGTCCTGATTCAAGCTCAGTTGTTTATAAAATGGTAATATGTGTCTCATTCTTCCATTGTTTCTCAGAAGTGCATTCTTTGAGAACCCTGACGTCATGAAATTCTGGCAGCAAAATTAGATTAAGAGGAATGGAAGGTTGACTTATGCTACTGTTATTCCTGGGAAAAATTTATTATTTTCTGATCACCCCAAGAGGATACTTGGAAGTTAGTTGATTTGAGTGCTGACATCAGGGGAGAGAGGACGTCAGTGGTCCAAAATGAAAGCCACTGGAGACTCAGTGGTTTCATAACATCAACTAGAACTGAGGTGAGGATATTTAAGGCAGGAGATAGGGTATAATAATTAGGACCAAATTAATTATGGAGACTGCATTTGCTCTGTACATCTCATTGTTGTGTGAATAAATGTACAATCTGAACACATTATATTAGCTGCATGTGTATGCTGCCTTTCCCAAACTTAACCAAAATAGCCTTTGATAAGACAAATTTGAGTTTTGGAAAATGGCAATTTTCTAGGGCCTTAGTAATGTCCCAGAGTGGGAGAGTAAAAAGTATATTTACTGAGATTTTACATCTGGTTTAAGGCAGTTCTCTCAGTGCAAGGGCTTGGTTAGGATTGAAGAAAGGCCATGATATAATAGCTTAATATATGTGAACAGAATAAGGCAAGGATTCTGAGGTAATGGTTTCAAAGACTCTTTGGCATAAATCATAGTTTGAAACTTTCTCTGGTAGATCTGATGAGTATTTTAAGAGGTTTCTTAAATGTGCAACAAAGATGTGTGCAGCTCTAACTTCCTAGGCAAAAATCTCCTGGGATAAATAATAAAGAATAAAGACATATTGATAAATAAATAACAGTGCCATGTTAAATAAATAAAGAGTAAACTGTGGGGATGATCTCTGTTCTCATGATAAAGAAACACAGCAGAGACAACGTATCTTAGCATGTATAAAGTCACTCAATAAATTATTGAATCAGGACAACATCTCAATATTATTCAAGATACAAGATGATTTCCAAAGACCACAAAATCCTTTGTGTTTCATTCAGCACCTAATTCATCGAGTTATATCCCAGACGTAAGAAAAGTTACTGCTGATTTCTGAGATATTAAATGAGATAGCATATTGGAGTGAAATGAGTCTGTGATACATACCACTCAGCTATTTTCCAACATTGTTAACAAACTCGTCCCAAGTTTCTAGAAAGAAGCAGCTACCAACAAAGAGTGATATCATTCTTTGGGGATCTTAATGATGAAATTTTAACTTTCATGGAGAGGGAATTTTCCAGCTCACTGGAGTAGTATGTGATCTAATGATTATAAGTCAATTATCCATGATAAATAGTGCATGTGGGGCTTAATACATAGGTGATGGGTTGATAGAGGCAGCAAACCACCATGGCACATGTATACCTATGTAACAAACCTGAACGTACTGCATTTATCCCAGAACTTTAATTTAATTTAAGAAAAGAAATACATACCCACACACAAGAAGACTAAGATCAGCAATTACTACTGATTGAGTCCTTCGGAAATCAAAATCAGGAGCTGCACCAAACCATACATGAAGGAAATGTTAATGTACTATGAAAAGATGTTCATAAGGTACTTAGGATCCAGTTGAAGGTGAGAGTTTTTTAAGGGTGTAGGGTTTCCAGATTCTGATGAATGTAGACTTGGGCTTTCTGGAATTATGTTCCTATCTATCTCGTTCTTCTGGGAATTTATATTTCTTCTTTCTTTCTCATAGCTCACAGGATTGCAGTGAGAAAAACTATGGTAAATATAAACTACTATCTGTTGGCCACAGTTCAATAATCCAGGGACAGAAACAGGGCACACTTTTGGTCATTTAAGACATGTCCCTGAAAATGTTGGATTTGGAATCAAACAAATCAGGTAAAACTTTATTCATTCACTAAAGTTTAAAGATGTAAATAATATTCCTTATAAAGTTTGGGGAAGCAAAATATATATCTTGAAGTTAAAGGAGAGGAGTTGAAGAAAGAGATAGGAGAAAAGAGATGCAGTAATACTATATATCTTGTTCTTCTTCTTCTTCTTTTTTTTTTTTTTTTTTTTTTTGAGATGGAGTATCACTCTCTCACCCAGGCTGGAATGCAGTAGCATGATCATGTCTCACTACAGCCTCCACTGCCCTGGCTCAAGTGATCCTTCCACCTCAGCCTCCCAAGTAATTGGGACCATAGGTGCCTGCCACCATGCCCAGCTAATACACACACACACACACACACACATGCACACACACAGAAACACACATATGTGCATATATTATATATGAGTGTATATTTTATATATATAATGTGTGTATTATAACATGCATGTATTATATACATGTATATATAATTATTTGCAGAGACATGGTCTATGTTGTATTATATGACATGTGTATTATATATATATAACATGCATTATATATATATATATATATATATATATATATGTATATAATTATTTGCAGAGACAAGGTCTCTCTATGTTGTCCATGCTGGTCTTGAACTAGTAGGCTCAAGTGATCCTCCTGCTTCAGTCCCCTAAAGTGCTGGGATCACAGGCCTGAGCCACCACACCCAGCCAGTATTAGACCTCTAAATCAGTGGTTCTCAAACTTGTTAAAACACAAATTTCTGGGCCCCACCTCTAGACCTTCTTACTTAATAGATCTGTGGCAGGACTGAAGATTTGCATTTCTAACCAGTTCTTAGGTGATGCAGATGCAGATGGTCCAAAAACAACAATGGAATGGAACCTCTGGTCTAGAGCAGTGGGGAAAAGATCAGATGTCACATGTAAAATAATTTCTTAGAAATAGGGCAAAAATATATTTGCTATCAATCATTCACACTAGTGTTATCTTCTTCCTATTTTCAGATATTTAAATAGATTCAGTTTAACCAATAGTCAGGAAGAGTGATTTGGAGATAAAGGAGTTTCTAAGGTGGAAGGCTAGTGTGATTCTCAAAAGAGGGTGGAGTTTAAAATCAGGTGGAAATTCAGTATTTTTTCAACATAAGGGATTGGAAATTCAGCATCTCCAGCTGCCACTAATTAAACCCCTAAGATAACTGCCAAGTCTATACTTGGCTTGTCACCCCTGATTTAAAGGAAATGTCAATATGCTGAATACGGCAAAAGGGACATGGTTGCTGAAGTTCCCAAATAACAATGCATTTGACAGTTATGAAACAGCTCAACTGACAGCTTCCAGTAATGGAGCTTTTGCGTTTGGAAGAATTGGAGGCCAGAGCTAAATGTGGCACACATATAACATGTTATATTTTTGACAGAACAGTTGTAATTTAGTAGGTGTTTAAAAGAAATTACAATCTCCATGTCTTAGCCAAACTAGAAATAAAAAGCATCCACATGAAGGACATCAATGAGATAGACAGCAATTTCCATAAAAATAATTGACCCTTATGGTTCAGATATTTAAAATGAAATCCTAACAATGTCTTCTTCCAATATGGAAGATTGATTTGAACAATGGGATTTAAGTAATTCCATTTGGATCAGTTGAAATAACTGCACAGCGCTGAAAACAAGTTACACACCCACACAAATGAATTTGAGATCTGAGGGATCTGCAGTTTTCAGTAAAGAAGGATCTAGATTTTTTAAAAGAAAAGCCTCTTTTAAAAAAAAAATCACTTATGGAAGATCTCCTATAATGAAATTCCATGGTCGCATGCAAAACTTAGCATACCTTAAAACTAAGTTCTTCTTTTCATATTATATAAATCTTTACTAATAAATTTTAAGACTTTCTTCCCTGGGCTTTTTTTTACTGCACATGGCATGGTATAATTTAGAGAAACAAATGCATTCATTAACTTAGATACCAGATAACCCCAGTTTCTACCTTAAACTGAAAATAGATAAATTGGGAATACTAATAATTAATTAGACCAATCTCAATGGATACTTTTTTGTAATTGGACAGTATGACAGTGGCAGTCTATACTATCTACATGGAATTTTCTAATTATTCACTGATTTTTCACTCTGAACTTAACATCTTATTATGGTAGTTGGAATGATCAACTTTCACACACTTTGGAACATTTTATGAAACAATATTCGGAAACAGATTCAAAATAATAACATAAAATACCACAAATTAGCAATAAACAGATGAAAATATATAACTTTAGTATCACTGATATTCCATAGATTTCAAATTATAACAAAATTCTTTCACTTGTCAAGCAAAATCATTTTTGAGGTATAATTCACACAAAAAATGCTGTGTAGATTTTAGTTCAGAATTTGATGGGATTTGAGAAAACTGAACACCCATGTACTTACTAACCTAACCAACATATGGGACACTCAGAACACTTAGAAAGTTTGTTACTTTCATTAAAACAGTCAGTTATCTTTTAAAGATATTTAAAAGACAAGATAATTTTTTTTTATTTACCTACATTTTACCATTTCCATTGCACCTAATAATTTGCATAGATCCAGATTTCCACTGGGTATTTTCTTTCTGACTTAAAAAAACAATGTTTTTACATTCTTTGGAGTAGAGGTCTGCCTGTGATTAATTCTTCCAGCTGTTGTATTTCAGAAAGGTACTCATTTCACCTTTATTTTTGAAAGGTATTTTTTCTAGGTATAAAATTCTAAGTTGGCAGTTTCATCCTCTAGTACCTTAAAAATAGTGCTCCACTGTTTTGTGGGTTGCATTGTTTTTTTGACCAGAAGTCTTCTGCTGTTGTTATATTTTTTCCCCTTTACGTAATGTGTCCTTTCCGATTGCTTTTAAAATTGTCTCATTCTCAATGGTTTTGAGAAATTTGACTATGCTGTGTCTAAATGTAGTTTTCTTCATGTTGTTTTGTTATTGAGATTTGGATTGTTAAGCTCCTTGGGTCCGTACGTTTATATATTTCAGCAAATTAGAACAATTTTGGCCATTATTTCTCAAAGACTAGGCCACCTCATCATTTCTGTCCTTTGGGGTCTCCAATTACTGTAAACATACATTAAGCCATTGAAAGTTGTCTCATAGTTCACTGATGCACTGTTAATTTACTACAGTGTTATCTATTTTTATTTTTCTCCTCTTTGTATGCTTTATTTTGGGTCATTTCTATTGCTGTCACTACAAGCACACTTCTGCAATGTGTATACTGTTGTTAATTCCATATGGGGTATTTTTCATATCAGATATTTTTTCTTTTTATTCTAGATGTTTAATTTTGTTTTTTAAATTTTTTACTTCTCTAACATGCTCATACATTCGCTACCTGGTAGAATATATAAAGTAGAGTTACAATAAGTTTTTTATTATACTTGGGTACTAACTCTAACATCTATGTTATTTCTGAAACTATTTCTTTTTGTTGATTTTTAAATTGATAATAATTCATATTTTTATGCTTCTTTGTATGCCTGGTAATTTTTCTAAGATGTTGAATATTGTATTTATCATGTTTAGTGCCACATACTTAAGTGTTCTGTAAATATTTCTTAGCTTTATTTTAGGACACAGTTAAGTCAATGGAAAGGTTTGATATTTCCAAGTCATGTTTCTAAGCTTATTTTCAGAGAGCTGTTAGTCTAGAACTAATTTTTCCAAACTACTGAGGCCATATTTTTCTGAATATCCTGTCTAATGTTCAATCCACTGTAAGTTTGTTTTTTCCATGTTGGCAGGTAGAAATACAAACTATTTGTTGCTCTGTTTGAGCTCTGAGAAATTTTCTTTTTCTTTTTCTTTTTTTTTTAATTTTTTTTTTTTTTTTGAGACACAGTCTCACTCTGTTACCCAAGCTGGAGTGCAGTGGCACAATCTCAGCTCACTGCAACGTCACGATCTCGGCTCACTGCAACCTCTGCCATCCGGCTTCAAGTCATTCTCCTGCCTTAGCCTCCTGAGTAGCTGGGATCATAGGCGCCTGCCACCGTGCCTGGCTAATTTTTGTTGTTTTTTAGTAGAGACGGGGTTTCACCATCTTGGTCAGGCTGGTCTTCAACTCCTGACCTCGTGATCCACCCGCCTCGGGGAAATTTTCATTTTTTATTATATATAAAGTTTAAAATTTGATATTTTGATGTACTTATCTTGATATAAATATACACAATGAAGTGATTGCTGTAGTCAAGCAAATTAAATACTGCTCATATCTCATATAGTTACGTTTATTTCTTTTTCTTTTTGTGGTTATTTTTTGATGGGTCTGTCTTCAACCTTGGGTAGTTTCTTTATATATTTTTTTTCTCTGATTGGTCATCAGCTGAGGACTTGAAGGAAACCCTGTGTGATTTTCTGTATACAACTCTGCTCTCCATGCAGCTCTCTTCTCTCCTATAATTTGCCCTGGAAATTCTAACTGGCCTCCCAAATTCACAGTTCTGTTTCTTCAACATAAGACTGGGTTTGGGTACCCCCTTCATGCATTGTAGCTTAGAAACTCTTGACAGGTAAAACAATGGGGCAATTACAGGGCTATTTTGTTTGTCTGTTTCTCTCTGTGTTAACTTTCCTGTGCTGGCTGTTGTCCAATATCTGAAAACTGTTGTTTCATATATTGTGTCTGGGTCACTCGTTGTTTAAGGCAGGAGTACAAAATCAGTTCATTTTACTCCATCTTGGTCAAAAGCTAAAGGTGCAATAGATCAGTCGAGAAAGTAAAAATATCTAACTTAGCAACTCAAAATATTCCATGTCACCAATGGAACATTTAAACACAGGCCTTGTTGTTAAATTCTTTTGCATGAGTTTTCTCTGCAGTTGAGATCAAATTGTGAAATTTTATCTGTGTTTCTTCTTGTTATATAGTTAGTGTCTATAAAGAAACCTAATTGTCAATAATCACTGGATGATCAATTTTTGTATAAAATAGGTTGATGTTATAACAGTAATGACAAGTCTTAAAATTATATGCAAACATACATCCATTTTCATCTTGATATCTCAATTTGCTTCTTGAAATATAGAGAAAGACACAGAAAACAAAATGCTGTGAATAAAGTAAAAGCTAAATGAGAAAACACACTTCAGTGTAAGATGAAAAGTGATATTTCTGCTGAGTCTAATGCATTGATGTTACTTAGGAATATATTTTGAAAAGAGACATAAATAGACCTATTTAAGGAGAATATTTTTGACAATTCAGTGTTTCTGAAAATATATTATTTCATACAATGGCAACTTTAATTCATATCAGAAACAATAATTTGTTCCAAAACTTCAACAAAGCTAGAGGGAAGATATTTCTGACCCTGTGGTTCATAAAAGAATAGCATCTATTAAATATACTAATTTAGATTTGGGTTCTAATGCAGATTTCAAAGTTTTTAAAAAAATGTATGTATGAATCGTTTCTGAGAGACTAAACAAATAGTTTTATTTGAAGGTAAATTAGAAAATGTAGTAAAATATATTTTCTCATGTATATTTTTGGTGTTTAATTTGTAAAACCAATTAATTACTTTGAGAATATTCAAAACTAAATTTAAAAAATAGATACATGTTTTGAAAACTGACAATGTTAAAATCACCATCCTAGACTAGCTTTGTTTCAAAAGTTAACTAGTTTCCCAGATGATACCAGCCTGGAGTTAAATGTGGGAATGATATTCCCAATCAAATTGATTTTCAATGTTTCTGTTTTTAATGGTTAATTTCCTTACTTCACCTTACAGTTCTGGTATTAGGCTTTGTTAGTATATTATAATTTCTAGTACATTATATTTGATTTGTACTGGCCATGGGTTAATCAAAGAAAATACACTACTACTAAAATTAAATATACCACAACATCTGTGGTCTCTTCCATAACTGACTTGTAGGTGCATGTTACAGAAGGTATCTAAACACCTAATGAAGTGAAAGGAAGGAGGAGAGAAAGGAAGAAACAAATGAAGGGGAAAAAGAAAAGAGAAAAATATGAACTGGGAAGCAATCAAAAGCTGGCAATTTTCTTTGACATCTTCCTGTGTCTCTTTTCATGTCTATTTCAATCTTTTCCTTCATAAAAACAATTTTCTAAGGTCTCTCTGTCCACATAGTATAACTCCCTAAACTTACATATTTTAAATGCCCTTCAGTTTCACCAGCAAAGAGAAGCTTATTAGTTGTCTCTGATCCCCAATTTTATAATCCCTATAACAAAACTGGATCATATGTCTACTTCTGGTCTAAGCAACTAGACAGAGTTGAGGAAACAGTAGTAGTTCGTGAACAGAGTGATTGGCAACCCTAAGGAAGGAGAAAGATATTCTCACAGAAAAGAGTTATGATAAGCTGGACAGAACTGCCAAAATATATCTACAGCACAGAAATGTCAATGAGAATCAGACTGGTCAATCGCAAAACTTACAGAAAATAGCCATGCAAAATCCTCATTAAGAAGGAAAAATATAACAACCCAAAAACTTCACACTGGATCCTTATTACTTTATCTATTCTCACTACAGTCCAGTGTAAACCTTCTGCTCAACCTCATATTTTGACTTCGATTCTTGCTTGCTTTAATATTTCTATTTTCCCCACATTCCTTTGTACTCATCTATACACATTTTCTGTCATTTAGTATTAATCTAAAGCTACTATATTTCCCTGAAGGCTTCCAAAAATTACAATCTGTATTGCACTTTGTCGATTATATATTGTGTTATTTTTTTCTTCTGTAAAAGTCTTGCTTCTCCTATTTTCTTGAGAGCAGAGATTATAATCTATACATTATTTTCTTCCCTCAAATGCTCAAATATAGTGAACACTCCTTATAAAAATGATTTTCCCAAATTGAGGCAAATTAGCTTCCAGAAATATTTATTAAACTTTCTTATATGTAAGAATATATGATAAACCTCATGAAAATCAGGCCCCAGAAAGTGTCTAAAGTGTCCCTCCCCCAGATTATTATACCTCCTACTTTAGATATCTATCTGTATAAGGGAATGACAATGTAACATAAAGTAAAACTCACTAACTCACTTTCCAAAGTCGATTTGATTAAAAGCTACACTTGGACAATTAAACAGAGGTCATAATTTACAAAGAGGAAAATGCAAATTTAAAATCCTACCTTGAAATTATTTCCTTCATCCAAAAACTCAGGCATCACACTTTGAATTAGGCACGATTCATTTTTTTTTCTCTTTGTACAAAGTTCAAATATAAAGTCATTCCTAATTTTAGTTAATAATTTATGCATCCACATATTTCAAGAATTTTTAAAAGATTAATTCCAGGACAATAAAGGAAATTGGAGATTTAATGTTAAACCTTACCAGCTCAGACTTTTAAATGAGGGGAGAAAATATGCTGATGACATTTGCCAAAGCTTGGTCTATGTAAAGAAATGAAGTTAACCTTTTTATCTTACTGCAAGACCAAAGGTTGGTTGGTTTATTCTATCAGGATTCTCTTACCCCTGATTTTTGCAACTGTCAAAGGCTCAACAGTGCTACTGTGGATTTCAATTATAGAGCTAGTTACTGACAACTACAACATGAATGAAATTGTTATAACTCCGTAGAGTTAATACATCTATAAAATAAGGGTCCATTTCTTATGACCTACTTTAAAACTGCTATCGACTGAATTGTGTGCCTCCTCCCTAAAATTCATATGTTGAAGCACTAACCTGAAATGTGATAGTATTTGGAGATGGCATTTTTGGAGGCAATTAAGACTAAATGAGGTGATAAGTGAGTAGTCTTCATCCTATGGAATTGGTGGCATTATAAGAAGAGAGGGAGAGAAATGTCTGTCTCCCGTATGTTAGGAATACAGCTGGAAGACAGCCATCTGCAAGCCAGGAAGAGGGTGCTCACCAGAACCCTACCATGCTAACAACCTGATCTGGGACTTCCAGCCTCTAGAACTTTGAGAAATACGTTTCTGTTGTTTAAGATTCCCAGTCTTGGGTATTTTGTTATGGCAGACCAAGATAATACAAAAATTAATCTTGATGATTTGGAATAAGTGATTTGGAATCTGTAATAAAAACATAACAATTGTAATGCATTTATGTGTATGTGTTTGTGGAATACCAAATGGCATAAACACAATAAAAAATTGTTGAGGAAAATAATTAAAGTGGGGAAAGAATGTAGCAAAAGTGAAGAATACCTATAATATTTAATGAAAATGAGGTTGTATTAAGCTATCTATGATATTAATGTAAATGAGATGAATTGAATATGTCTATGGGCTATTTTTGCAATAATCACAAAATAAAAAGTAAATTCTAACAATATTATTCTGTCTTAAGTAAAGTTAGATACTCCATTTTTTGTCTTTCATACTAGCAAAGAACTATAAAGCTTCCTCAAAATAACTTTATTTTTTCAAATTAAATATGTCATACTGCAGAATGTCTTTTTTAAGGCTGAAGAGTATTCCATTTTATGTATATGCCACATTTCCTTCACGCACTTATCTGTGGATAGACACCTCTTTCACATCTGGGCTATTGTGAATAATGCTGCAATGAACATAGAAGTGCCAATGTACCTTCCAGACTCTGATTTCAGTTCTCTTGAATATATATTCAGACACTGGCTTGCTGGATCATAGGGTATGATAGTTTTATATTTTTAAGTTTTTAAGAAACCTCACATATGGTTTTCTATAGCAGCTGTACCATCTGCATTTCCAACAGTGTGTGAGGGTTCAAATTTCTCCATGGCTAACACTTGTTTTTTGTTTTGTTTTCTTAATTGTCATCTTGACAGGAGTGAGGTGATATATCATTGTAGAGGGTTGATTTGAATTTCTGTGATGATTAGTGATATTTAACAGAATAAAGAGTCCAGAAATTAATCCATGCACATATGGCCGACTGATCTTTGACAATGGTGCCAAATATACACAATGGAGAAAAGATAGTCTCTTCAACAAATGGTGCTGAGAAAACTGGATATATACATAAAAAAAGAATGAAATTGGGCCCTTATATATTACACAAAAGTCAAGTCAAAATAGGTTACTCTTAAATGTAATTCCTGAGATTCTAAATCTCCCTAAAGAAAACATGGGGTAGTAAATGATGTTTTGATACATGTTTACAATGTGCAATGGTTAAATCAAGCTAATTACCATATATATTACCTCACATATGTATTTTTGTGGTAAGAATACTTAACATCTATTCTCTTAGCAATTTTCAAGTATACAATTTTATTATTGACCATAGTCACCATGTTGAACTATAGAGCTCTTGAATTTATTTTTCCTATTTAATTGAACTTTGACAAACATCTCTCCAATCCTCCCCCAGTCATAAATGTATATGATTTTTGTCAATAAAAAAAAGAAATAAATGTTCAAGTTGAGGGTAAAATATCCAAAGTTTAAAATAAAAAGAAAATAGGAAAAGCTTCATGACACTGGATTTGGCAGTGATTTTATGAATATGACACAAATGAAATGTCAACAAAACAAAATAAACAAGTGAGACTGTATCAAATTAAAAAGTGTTTACACAACAAAGGAAACAATCAACAGAGTGAAAAGGCAATCTACAGAATGGGAGGAAATATTTGAAAACTATATACACGCAGAATTGAATTATAATAATTTGAATTACAATGATTTTATTTTACAATAGTGTAAAAATTATGCCCATTCATAGAAACTATTTTTAAGCACCCATACAAACATTGTGTTTTCTGCTTCCGGTATAGTATTTAACAAATTATATGAGATACTCAAAATTTTATTATAACATAGGCTACATGTTAGATGATTTGGCCCAACTGTAGGCTAATGTAAGTGTTCTGATCACATTTAAGGTAGGGGAGGTTAAGCTATGATGTTCTGTAGGTTAGGTGATTAAATGCATTTTTGACTTACAATATCTTCAACTTATGATGAGTTTATCTGGATGTAACCCTGTTATTAGTTCACGAGCATCTATATCTAATAAGGGGTTAATCTCCAAAATAAATTAGAAACACCCAAAACTCAATAGTTCAAAAAAAAAAAAGGTTAATAACCTTATTGAAAAATAGGCTAAGTACTTGAACAGATATTTCACCAAAGATGACATACAAATGATCAACAGGTGTAGAAACCTTCAATTCTGAAGCTAGGAAATAAAAGATTTAACAATGAGGTTTTTCTGATGAAGAAATGGCCTTGACTCAGAATGCGTTTTAGAACAATGACTACTTAAGTACTTTACAGGGACTATGCTCTTCAGATAGCCACATCTGGACAAATAATTTTGATCTAGTCCCAATTTTCAGAGTTGCAGGAAAGGTTGGAAAAGCTTGAGTTTAGAAATAGTAATATCGAATATCTATAATTGGTATCAATTCTTAACTAGGATATAATTGTATGTAATATTTGAGACTAAAAAAAAATCTAAAATTTATAATCTCAGAACTGGGAAGAGAAGAATTACTCATTGTGGCCACAATGAGAGAACAAGTCCAGAGGTAAGCACATAAAGAGGGCTGATTTGAGTTACTGTTCAGAAAGTTTTTCTTGCAATAATAACTCTTCAAATATGGACTGAACTACACATAAAAGTAGTCAGGTGTGACTAGTAGAGCCCATATTTTGGCTAGGACTTAAAACTCAATGAATATTTATTAAATGACATATTATTGACTGGATTAGTGGCTGAGTGATAAGGATTTTACATAGGAAGGTAACAGTTTAAACAGTAGGAGAACTGTAGGCCAAGACAATACTTTAAATTCCCATTTTAGCATAGTCTACAATTCAACCAGTTCTAAAACACCTTATTAGACACACACAGATTTGCCTGCTAGTGATGTCATTACACAACCCTGTAACCTGGACAATTTTTTCAGCAATGTGGAGTGTGGTTTCTAATTTCTCAAAGTGAATGGAATAAATCCATTTAGTAGTTATTGGGAAAGTAAATGATGTATGTATGTGTCAGAGTCCCCAAGACCCTGAATCTAGGAGATTCAATGGAATGACTCATGGGACTCAGCATATAATAATACTCATGACAAGATTTATGACTGTGATTTAGTAAGGATACATGGCCAGATCACAAGGGCAAAAACACAGGTGGAGTCTTGAAGAAATCATGTGCAGCTTTCCTTATGCTGACTCCTTCCCATGACAGAACACACAGAGGACACTGCTCCCCAGCAACAGAAATGCAGCAACATGTTTTTGATGTTCCTGCCCAGGGAAGCTCATTAGAAACTCAGTGTCCAGAGTTTTTCTTAGGGTTGCAATAGGTGCCCTCTACCTAGGGCATACCAAAATTCCAGACTCTCAAAAGGAAAGCAGGTATTCAGCAAAGAACACACATTATATGCACAAACAGTTGGTGCAGAGTGGGTTACTTTGTCAGTTTGTGGATGGTGAGAATACTCCTGAAATCCAAGTTTCTAGATGTCAGCCAATGGCTAGCTAGCAGGCCTTTTAAAGGATAACAGTTTTGGGCCTGCTACCTGCTATGTTAACTCTTTTCTACACAATGTACACGGCAGATCTCAGGATTTTGGGCAGAGTAAACATACAATACGTTTTGTCCTACCTCCTCAACTTCCCACCCATTCCTACTCAGCTCAGTCAGGACCACAGATCAGCCAGCCCACACTGCCACCATCTTCCTTGGACACCAATACTGCACCTCTATTTGTACACTAGAACATCAATACCGATACATCTCTTGCCATCAAAATATTTTTTCCCTTGGGCATTCTTTATATCATTGCCCCTAAATGAAAATTCCAGGTTTGGTTTTTCTGTGTCCTAATTTCAAGAGAGGCTATAGAAGTATCTGCATTTTCTTATTTTATATGGAGAGGTAGGTAAAGTTTACTGACAAGATTAATTCTCATCCAAATACAGCAAATATCTCTGACTTGGAAGACATACACCACACAAAGACATATTCCTTGCAATCACTTTCTGATCCTAGACTATTTGATTTTTTTAAAAATTCAAGAGCCCCTGTATTACTTGAGTTTGTAAGGCAGAAATTCTAACTGTAGTTGGGGTGTGTTCTCATAAGGAATTTTAGTGTGGGGTTGGCCTTTTAATCTATTTACTTGAAAGAACTATAAGGTTCTGGAGGAGTTCAAGATTCTCTCAAAGCTTTACAAATACAATGCTTCACATTTGGAAAATCCAGTTGAGCCACGTTAGACTCCCAATCCATGCAAACTGCAACATGGTAAATTGCAGCAGTTAGATTCTTGTCTCAGGGTCCCACACTCCAAGTGTTGGCTGACTGCCTACTTATCTGATGCTATAAGAAAGAATCTGCTTCCAACCTCACTAGAGTCATTGTCAGAAATCTTTTCTTGCAGTTGTAAGAATTATATTGCTACTGCCTTGTGAGCTGCCATCCAGAAGACACTGTCATCTTTTAAGCTGCTCAAATTTCCATGCCATGGTCCTCATTCGCTCTCTTACAATATCACAATTTAGTCCTTCAAGGCCAGCAACAGGATTCCTCTGATTAAATCCCCCCTCACACTCTGAGTGTGTCAGACTTACTCTTTTGCAGTCAACCAGAGAAACCTCTCTACTTTTAAGGATTCATGTCAGTTGCACTCACTCAGCCAAGTTCCCCATCTTAAGGTCAACTGATGAGTAAATTTAACTGCATTTACAATATACTTTTGCCACATAACTTATAATCACAAGTAAAATACCAGGTGGCAATGGTCATGGGAATCATCTTAGAATTCTGCCTAGCATCGTTACTAATCAATGTTTTAGCATACCCTAAATAGTAATGCCCATGTTAAAGTTTGATGGTGTTATATCTCTAAATACTAAATATAAGCTTGTGTGTCAACCTGTAATACTTACTGATTATTCCATCCTAAAAGTGCCTTAATATTTTCTCTCTACTCCATGTTTCTGCATTATTGCAATTATAGACATTATATTTTTGTAGTTATCGACTTAACTAGGAGTCATTTACTGAAAATACTTCACAAAGTATGCTCAAGCTAAACAGTGAAAAGAAAACTTCCAAATGTATTCTAAGCCCGGGATGCAAAAGACAAGGTTTAGTGATGACTAACCACTCACAGCAGACGAATCCATCATAAAATGAGATAAATGTGCCCATCAAAGTAACTGCGTAAACTAAATTATTATTTGTTTCCCATCTCTATAAAGTGATATATATAGAAAAAAACACATATATATACACATACACTCATTTTTAAGTCAAGATATGTCAACCTTTTCATGCAACACAACAATCTACTAATATTTTTTAGCACGATTTCTTCAGAAAAGGACTTACTAGGAGAAAATGGTACAAAGTGATTGGGTGAGAATTGAACTGAGCACTTGAAGGATATGAATATTGGAGACACACTTACATTTCCAAATAGAAAATGAATGATGAAGGCAATTAAGGAAAGTCATATGTTTTCTATTAAGCAATTTTTAGATGTTGGAATATTAGAAAGCTGTGTTTTCTCCCAAAGGAAATAAAGCAATTTTCTTGATTCCCTTAAAATAAGATATAAAAAGGCTGGACGCGGTGACTCACGCCTATAATCCCAGCACTTTGGGAGGCTGAGATGGGCGGATCATGAGGTCAAGAGATGGAGTCCATCCTGGCCAACATGATGAAACCCCGTCTCTACTAAAAATACAAAAAATTAACCGGGCGTGGTGGCAGGCGCCTGTAATCCCAGCTACTTGGGGAGGCTGGGCAAAAAGAGCAAAACTCCATCTCAAATAATAATAATAAAATAAGATATAAAAATATATATTACGTATATTTTAACATCCAGGAAATTCTCAAGTCTATATGAGGATCAACAGCATTAAAACCTATCAAAGACAAATATAATTTTTAGAATTTGATTGATGTTTTTCTTGCTCAGTACTTTGTAGATCATCATTATTATTTATCTTTATTTGTGCTGGAGGAAAGACAGAGTATAATTCTTTCAAAGTAATGTACTCGTATACCTTCTCTTTACTTTACCAATAGCAATTTGGATAAGAAAGTAAAAGTAATTTTGCTTTGAATTTAGTTAGAAGATGATACTTATCATCAGCAATAACCCCTTCCTGTTCTCAGATTTTGGTTTCAAAATGGCTTCTCTACTAAAATGAACCAGTGCTCCTTGGAGAAATGACTGATTCCGGATCTGGGGGCAGAGAAAGCAAAGTAGTCTAGAACAGCATTGTGTTCCAGAAAGTAAGGAATGCACTCTCTCTTTCTCTCTTTCTCTCTCTCTGTCTATAAATACATATATATGTATTTATTTATAAATGAGAAAGTGTGCATATATATGCATTTATTTATTTATATGGATGCATATTTAAATATATGTGCATTTATTCCCATTTATTTCTCTCCCTTTTATATATATATATACACACATATATATACACATACATATATATACACATATATATATAAATATATGAAGGAAGGAAGAGGAAAGAAGGAAGGAAGGCAGAAAGAAAAAAGGAAGGGAGGAAGGAAGGAAGGACGGAAGGAAGGAAGGACCGAAGGAAGGAAGGACGGAAGGAAGGAAGGGAGGGAGGGAGGGAGGAAGTGAGGGAAGAAAGACAACATCCTTAGAATAGAAGAAATTATGAAGTTCAAAAAATCATTTTGCTATTATCATAGTAAATGGATTTAGGCAAGGGTCACTGATGAATACTAATATCAGTGGTTGGAGGTTTAGTAAGTGTTTCAAAGCATCTCCTGTGAATTACTTATCAATTACAAAAGAGAGAGTAATTTTATAGTGGAGAAATATGAAGAGCATTACCTTAATCCTGTAATCAGAGTTAACATTCCCTATAATGGGACAAATTAATATAATGGGACAAATTAATTCATGACTTCAGATACAGGGAGCCATGTTTGTGGCATTCCTGACACAAATGCATACCTTAAATATAATCATGGGGAATCATCAGGCAAATAAAAACTAAGTGGTATTCTACAAAATAACTGTCCGATGCCCTTCAAAAATATAGTAAAATACAAAGAAAAGCTGAGGAACTCTTACAGGCTTAAACCATAAAATCTAAATGTAATGCATGACCCTGGCCTGGACTCTGGACCAGTATGAAGAAAAAGCTAAAGAAAAATAAAAAATTTAAAAAGCTAATGATGAAATTTAAATTATGGACTGTAGATTAGGTAATATAAACATGTTAACTTTTATGATGGTTCTCCAAGAGAATGTTCTTATTCTTAGGAAATAAAGCACTGAAAAATTTATCAATTAAAGGCCATAATTCCTGCAACCTAGTTTCATACGATATGGAAGGAATTATATTACAGACACACCCACCCACCCAAACACACATACACACAGAGACAGAAATTTCTTGCAAATTTTCTGTAAGTTTGAGATTATTCCAAAGTTTACAAATATATATGTACACATATATAAAGTATATATATAATATATATACATGTATACATATATAAAGTGTATATATAATGTATATACATATATACATATATAAAGTATATATATAATATATACATATATAAAGTATATATATAATATATACATATATAAAGTATATATAATATATACATATATAAAGTATATATAATATATACATATATAAAGTATATATATCATATATACATATATAAAGTATATATATAATATATACATATATACATATATAAAGTATATATAACATATATACATATATAAAGTATATATAACATATATACATATATAAAGTATATATATAATATATACATATATACATATATAAAGTATATATAACATATATACATATATACAGTATATATAACATATATACATATATACAGTATATATAACATATATACATATATACAGTATATATAACATATATACATATATACAGTATATATAACATATATACATATATACATGAAGTATATATAACATATATACATATATACATGAAGTATATATAACATATATACATATATACATGAAGTATATATAACATATATACATATATACATGAAGTATATATAACATATATACATATATACATATATAAAGTATATATAACATATACATATATACATATATAAAGTATAACATATACATATATACATATATAAAGTATATATAATATATAACATATACATATATAAAGTATATATAATATATAACATATACATATATAAAGTATATATAATATATAACATATACATATATAAAGTATATATAATATATACATATATACATATATAAAGTATATATAATATATATATACATATATAAAGTATATATAATATATATACATATATACATATATAAAGTATATATAATATATATACATATATAAAGTATATATAATATATATACATATATACATATATAAAGTATATATAATATATATACATATATACATATATAAAGTATATATAATATATATACATATATACATATATAAAGTATATATAATATATATACATATATACATATATAAAGTATATATAATATATATACATATATACATATATAAAGTATATATAATATATATACATATATACATATATAAAGTATATATAATATGTATACATATATACATATATAAAGTATATATAATATGTATACATATATACATATATAAAGTATATATATAATATGTATACATATATACATATATAAAGTATATATATAATATGTATACATATATACATAAAGTTCAACCAACAATTATGGTAATGAGGATCAGTAGCAAAAGATTCAAAATTTTTGTAGATAAAATAGTAAAATGTTTATCTCCCACTCTAATTACACATTCACTTTGGATTAGCTTCAGGCTTTGTTTCATGTAATTACCCCATGTCATTGGAACTATGTTGAAGTCACCACTGCAAACGGATCAGAAGATGTGTTGGAACATGGAATCGATCTTAAAGCTTCTATTTGAAAATGACACATGTAAACAGCTGTTCACAATTCATTGGCCAAAGTGTTCAGGAAAGTGTTATTCTACAATGTGTACCTTTTTAGATGGATTTTAATTTTTCATTTCATTTTTAATGTATTTATAATTATATGATTTTAGAGCAAAATAATCAAACATAATTAACATGTGTTAAGCTTATTTGTAAAATAATTAGAAAATTAACTATGTTAAAGTCTGAAAAAGGCAAATGAAAGAAATTTTATGTGAATGCATTAACACTGTTTTAATACTTTGCAACTTTTTACAAAACTGTGATTGGGTTCAGTCATGAACGAAAAAAAAAAAGGAACAAAAGAAAGGAAATCAGTATATCAAAGTGATACATGCACCCCCATGTTTGTATTTTAGCCAGTTAAGTAGTTACACTAAATATGTCTTTGAGTTGAAATTATTTTTACTTCTATTTTTATTTGTGAGTCATCAAAATGAGAGTAATTAATATGTTTTCTAAAAGCATTTATGATGAATTCTCAAATCTCAACTAGATTCACATTTTAAAATACACAGCCTTGATGCATGAGCTCCACAGGAGTCAATGTGGTGAAATCATTATAAGCAAGGACTTTAGACCCCTCAGTTTAAAGCTGAATACCATCACTCAGTAGCAGTATTACCTTGGGTTAGCTCCTTAAACTATTAAAACCTGTGCCTATGTTTTGTAGTTTATGTTATTATTTATGTAAATGATATTATTGTTCTTACCTCAGAGATTTGTTATGAGTACAAAGTGAATTAACATTTTTTTTTCTTTGAGACGGAGTCTCACTCTGTCGCCAGGTTGGAGTGCAGTGACATGATCTCGGCTCACTGCAACTTCCCCCTCCCGGGTTCAAGAGATTCTCCTGCCTCAGCCTCCTGAGTAGCTGGGACTACAGGTGCATGCCACCATGCCAAGCTAATTTTTTTGTATTTTTAGTAAAGACGGGGTTTCACCATGTTGGCCAGGATGATCTTGATCTCTTGACCTCATGATCCGCCTGCTTTGGCCTCCCACAGCGTGAATTAACATTTATACAAGGCTTGGCACATGGCAAGCTTTCAATAAGTATTTATTGAATAGAAATGTTTTTTAAGCCATTATGAAGGTCAGTAATATACTCATGTAGTGTTAGTCTCATGATGTCATGGTGATGTAGACTCAAAATTTGGAGGTCTGCATGATGATACTTGTGACATTTACTGGCTTGGCTTTTCTGATCGGTGTAATGAAGAGACTCATCATTGACCTTATTTCATACGGTGGTTATGGAACTTGAGATAAAGGTTGTGAAAGAGTTTTAAATAAAAAATAAAAGCACTATACAAACATGCTTTTCAATATAATATTTGGAAAATTAGGTAAGTACTCTGTGTAGAACACATTGACATATGAATAAATGCTTCAGATGTTTAGATGGACTAATTGCACAGAAAATGCAGCAAATTAGTTTAACGCAACCATTAACAAACATTTTTCAGGCTGGGCGCGATGGCTCATGCCTGTAATCCCAGCACTTTGGGAGGCCGAGGAGGGCAAATCACGAGGTCAGGAGTTCGAGACCATCCTGGCCAACATGGTGAAACCCCATCTCTACTAAAAATACGAAAATTAGCCAAGCATGGTGGCACGCGCCTGTAATCCCAGCTACTCGGGAGGCTGAGGCAGGAGAATCACTTGACCCTGGGAGGCAGAGGCTGCAGTGAGCTGAGATCACCCCACTGCACTCCAGCTTGGGTGACAGAGTGAGACTTCATCTCAAAAAGAAAAAAAATTCTATACAGAGCTAGATAATAAGTATTTCTGACTTTGCCCACATACAATGCACTTAACCATTGTAGTAAGGAAAGGAGTCCCATACAGTATTTAACCAAATGGGTACAGCTGTGTACTTTAAAAAAGTATGCCTACCCCTGGTTTAAAGGATGAACTCTGAGGATTGACTGAATTTTTTTTTAATCCTAGCTTTGCCATTTAATTAACAGATGAGCTTGGGAAAGTTACCAGTCTGTGCCTGCACTTTTTCTTCCAAAAAAGAAAGAAGGAAGGAAGGAAGGAAGGAAGGAAGGAAGGAAGGAAGGAAGGAAGGAAGGAAGGAAGGAAGGGAAAGAAAGAAAGAAAGAAAGAAAGAAAGAAAGAAAGAAAGAAAGAAAGAAAGAAAGAAAGAAAGAAAGAAAGAAAGAAGAAAGAAAGAAAGAGAAAGAAGGAAAGAAGGAAGGAAGGACGGAAGGAAGGAAGGAAGGAGAAAGAAAAAAGAAAGAAAGAAAGAGAAAGAAAGAAGAAAGAAAGGAGGGAGGGAGGGAAGAAAGGAATATAACTATTAGGTCTGTTGTGAGCATTAAAATGACTTAAACAGATAAAGTAGTTATTTCAGTTCTGGCACATATTCCTCTACAAGGGTATATTATTGCTATTGGGTGATGCAGAGTTAAAGGAGAGTTAGAATTTTGGATGACTCTATATTTTATCTGACATCCATGCCAACATTATAAATATCATATTGTTCCAAACCTTGTCTTTGGAGTTCCTGGCATAACTACTTGTCTATTATATGTCTAGACTGATTAATTCAAATCTATTATTTGGCTGAAGTTGGTTATCAAGTTAATTATAGATTGTTGCCAATTTTAAGTGAGTCAATGCATGTGAAAGTAATCTGGTTGCTAAGAAAACAGAAAGCATACCCAGTATTGTTTTCTTGTATGATATAAAAACTATGAAGTCTTGTGACAAACATACACACAGTGTTTAGAATCAAAGAACTAATGTCTGATCTTGGCTCTAGCACGTATTATCCTTGTTCAAAAAAATTACCTCTTCTTTCTCTTAACTGATATACGTATTGAAAACCACATAATGTAGAAGGTTCCTGTAAAACAAAAATGAAAATGTGTGAAAGTACTTTCTAAACTGTTTTTCAAATATTATTTACTATTAATTGACCACAAAGTATTTCATTTTTTGAAAATTTAAACTCAATCTGTATGTTTAAACACTATATTTACTCTAAAGGTAACTGAGTCCTTGCATTCACAGAAAGACTGTATTATTAAGGATACAAGGCTAACACATTGAAATATGTAGTGAATTTATAAAGGTAAAAATACATCTTATGACTTTGACTTGAAGGTGCTACAGATTATCAGGAAAGTGGGAGGAGGGAGAGGATTGGAATTGACAGGAAGTTTATTAAGGAGAGGCTTATAGAAGATAAAAACTGGCCGGGGTTTTTGAGGAATTATTGAAATGTGGATGCTAGTGATTTCCAACCCTGGCAGTTGATTAGCATCTCCTCAGGAGTTTTTAAAATATACTAAAGCTTGGCACCTGCCTTAGATTCCAACTGTGTTTTTTGAAGATCTCCAGTTATTGCAAGCATTCAGCTGAGTTGAGAACCACTGGGTAACAAGCTACAAATTGATGCTGTTGTTGCATTACCTGAGCATGTGTTAAAAATGCACAATCTCAGTCTCATTTCAAGACTTGCTGAGTCTAAATCTCCCCTTTAAAATGTTAGAATTAACCTGAACAAAATCACAGATGAGAATAAAAAGCCAAATCACCATCAAGCAGAAACATGCAGCTTCACTGCAAATCCCCTACCAACAATGGATATCTCAAAAGGACATTTTGTCTTTTTCCTGTTCTACATTCTGATACTTGAAGTAGTCTCTTGATTAAAATTACATAGATTCAGTAAAACTTTAACACTAAATTAATGAATGATCTGTTTTATATATTTTCACAGGAATTTTTACATCATTTTCATCTATAAAGATTATAAGGTAAATAAATTTAAATGTAGCATGAAGGTGGAAGATGGGTATATTTTTTGCTATTGCTCCCTTTCCCCTAAATAAGTGTTTAACACTGTTTTAATACTTTGCAACTTTTTGCAAAACTGCAATTGGGTTCAGTCATGAATGAAAATTTTAGCAATGTATGTTATAATCTCTAAACACACTATGTATGTAGTGCTCAAATCAATAGCAAAACTGCAAGCAGCAGTTATAATCATTTAGATACGTTAATTTAAAAAACACGCAAACTCATAGTTCAAAGAATTACAAACTAATTTAAAATTACTTAGATGTATAAAAGGAACTCAAACATCTTAACAGCAAAAATAAAAACAAAAACAAAAAAACAGGCAATCTCATAAAAAGTGGACAAAATATCTAAATAGATATTTCTCAGGCCAAAAAGTATATCAAAAATGCTCAACATCACTAATCATCAGGGAAATGCAAATCAAAACCACAATGAGATATAATCTTCCCCAGTTACAATGGCTGTTATCAAAAAGACAAAAAATGACAGATGTTAGTGAGGATGCAGAGAAAAGAGAACTGTCATACACTATTGGTGGGAATGTAAATTCCATTATGAAAAACAGTATGAAGAGTTCCTGAAAAACTAGAAATAAAACTACCATATGATCCAATGATCCCACTACTGGGTAGTTATCAAAAAAAAAAGAAAAGGAACAAAGGAAAGGAAATCAGTATATCAAAGCAATACATGCGGCCCCGTGTTTAACTGCAGCATTATTTACAATAGCAAAAACATGGAATCAACCTAACCATCCATTAACAGATGAATGAATAAAGAAAATATAGTGTATACACAATGCAATACTATTCAGTCCTAGAAAAGAATGAAATAATGTCATTTGTAGCAATGTGGATGAAACTGGAGGTCATTATGTTAAGTAAAATAAACCAAAGGAAGACAAATATATTGCATGTACACCTTCACATGTGGTAGCCAAAATCGTTTATCTCACGGAGGTAGGTAGAGAGTAGAATGACAGAATGACAGACATCAGAGGCTAGGAAGAGGACTATGTAGCAAGGAAGTAGCGTCTGAGAGCTGAGGTCATCTGTCCTACAACTTTAAGATCCCAAAACTTACCACAGTCACATGGGCCTGGAAGAATATTAGGTAAAATTATAGCCCAGCAAGCACATTTATTTCAGGTTAATGAGATTATAAGTAGAGGATCCAGTTAAACTGTGCCTTGAATTCTGACCTAGAAAGTCTGTGAAACAATAAATGGGTGCCATCTGAAGGCACTACATTTGTGGTAGTTTCTTTTTTTAACATAGAAGACTATCAGCAGTTTTCACTCTTGGGCCAAATGAGAAGTATGGCTGAGATCCTTCCCGTCTCTGAAGTGCCCTGATCTCATAAGTCTTTGGTTCCATAATCAAGATACATTTTGCTTTGGAAAGGCTCCCTATATCACAGCCTACAGGTGAACCTCAACATTTGTAGGGCACATTCATGTAAAAGGAGAGTCTAAAAATTCATGCAGCCTCATGCTTAAAAATTAGAGGACTTAGAATTGTTAAAATGTCTATACTACCCAAAGCAACCCACAGATTCAATGCAATTCCTATCAAAATTCCAGAGATGGTTTTTCTAGAAATAGGAAAAAGTTCTAAAATTTATAATATAATTTAAAAATAACTCAAATGCAAAAATAATCTTGAAAAAGAAGAGAAAATTTGAAAGCCTCACACTTTCTGATTTCAAAACATACTTTAAAGTAATAGTAATCAAGACAGTATGATGTTGGCATAAAGACAGACATATAGACCAATGGAACAGAAGAGAGAAGTCAGATATAAAACCTTGCATATGTGGCCAAATGGTTTTCAACAAGGGTGTTAAAGGCTACATCATGGGGAAAGAACAGTGTCTTCAGCAAATGGTACTGGGAAAACTGGATATCCATGTATAATAGAATGAACTTGGACTCCTACCCTACATTATATAAAAGTAATATAAAATGAATTGTAGACTTAAACCTAAGAACTAAACTATAAAACTTCTAGATAAAATCCTAGAAGAAATAATTCAAGACACTGGATTTGCCAATGATTTCTTTAATATGGCACCAAAAACAGGCAACAAAAGAAAACATAAACAAACGGGACATCAAACTCAAAAACTGTGTATCAAAAGAAATAATCAGCAAAGTAAAAAAGCAACTTATAGAATGCAAGAAAATATTTGCAACTCATATATCTGATAAGGGGTCACTATTCATAATATATAAGGGAACTCTATAACAAAAACAACAAAACCAATTTTTAAAAAATGGGCAGAGGACTTCAGTAGCAATTCTCCAAAGAAGATATACCAATGGCCAACAAGAATATATAACAATGTTGAACATCACTAATCATAAGATAAATCCAAATCAAAACCAAAATGAGGTATTACCTTACACCAATTAGGGTGGCCACTATCAAAAGAAGAGAAAATAAAAAGTGCTGACAATGGTGCAGAGAAATTGGAGGCTTTGTGCATTGCTAATGAAAATAAAAATTGGTGCGGCTATTATGAAAAACAGTAGGAAGGTTACTAAAAAATTAAAAATAAAATTACGATGTAATGTAACAGTCTCACTTCTGGGTATATATACGAAATAATTCAAGCAGAATCTTGAAGATATATTTGCGCACCCTTATTAATTGCAGGATTATTAACCTTTTCTATGCAGTGGAAGCAATCCAAATGCTCATACATAGATGAATGGATAAAGAAAATACGGTAATACATACAGTGGAATATTATGCATCCTTAACAAGGACATCCTGACACACACAACAACATGGATGAATCTATAGGACATTATGCTAATTGAAATAAACCAGTTATGAAATGACAAATGCTGTATGATTTCACTCATATAAAGTATCTAAAATACTCAGAATCACAGAAACAGAAAGTAGAAATAGGTAGCCATCAAGGACTAGAGGAAGGAGAGGGAAATTAGTGTTTATGGGTATAGAGTTTCAGATTTATAAGATGAAAAAGTTCTAGACATCTGTTGCACAACAATGTAAATGTACCCAACACTTTATAACTATATGCTTCAAAATGATCAAACAGTCAATTTGTTATACATTTCTTATCACAATAAAAAAGGTAACAACCATCCAATTGAGACCTTTTGGAAATAAGCACACCAATACCTAGGTCAGTTTAAAAAAAATACATGTGGCAAATCAGCTCTGTAAATGTTTTCTTTAGCAGAACTTAAGATACGGCTGTATCAAACACTCAGCATGTCGAAGATATAAAAGGATCATAAAAATGAGTATGTATACATTTTAGAAAACTGACACAGTGGGATCATTTGGAAACAAAATTTTTAGATGCATTGTAAATGAATTTCTGCATTTCTTTTGAACATATTTCTTGATGTTAACGAAAATCAGCATAATTCTGCCATTATAGATTCAGAATACAATTATATAATTGTCTCCTGTTCTTCATATGATCAACACTAGGTCAAACAGCAAAATGGAAAGTTTCTTAGGTCACTTGCTAGTCAACAATCTAGTTTTCTTTACATACCTAAGATGCCAACATACACTTGCTGAAACCACAAGTTTACAACTACTTATATATGGTAACGTGGAGGACAGATATTTTGCATTCTTTGAGAGCATCATTTGTCAACTATATTAAAATAATATTAAGATAATTAAGAAGACCAATAATATTCAAAGCTAGTGGAATTGAACCAGTAGTTGTAGAGACTCCTTACCCTGGACAGGTTTTTAATGCTCTTCAGGGCGCACTGTAAAGGATTTAATCAATCTAGCCTATACATGTGGATAGCTTTTCATAAGAAAAAAATGGGGTTTCATAAGAAAATGGGTTTTTCATAAGAAAAATGGAGTTTCATAAAAAATGGTTTTTTTCACACACACACAAAAAAGCTATAAGGGCTGGCCATTAATTATAAAACTGTTGCTTTTATCTGCAAAGAGTCATTGTGACAATTAGACAAGATAATACATAGGAAAAACAGTTATCAAACTATAAAAGCCCATACAAATGTAAACCATCATTCTAATTTAGAACTAACCATCCTCTTATTTAGCCCTAGGATTTGGTCCTACTTAGAGCCTCATGAACCATTTCCTTCAAATGTTTAGATTTGCCAATAATTATCTAATTAGACCATATTCTGATTTGCTTCTTTGACTTAATCATTGTAGACGCTTTGGGCACAATTCAAAAAATACATATATTTGAATCACCCAAAGTAAGAAATTCTTATATAGTTTGTGAGTATATATTTATTTATTTTTATTTTATTTCTTTCTAATGGTTGAGGTTGCTTTAATAAAAAAAAAAAATCTTTCTCTCTAGTTGCCTGATTTCTCATCTTACTTGTTACACTGTATGGCAAAACTAGTCTAACTTCAATGCCCTGTAACAATTTTATTTTTTACTTTTAAACTAATTTTTATATTGACAGATAAAAATGTATATGTTTATGGTGTATAACATGATATTTTGAAATATGTACACGTTGTGAAATGTCTCACTTGAGCTAATTAACATATGCATTAACTCACTTTTTTTTGTAGTAAGAACGCAAAATCTACTCTCTCAGGGATTTTCATGAATATAATACATTGTGATTAAATATGGTCACCAAGTTGTACAGTATAGCTCTGAAACTAATTCTTTCTAACTGAAATTTTGTATTCTTTGGCCAACAACTTTCCACTCACCCTCCACAGACCCAGCCTCTGGTATCCACTATTTTACTTTCCAAAATTTTTCTATAACTCCAACTTTTTTAGATTCTACATATAAGCAATATCATGTGGAATTTGTCTTTATTCTCTGGCTTTTAGTGAGAAAAGTTCATCCTCAAAATTCATGGGCATATTGCCCTGTCATTACCACTAAGGAAGGCACAAGAGGAAATAGCTGTCCTCTAGTGTAGCAAAGCCATTCTTAGAAGCATGCAATCACCACTCCAATAAGGCCTGATGCATTTCATTTTCCTCTGCCACCACCACCCATATTGAATCTGTGAGCTCTTTGGAGGCAAGGATTATGTCTTCTTCACCATTATATTCTCAGCATCTGATTCTGTAACAGATACTGAAGTCTCCTGTGCCCCAAGTCTTGTTGAACTCCAAATCATCAGGAAAAGGAAACCAGAAAGAAGAAAACCAGTGGTTTGTTTTTGTTTTTCTGTTCTAGAAACATATACCAAAGTAGGCCTGCTGTTTGTGAAATAGGCTTCCTGAATTAAATATAAGGATTCTTGTACCATATTCTGGTCACTAATCATCGTGCTTATTTGAGCATTACTTCCTAGTTTTATCTTCTCACATGATTTAATCTACTCACACATCCTAGTTGCATGCTAAATAATTATCCTAATTACTGATTACTTTCTCTTCTTATATTCATTCATTTCACAAATATTTTTTGAGTGGCTATCATGTGTAGGTCATTTAAACAGAGTTGAAGTCCCACATCTCAGGGACACGTAGTAGAGGGGTAGACGCAGTAAAAAAATAAACACATAAAAAGTCAGGTTGTAACACGTGGTGAACATTGACAAGGATGGGAGAGCGAATTTACATAGAGTAGTTTGGAAAGCCCTCTCTGATAAGATGGTATTTGAGAAGATGTCTGGAGCAAGAGAAATCAATGAAGTCTTTTTTTGGGAAGACTGTTCTAATTAATGGCAATAGGATGGCCAAAGGCCCCAAACTAGAGATAACATGTTTGTGTGATTGAAGACCATTAAGAACCATGAGAGCACACATAGACATAAACGTGAGAAAAATAGATACTGCAGACTACTAGATGGGGAAGGGAAGGAGGGAGACGTGGGTAAAAAACTACCCTTTGGGTACTAAACCCACTACCTGGGTGACTAGATCCATACCCCAAACCTGGGCATTATACAATATATCTACATAAAAAATCTGCACATGTATTGAAATTAAGAAAAAAAAAACACTCACGAAGCTAGAGCTGAATGAGAAAGAGACAGAGGAGTAGAGTATGAGGTCACTGAGTTACTGGATAGGCAATGTCTGTGATATTTTATAGGTCATGGTGGATTTGCATTTTATTAATTGTATAGGAAGCCATTGAGAATCTTTGAGCAGATAATTGATTTGATTTTAATTATTTTTGGAATAACTCTGAGTTGTATGTAAAGAAACTAATGGGCACAAGAATAGAGGGCGTTGTGATAGTCCAGGGGAGAGATAAATGCCACAACCCAGAGAGCTAAGGGTGAAAATATCTAGAAAATTCAGATTCTCAATATATTTTGAATGTAGAATAAATAAGATTCAAATTTGCCAGTAATTGGACACAGGGTGTAAAAGAAAGAAGGAATCAACTACAATTACAATATTTTTAGAACAAACAGATTTTATAATGTAATTTTCATGTGTCATATTGGAAGAATATTCAGGGAAGAGTAAATCTGAAGAAATAAATCGAGGTTTTAGTTTTGGATGTATCTTATTTGGGCTGCCTATTAATGAATGGTGAGCTTAGTTGAGAGATCAGGACTGAAGACATAGCATTGAAAGGCATAAGTGAATAAATATTATTTAAAGCACGTGCATATCGTGGCTTAAGTCGTAAGTGGCCTCTGTCTTGCCTGGATGAGACTCTCAAACTCTCTGTCACATGTGCTGTCTACACAGTTGCACCCAGTCCAAATAATCCATCTCATCTCTTAGAATAGGTTTTATTAATTCAAGAAAGAAATCAGAGGATCATTACAATGTACATGCCAAATATGTTCCTCTCTTTTTCAGTCTTAAATCACATTAGTGTTGGCAGTGACGTCACACTATCAAAGATTATTCAGTCGTTCTCAGTTAAACCCCCGACTCTGAAAAATGGCATTTATTGACCACTTCATCCTATTAGATTTTTTAAAATATCTAAGTGTGGAAGCAAGTATTTATTTATATTATATTTTCTATTGATAAAATCAACAGCCTGTTATTTGAAAAAACAATAAAAGGTGAGCTTCTATCTGTGATTTTGCTTTTGTAAACCAAAAATACAATTCTAAGCCACCAACTGACTAAATGGACCCACTCTTGACCAAGGGGATCCCAAAGAAACCTGAAAAACAAGTTTGGACCATGATGGGAAGTGAAGGTTGAGCATGCCTCATCATACCCTCCTCCCTTTGGAATTTAAACACAACTGACCAGCATTAACATAAAAACAGAGACATTAAGATGGACAAAACAGTAGCAATAAGATATCAATTTCCAACCTGACTCAGGTATAGTATCACATGTCAAATAGCAGGCCCTAAAAGAAATCAAAGTGTATTTTACCCCAAAATATATTTTTTTGATATATTTTGAAATGGCCCTGCTAAGCTGTCTCTTGTGAGAAATTTGCATTCTGTAAAGAATCTCCTTCCGCTACTAGGTTTCTTCTGGAGAGTCTGACACCTTTTAAGGTTTCGTAAGAGACATTCACTATCTAATCTCTCTGAAGCCTGCAACCTGGAGGCTTCAGCTACATGACAAGAACGTTGGCTTCCAAGACCCCCATGATCTTAACTCAAGCTGACTTCAACTTTTCAATCAGAGCTTAACTTTTTCAACTTATTGCCAATTAGGAAATCTTTGAATCCATCTATGACCTGGAAGCCCCCACTTCAAGATGTTCTGCCTTTCTGGGCCAAGCCAATGTATACCTTACATGCATTGATTTATGTCTTTGCCTGTAACTGTTGTCTCCCTAAAATGTATAAAATCAAGTTGTAACCCAGCTACCTTGGGCACATGTTCTCAGGACTTCCTGAGGCTATGTCACAGACCATGGTAGTTTACACTTTCTATATGTGCCCAAATCTGTGAATTTAAAATATCTTGTTTGCCATTTTTATTACCTGCTGAGTATATTTCTTTCTTCTGCTTCTCATATTAGTTGGTTCAATTAAAGGACTTTGGATTTTTATTTCTACTATTAAAAGCTCCTTTTATACATTGTAATATAATGTGCACATATTTCAGTTCTTGTTTCAATTTCAACTCATTCTGTATAAACAGTAACAGTATCAAAAAATTATACTCATAAAATTCTTAAAGCTTTCAGATCAACTTGGAGAGAAAAGCTCTTCTATTTGTAACTCTCTGATTTGGGTAAATCATTCAGATTTGTAAAGAAAGATTCAACAAGTAGTTAAGTCCTGCATGCTTTTTTTTTTCCTCCAACTGAAGAAAAGTTTTTACAGCAATTATGTGTAAAACTGTTATTTTACTACATGTAGGTACAAATATGCTTTATTAAACATGTAGTTTTCGGTTTTAGAGAATAGACAGCATTCTGCTCTTAGCATTCAGAAATTTCATCTAAAAACTGGAGTGCTTAGAAATTAAATGGCTAGGGCAATGGTTATCAGAAGGACCTTAAGGAATGGGTCCCAGAAAAAGATTATCAGACAGGTCCACCAGGATCACACCTTCCACTTCCATAGTCAAGAAAGTGGAAAACATGGAGACAGGCATGTGGTCTACATGGGTTCAAAAGTCACAAAGAGATCAGAGCACCAAAAAGCCACTGTTGCTTCTACCTCAACATTCTCTGGATAACCATGAAAATAATTAAAGGACTTTCAAAATCTGTACTCAGTTGCTAAATATCTAAGTACAGTTATCTAAACTAAGTGCAGATTTTTCTTTAGAAAAACTTAATAACAACCTGGAATGTTGATCCTGAAAATTTTCAACATTGGTATATCTACAGCATCAAGAAGAAGGAATTTCTACTTTCCTTCTGTCTCTCATATACTACACAAATTAAGAAAGTTAACTTTGATGTAGAACTTTCATATCTGGGTATCTGAGAAATGGTGATTTTTAATCATGTAAATTCTGTAGAAGAGAGACATCTTTTAGCAAGAGTTTGGAATGGCTGTGTACCAATTGACAGTTATCCATTTCCCTTGCTTTTATCTTAAAGCTTCCTTACTAACCTTCTACATATATTTAAACTTCCAAACAACATGCTTCCGTGCAACATAACTCTGCCACACAAGCAAAAACATGCTTACCTTTTCCACGAATGGTAGTCCTTCAATGGGCATGACATTCATCTCTAGATGATGCCATTCCTCTGCTTATTTCTAATTCTACCTTAACAGAGTGAAAAAAAAAATTATAGTTGACTATGACTATGAACTAGTAAAGAAAATAGTAAGTGTATAGTAAATAGATGAATGAAACTTGATATACATTTAAGAAAGTAAATATAGGTAGCTACTAAAATTCATATCTGCAACTCTACATAATGTGTAGTTGTCATGTCTAATCTCCTCTTATACGTATTTAATGCTCCCTATTTTTCAGTAAGCAAGTAATCACATTGGGCTCTTTACCTGCTAGGAAGACCAAAACTTTTACTAGTAAGGCCTCTGGTTCTTTGGTAGTTCTGCTACTATTTGGCTGCCATAGGCTTTCTTTCTTTCTTTTTTTCTCTCTTTTTTTTTTTTTTGAACTTTACTGGATATAGAATTTATTGGGAGGCAGCCAATATATATTCTCCCATCTTTGCCCCCCATTATTAAAATAGCAATTCTATTTTTCATTGATAATCAAAATCAAGTATATCAGCCAAAATAGTAATATCACCTTTTCTTACTTTTTCAGTGACAGGTAACCATCATCATAGTGAGATAACATTGAATCTTCTTGCTCAATACAAATATTGTTGTGAATGCTGGTGGAATGCATACTCTCTTTGAAGGAAAATGACACTAAACAATACATTTTTAGAAATAGTATATAATAAAATTATTAAAAACAAAGCAAAGGGATGATACAAAATCCATTTATCATAAGTTTAGTGAGAAAGGCAGGAGAATGGATGGTGAAACAGCACCAGGTGCAGGCAGCAGTGTTGGTAACAATCAGTTGTGTTCATGGAAGTCTAGTTTATGGTTTATACCTCACATATAAATTATATACCTTTTTTGTCATATACTAAATATTATGTAATACAACTTAAAAATGCATATGTAATTTAGGATAGACCTAATATTCATGGTATTTACATTTGATAAAATAGTTTTTTTTTTCTTTTTGAGCAACTGGGTATAATGGTATTTATTATCTACACTGTATTATGCATAAGAAATACAGTATTAAATAAATTTAAAGTTTTATATTTCTTGCTCTCAAATGCTAAATCAAAATTTTGTTTCTAGTAGTTTTGCAAAACTTAGAATCTACATGTATAACAAAAAAATTTGATACCTTAAAGAAAATAAACTATTACATATTTGCAAAACATCTTACAGGTAAAAAAGCATAAATCAACTTCAAGGGTATATATATTTTTTTACCACTTGGCAAGCAGTACACACTCTGGTACATCAATCTATAGCTACTTTTTGCTTTCATTAATTTTGAATTGTGCTATTGAATAGAACATATACACAGTTTAAAGTTTACAAATATTATCAATTTATGAACTTTAGAATTATTCCAACACAATAAGCTCCACTCATTTAAAGTTTTCTTAAGTTGGTCATTTGTGGTCACATTTATAGAAAAAGATTAACTTAATGGGAGCTACCCATATCATCATGCAGTATAACTTATAGCAAATGTAATCTTAAGAAACCTAATGCTTTTTCTATTATCAAATTGTGTCTACACAATCCTGATGTGACATACTTTTGTATTACAGAAAGTAAAATATTTTTCTTTCTTAAAAGTATTAGGAAGACACTTGAGAATACCATCTCTACCATTTAACTAATATGGGCTAACTTGGCAGATCTCTTGACTCTGTTTTTATAAATTATTATTTTGTCATAATATTTGATTCTACAAAGGAAGGGGAAAGAGCCAACTTCCATTTCTTAATCCCTCATGCCACTTAACTCAAGGAGTCTATTGCACCAGCTACTGTGATATGTCCTGGGAAATGAGAAGATGAACAAGTTACAGGTATTCTACGAGATTCTATAACTTTATAATAGCAAACATAGGGCTAGCATTTGTGAAGTGCTTACAATGGGTTAGATAATTTTATAAGTGCTTTTCTCTACTAAGTAATTTAATCCTCAAAGCAACTTTTTGAGTCTGACCTTTATTTAACTCAACAGAAAAGTGGACTAGAAAGATTAATTTTCTTACCCAAGGGCAAGGAATTTGGAGGTTTAAATCTAGACAGTCTGGTTTAAATCTTTTATGTAAACTTCATTGGAGACAAACAAATATATGTAATGACAATAATATTAATGGTAGTAGTATTAGCTGGCATTTTAAAAAGATGCTTCTCCACTATGATTAGAAGCAAGGCAAGGACACCCTGTCTTATCACTGCTTTTCAACATTATATGGAAGTCCTAGATCATGCAATAAGACAAGAAAAGGAAATAAAACATATACAGACTGAGAAGGAAGAAATAAAACTGTTCACAGAGAACATGATTATGCATGCAAAAAAAAAATCTGAAAGTATTGACAAAAAAATCTCGGTGTGATAGTTTATTCCCATAATCCCAGCTACTTGGGAGGCCGAGACTGAAGTATTGCTTGAGGCAAGGAGTTCATGACCAGCAGTCAACATGGTAAGATCTAGTCTTTAAAGAAGAAAACCATTACTACATGGGGGAAGACAAGACATATATTTAATGAAGTAGGTAAGAAAAGATTACTGAAAATATTGGGAATATATATTGAAACATCAGCCATCAAATAACAAGAGTAACAAATTTTATAACCAGGATGAAATGGACCAATTCCTTTAAAGACACAAGCTAACAAAACTCACAGCAGAAAAAAAAATAGTCCATCTTTTAAATAGGCTTACTTGTATTAAGGGAGTTGTGTTAATTAATAACCTTCCAAAATGAAAGCACCAGGCTCAGATGGGTTCAAGGGTGAATGCTACCAATCAATTAAAGAAGAAATGATACCAATTCTCTATAATCTCTTTCATATGTTAGAAACAGAGGGTTTACTTTCTAACTAATTCTATGAGGCCGGAATTACCCTAATATCAAAATCAGACCAAGACACTATAAGAAAATTAGAGACCAATATCTCTCATGAACATAAATGCAAAAATCCTCAACAAAATAGTAAATCAAATACAATAACGTGTGAAAAGATACATCATAAGTGAAACTTATCCTAAGCATGCAAGCCTGGATGAATGTTTTAAAATCAATTAATGTAATCTTATCACATCAATAGACTATAGAAAAAATACATAATCATATTGATAGATACAGAAAAATTGATTGACAAAATCAAGGACACATTCATGATAAACACTCTCAGCAAACCAGAAATAGAAGAAAAATTTCTCAACTGGAAAAGGACTTCTGTGAAAAACCTGCATCTAGCAGCATACTTAATTTTGAGAAACTACACACTTCTCCACTAAGATCAGAAGCAAGGCAAGGATACCCTGTCTTTTTTTTTTTTTTTTTGAGACGGAGTCTCGCTCTGTCACCCAGGCTAGAGTGCAGTGGCATGATCTCGGCTCACTGCAAGCTCTGCCTCCCAGGTTCACGTCATTCTCTTGCCTCAGCCCCCCGAGTAGCGGGGACTACAGGTGCCCGCCACCACGTCTGGCTAATTTTTCGTATCTTTAGTAGGGACGGGGTTTCACCGTGTTAGCCAGGATGGTCCCGATCTCCTGACCTCACGATCCGCCCGTCTTGGCCTACCAAAGTGCTGGGATTACAGGCGTGAGCCACCGCGCCTGGCCAAGGATACCCTGTCTTACCACTTCTTTTCAACATCATATGGAAGTCCTAGATAATGCAAGACAAGAAAAGGAAATAAAACATATACAGACTGAGAAGGAAGAAATAAAACTGTTCACAGAGGACATGATTATGCATGCAAAAAAATCTGAAAGTATTGACAAAAAAATCTCAGTGTGGTAGCTTATTCCCATAATCCCAGCTACTTGGGAGGCCGAGACTGAGGTATTGCTTGAGGCAAGGAGTTCATGACCAGCCGTCAATATGGTAAAATGTAGTTTCTAAACATCTATAAATTAATTAATTAATTAATAATTTAGCCAGTCATGGTGGCATACACCTGTATTCCCAGATATTCAGGAGGTTGAAGCAGGAGGGACATTTGAGCATCGGCATTTGAGGCTGCAGCGAACTATGATCGTGCCACTGCACACAAGCCTGAGAGGTGGAGTGAGACATCGAGACATTGTTTCTTAAAAAAAAAAAAAGAAAGAAAGAAAGAAAAAAAAAAGAAAGAATTGATAGAAAAAAATCCTGTAACTTATATGTCATTATAACAAGATTGGAGGATAAAAGGTTAACATACAAAAGTCAATTGCTATACTAGAAATAAACAAGTGGAATTTGAAATTAAAAAGGCATTACCATTTACATTAGCATTGCCCCAAAATAAAATACATAGGTATAAATCTCACAAAATATGTACAAGACCTTTATGAGAAAGACTGAAAATTGATTAAAGAAATTAAGGAAGTAAATAAATGGAGAGATATTCCATGCTCATAGATAGGAAGACTCAAATCATTTTTTTTTCTGTTTCAGTTTTGACAGTCTCTGTTGCTAAATTTTCTAGTTTACAAATCTTTCATTGTGTAATTTCTAATCTGCTAATAATCTCTTATAGTTGTCATTTTAGGGATGGGAGCTTTCTTCTATACATTTTAGGGATTGGTGCTTCCTTCTCTATTGATTTGGGTCAATTCTCTATATATTATTTAGACAATTTAGTTTTTAAAGGTAAGAAATACAGTTACATAATTGTTTTAATACTCTTGTCTGATAATTCTCAATGCTTTGTTAATTGTAGGTCAGTTTTGATTGTTTAGGTTTTCTCATTACCGTTGTGTTTTCTTGCTTATTTGCATACATAATTAATTGAATAAATGCTAGACATTGTAAATTTTACTTGATGGATGCTGAGTATCTCTGAATTCCTATAAATATTCTGAGGTAGTAATCTGAAACACTTAAATTATTTTCAAGCTTTATGATCCCTTCAGAAGTAGCTTTTTAAAAAATAATCGAGATAAATATTTTACATACCAAAAAATATGCAATTTAAAGTGTACAACTTGGCAGATTTTAACCATATTCAAAAAGCTGTGCTATCATTTGACTAATTCCAGAACTTGTTTATCATCCCACACACACACACACAAATCCCAGGTACCCATTAAGAATACTTCCTGATACCCATTAGGAATAATTCCTGTAGACTCACCAAGGTAACCGAAACCATTAGTCTTGTGTACATTTGTTCATTCTTGCTATTTCATATAAATGGAAACCCATTATATGTGGTCTTCTATGTCTGGGTTTTATTTACATAATGTTATCAAGATCCATCAATGTTGGACCAGAAAGCAATAACCTATTTTTTATGGCTGAATAATATTTCATGAATTATACCTTTTTAAATTAATTCATGAATTGATGGACATTTGAGTTGTTTCTAATTTTGGCTACTATGAATAATGCTACTATGAACATGGTATATAAGTTTTTGTGTGAACATAGATTTTCATTTTTTTTTTTGTTATATAACTAGGAGTAGGATTTGTGAGTCATATGGAAACTGTCAAAATATGGAAACTGCCAAAATATGTTTACAAGAAAGCTGTACCATTTTGCATTGTTCTTAGCAAAGTGTGAGGCCCCTAATTTCTCTTCATCATCACTGATGCTTGCAAGTTTCTTTCTTCTTATTCTAAAAGCCATCCTAGTAGGTGTAAACTGTTATCTCATTGTGTTCTTGGTTTGTTTTTTGTTTTTTGTTTTTTTTTTTTTTTGAGATAGAGCCTCACTTTGTTGCCCAGGCTGGAGTGCAGTGGCATAATCTCAGCTCACTGCAACCTCCACTTCCCAGGTTCAAGTGATTCTCCTGCCTCAGCCTCTTGAGTAGCTGGGACTACAGGTGCACACCACTGCACCCAGCTAATTTTTGTATTTTTTTTTTTTAGAGATGAGTTTTCACCATGTTGCCAGGTTGGTCTCGAACTCTTGACCTCGTGATCCACCTGCCTCAGCCTCCCAAAGTGCTGGGATTACAGGCGTGAGCCACCTCACTCTACGGTTTGCATATTCTTTTTTTTTTTTTTTTTGAGATGGAGTCTCTGTCACCCAGTCTGTAGTGCAGTAGCGCGATCTTGGCTCACTGCAAGCTCCCAGGTTCACGCCATTCTCCGGCCTCAGCCTCCCGAGTAGCTGGGACTACAGGTGCCCGCCACCACGCCCGGCTAATTTTTTGTATTTTTTTAGTAGAGACGGGGTTTCACCATGTTAGCCTGGATGGTCTCGATCTCCTGACCTCGTGATCCGCCTGTCTCGGCCTCCCAAAGTGCTGGGATTACAGGCATGAGACACCGCGCCCGGCCTCTGCATATTCTTAATGAGATTAACTAATAAGGTTTTCATGTGGTAATTGGCCATTTGTATGTCATCTTGGAAAAAATGTTTAGTCAAATCCTTGATCGATTAAAAAAATGGGGTATTTGTCTTTTCATTGTTGATTTATAGTAGTTAATTTTTTATATATTATGAATACTGCAGCTTATCGGATATATAGATTGCAAATATTTTTTCCCATTCTGCGTGTTGTCTTTTACATTCTCAATAGTGTACTTTGAAGCACAAATGGTTTTAATTTCTATTGTCAAATTTATTTATTTAAATCTATTATGGCTTTACAGTTAATTTTTATACATGATAGAAGGTAAAAGTTCAAATGATTATTATTATTTGCATGTGGATATCCAATTGTCCTAGCAACACTGTAGAAAATACTGTTTTTTCCAAAATAAATTGTCTTGAAACTGTCATCAAAAAAAATAACTGACTATAAATGTATTTCAGTATTCTCATTTCTATTTAATATATTTATATTTATTATTATGCAAGTACTGCACTGCCTTGATTACTGGAGCTTTCTTGTTGTAAGTTCTGAAATTGAAAAGTGAGAATCTTTTAATGTATTTTTTCAAAAAGTTATCTTACCTAATATGGGTTTTTTGGTTTAACATATATATTTTTAGATCAGCTTGTCAATTTCTTCCAAAAAAAACAAACAAAAAAGCAACCAAAAACAAAAACAAACAAACAAACAAAAAACAAGCAAACAAAAGAAGCTGCAAATCTTATAGGGAGTTCATTAAATGTTTATATCAATTTTAGGAGGATTGATATATTAACATATTAAATCTTCTGATCAGTGAACATGTGATGCTTTCTATTTACTTGTCTTAATTTCTTTTATATTATATTGTTTTACAATACAAGTCTTGTACCTTTGTACATATACTTACACCTAAGTGCTTTGTTGTGTTTGATGTTATGATAAATGGAATTTTTAAACAATTTTATCCTTGGATTATGCACTGACAGTGTGCAAAAATACGGTTGATTTTTCTATATTGATCTTGTGTTCTGAAACCTTGCTGAACTAATTTATTAGCTGTAATTGTTTCATTGGAAATTCTGTATAATTATATGCAGGATAATGCGATAAGTAAATAAGAGACTTTAACTTGTTTCTTTCCAACCTGAATAACTTTTATTTCTGTTTTTTTTTGTTTGTCTCATTTCCCTGAATAGTACCTCTAGTACAATGCTGAGTAGAAGGAGGACAGACATCCTTGGTTCAATATTAGAAGGAAATCTTTGACCATTAAGTATAATGTTAGATGTGGCTTTTTATTGGATTGAAGTTCTTTTGTATTTCTACTTGTTGATTTACCTTTTGTCATAAAAGGGTGTCAGATTTTGTTAAGTGTTTTTCACATATCCATTGAAATGGTCATGTGGGTTTTTAAATTTTTTTTTATTTCAATAGGTTTTTGGGGGAACAGATGGCATTTGGTTAGATGAATAAGTTATTCAGTGGTGATTTCTGAGATTTTGTTGCACCCATCATCTAAGCAGTATACACTGTACACAATGTGTAGTCTTTTATCCCTCACCACCCATAACCCTTTCCCTTTCTTCTGCCTTTGCGTGCTTATAGCCTAGCTCCCACATATGAGTGAAAACGTACAATGTTTGGTTTTCACTTCCTGAGTTACTTCACTTACAATAATAGTCTCCAATTCCATCCAGCTTGCTGCAAATACCTTTATTTCATTCCTTTTTTATGGCTGAATAGTATTCCACGGTATGTGTGTGTGTGTGTGTGTGTGTGTGTGTTTATATATGTGTGTGTGTGTGTATACACATATAACATTTTCTTTTTACGCTCGTTGATGGATGGGCAGTTGGACTGGTTCCACATTTTGGCAATTGCAAACTGTGCTGTTATGAATATGCATGCGCAAGTATCACTACCTTTTAGATATAATGACTTCCTCTAGATAGATACCAAGGAGTGTATTGCTGGATCAAAAGATAGATCTACTTATAGTTCTTCAGGAAATCTCCACACTAATTTCCATAGTGGTTCTAGTAGTTTACTTTCCCACCATCAGTGTAAGAGTGTTACTTTCTCACCACATCCATGCCAATATCTTTTTTTAAAATTATTTTTTGATTATGGTTATTCTTGCAGGAGTAAGGTGATATCACACTGTGGTTTTGGTTTGCATTTCCCTGATCATTAGTGATGTTGAGCATTTTTTCGTTTTCTTGTTGGTTATTTGTATATCTTCTTTTGAGAATCGTGTATTCATGTCCTCAGCCCAGTTTTTGATGGGATTATTGGTTTTGTTCTTGCTGATTTGAGTTCTGTGTAGTTTCTAAATATTTATTAGTCCTTTGTTGGATGCATAGTTTTCAAAGATGTTCTCCTATTCTCTGTGTTGTCTGTTAACTCTGCTGATTATCTCTTTTGCTGTGCAAAAGTGTTTTAGTTTAATTAAGTCCCATCAACTTATCTTTGTCTTTGCTGCATTTGCTTTTGGGTTCCTGGTCATGAAGTCTGCCTCAGTCAATGTCTAAAATGTTTTTCTGATGTTATCTTCTAGAATTTTTGTGGTTTCAGGTCATAGATTTAAGTCTTTGATCCATCTTGGTTGATTTTTGTATAAAGTGAGAGATAAAGATCAAGTTTCATTCTTCCACATGTGAATTGCCAATTATCCCAGTACCATTTCTTGAGTAGGTTGTCCTTTCCCCACTTTATGTTTTTGTTTGCTTTGTTGAAGTTCTGTCAGCTGTAAGTATTTGACTTTATTTTTGGGTTTTCTATTCTGTTCCATTGGTCTGTGTACCAATTTTTATACCAATACTATGCTGTTTTGGTGACTATGGCCCTGTAGTATAGTTTGAAGTCAGGTAATGTGATCCCACCAGATTTGTGCTTTTTGCTTAATCTTACTTTGGCTATGTGGTCTCTTTTTTGGTTCTATATGAATTTTATAATTTTTTTCTAGTTCTGTAAAGAATGATGGTGGTATTTTTGATGGGGATTGCATTGAATTTGTAGATCGCTTTTGGCAGTCTGGTCTTTTTCGTAATATTGATTCTACCTATCCATGAGCATGGGATGTGTATTTATTTGTTTGTGTCATCTATGATTTCTTTAAGCAGTGTTTTTTTCATTTTCGTTGCAGAGATCTTTCATCTCTTTGGTTAGGTCTATTACTAAGTATTTTATAATATATATTTTTGGCAGCTATTGTGAAGGAGTTGGGTTCTTGATTTGATTCTCACCTTGGTTGCTGTTGGTGTGTAGCAGAACTACTAATTTGTGTATATTACTTTTGTATCCTGAAACTTTGCTGAATTCATTTACCGGTTCAAGGAGCTCTCGGGATGAATCTTTAGTGTTTTCTAGGTATATGTTCGTATCATCAGCACTGATAGTTTGACTTTCTCTTTACCAATTTGGATGTACTTCATTTCTTTCTCTTGTCTGATTTGGCTAGGACTTCAGTACTATGTTGAATAGAAGTGATGAAGTGGACATCCTTGTCTTGTTCCATTCTCAGGGGGAATGTTTTCAACTTTTCCCCATTCACTATAATGTTAGCTGTGGATTTGTTGTAGATGGTATTTATCACCTTAAGGTATGCCCCTTCTATGCCAGTTTTGCTGAGGGTTTTAATCATAAAAGGATGCTGGATTTTATCTGTACCTTTTTCTGCATCTACTGAGATAGTCATGTGATTTTTGTTTTAAATTCTGTTTATATACTGTATAACATATATTGATTTGTGTGTGTGTTAAACCATCCCTGCATCCCTGGTATGAAACCCACTTGATCATGGTGGATTATCTTTTTGATATCCTGATGGATTTGGTTTTCTAGTATTTTGTTGGGGATTTTTGCATCTATGTTCATCATGGATATTGGTTTTAGTTTTCTTTTTTTTTTTGTTATGTCTTTCTCTGGTTTTGGTATTAGGGTGATACTGTCTTCATAGACTGATTTAGGGAGAATTCCCTCTTTATCTTTTGGAATACTGTCAATGGGATTGGTACCAATTCTTTTTTGAATTTCTGATAGAATTCAGCTGTGAATTCATCTGGTCCTGAACTTTTTTGTTGTTGTTGTTTTCTGTTTTTAAATTACCATTTCAATCTTGCTGCTTAGTATTGGTCTGTTCAGAGTTTCTATTATCTTCCTGGTTTAATCTAGGAAGGTTGTATATTTCCAGGAATGTATCCATCTCCTCTAGGTTTTCTAGTTTTTGTGTGTAAAGGTGTTCATAGTAGCTTTGAATAACCTTTTGTATTTCTGTGGTATCAGTTGTAATATCTCTCATTTATTTTCTAATTGAGCTCATTTGAATCTTCTTTTTTTCTTGGGTAATATTGCTAATAGTCTATCAATTGTATCTTTACAAAGAACCGGTTTTTGTTTCATTTATGTTTTTTACTGTTTTTATTTGTTTGTTTCAATGTCATTTAATTCTGCTCTGATTTTCATTGTTTAATTTCCTCTGCTGGGTTTGAGTTTGGATTGTTCTTGTTTTTCTGGTTCCATGAGGTGTGACCTTAGATTGTCTATTTGTGCTCTTTTAGGCTTTTTGATGTAGGCATTTAATGCTATGAACTTTACTCTTAGCACTACTTTTGTTGTATCCCAGATGTTTTGATTGGTTGTGCCACTCCTATTTTTCAGTTCAAAGAAATTTTTAATTTCCATCTTTATTTCATTGTTGACCCAATGATCATTCAGGAGCAGGTTATTTAATTTCCATGGATTTACATGGTTTTGAGGGTTCCTTTTAGAGCTGATTTTCAATTTTATTCCACTGTGGTCTAAGAACATACCTGATATAATTTCAAATTTCTTAAATTTACTGAGAATTGTTTTTTGGTCTATAATTTGGTCTATCTTGGAGAAGGTTCCATGTGTTGATGAATAGAATGTATATTCTGTAGTTGCTGGATAGAATGTTCTACAAATATCTGTTAAGTCCATTTGTTCTAGGGTATAGATTAAGCCTATTGTTTCTTTGTTGACTTTCTGTCTTGAAGATCTGTCTAGTGCTGTCAGTGGAGTATTAAAGTCCTCCACTATGATTGCGCTGCCATCTATCTCATTTCTTAGGTCTAGTAGTAATTGTTTTATAAATGTGGGACCTCTAGTATTAGGTGCATATATATTTAGAATTGTGATATTTTCCTGTTGGTCTAGTCCTTTTATCATTATATAATGCCCCCTTTGTCTTTTTTAACTGCTGTTGCTTCAACATTTGTTTTGCTGATGTAAGAATAGCTACTCTTGCTGGCTTCTGGTGTCCATTTGCATGGAATGTCTTTTTCTACCTCTTAACCTTAAGTTTATGTGATTCCTTATATGTTACAGGAGTCTCCTGAAGATAGTAGAAACTTGGTGAATTCTTATCCCTTCTGCCATTCTATACCTTTTAAGTGGAGCATTTAGGCCATTTACATTCAATGTTAGTATTGAGATGTGTGGTACTATTCTATTCATCATGCTATTTGTTGCCTGAATACTTTGTTTTTGTTTTATTTTTTTCATTGTGTTGCTAGTATGTAGGTCCTCTGAAATTTATCATTTAAGTAGGTTCTATTTTGGTGTATTTCAAAGATTTGTTTTGAGATTAGAACTTCTTTTAGGGGTTCTTGTATTGCTGGCTTGGTAGTGGCAAATTGTCTCAGCATTTGTTTGTCTGGAAAAGTCTGTATCTTTCCTTCATTTATGAAGCTTAGTTTGACTGGATGCAAAATTCTTGGTTGACAATTGTTTTGTTTGAGGAAGCTAAAAATAGGACCCCAATCCCTTCTAGCTTGTAGGGTTTCTGCTGAGAAATTGCTGTTACTCTGATAGATTTTCCTTCATAGGTTACCTGATGCTTCTGCCTCACCACTGATAAGATTCTGTCCTTTGTCTTGACTCTAGATAACCTGATGATTATATGTCTATGCAATAATATTTTTACAATGAATTTCTCAGGTGTTCTTTGAACTTCTTGTAGTTGAATGTCTAGATCTCTAGCAAGGCTGGGAAAGTTCTCCTCAGTTATTCCTTCAAATATGTTTTCCAAACTTTTAGGTTTCTCTTCTTCCTCAGGAACACCAATCATTCTTAGCTTTGGATGTTTAACATTGTCCCAAACTTTTTGGAGGTTTTGTTCATTTCTTTGTTATTCTTTTTTGTTTGTCTTTGATGGATTGAAAGTTTTGTCTCTGAGCTCTGAAGTTTGTTCTTTTGCTTGTTTTATTCTTGTGCTTGTTTTTTGTTTATGCTATCTATTTCACTGAATAATTATTCTTTTATGTCCTGTATCATGTTTTTTATTTCTTTAAGTTAGACTTCACCTTTCTCTGCTGCCTCCTTGATTAGCTTAATAATTGACCTTCTGAATTGTTTTTTCTGTCAATTCAGAGATTTTTTCTTGGTTTGGTTCCATTGCTCGTGAGCTGGTATGATCTTCGGGGGTGTTAAAGAGCCTTGTTTTGTCATGTTGCGAGAGTTTTCTGCTTCCTTCTCATTTGGGTGGACTATGTCAGAGGGAAGATCTAGGATTCAGGGGTTGCTGTTCAGATTATTTTGTCCCACAGGGTGTTCCCTTGATGTGGTGTTCTCCCCCTTCCCCTAGGAATGGGGCTTCATGAGAACCAAACTATAGTGATTGTTTTTGCTCTTGTGGTTCTAGACACCCAGCAGAACTACCAGGCTTTGGGCTGGTACTGGAAAGTGCCTACAAAGAGTCCTGTGATGTAATCTGCCTTCAGGTCTTGCAGGCATGGATACCAACACCTGCTCTGGTGGAAGTAGCATGGGAGTGAAGTGAGCTCTGTGAGGGTTTTTGGTTTTGTTTTTATTAAGTGCACTGGTGTTGTATTGGTTGGCCTCCAGCCAGGAGGTGGCACTTTCAAGTGTTCATCAGCTGTGGTCCTATAGAGAGGATGCAAACTTGCCCTAGGTATGCTTGGTTAAGTATTCAGGTTTTCAGGCAGTGAGCAGGGCCACAGAGCTCCCAAGAGATTGTGACCTTTGTCTGGCTACCAGGCCAGGTAGAGAAAGACTACCAGGTGGGGGCAGGAATAGGCAGGTCTAACCTCAGCCTCTCCTTGGGTGGGGCTTGCTTTGGCTGCTATGGGGGATGAGGCTGTGGTTCCCAGTCCAATGGAGTTATGTTCCCACGGGGATTATGGCTGCCTCCTCTGAGTTATAAAGGTTTCCAGGGAAGGCGGGGAAAGCTGGCAGTCACAGGCCTCATCCCACTCCTATGCAGCCCAAAGTTGTAAAGGCTGATCAGGCACCTACCATCCCCCCGCAAGTAGCACCCAGTCTATTTCCAGGCAGCTGGTGACCAGGGCTGAGAACTTGCCCCAGCCCATGACCCTCCCAGTTGAGAAAGCAAGCAGAATCACAGTTTTTTGGCATCTCAGGGAGTCTGCAGTGGTGATCCAGTTCCTTCAAAGAGTCTGTGAATTCTTTTGGCTTTTCTGGTATGTTGCTATGGTAGTTTTTCGATCAAAAATTCACGATGTGAGTGTCTACATGCTGCTCTGTCCATCTGAGCAGGAGCTGCAAGCTAGTCCTGTGTCCTATCTGCTACCTTAATCTCCTCCTACACATTTTTCAACTATATTTAGACCTAAAGAATATAATTAGTTCTCCCTCATCTTCTTTGCTCTGCAACAACCAGGAAGTAGGAGGGAGCTTGGCCCTGTGTTCCCTTAGCTGCCCCAGGAGTGTTATCTGGAAGGCAGATGAGGAGTCAGCCCATGCTCTGTGCTTGGAGTCTGGGCTGAATGCTGGCAGCAGGGCCAACTTAAGGCCCAGACCCAAGCGGGCCCAGCACCTGTGGTGGCTTCTCCTACCAGGAGTCTGGAGGAGCACTGATGGCCAGGTTCTGGGTGGCACAACTGCCTCCCAGCCGCCTGCTCCTTCATGGCTTTGTGGGTTTTCACGTGGTTTTGTCCATTCTTCATTCAAGTGTAGCTTAGCAACAGGAATACATTCTGAGAGATGCAACATATGGCGATTTCATCATTTTCCAAACATCACAGAGTGTACACAAACCTAAATAGCACAGCCTATTAGACACCCAGGCTGTATGATACAGCCTATTTTTCCTAGGCTACAAACCTGTACACAATGATGCTGTACTGAATGCTTTTGACAACTGGAACACAACAGGAAATATTTGTGTATCTAAACATAGAAAAGATAGAGTAAAAATACAGCATAAAAGATGTTAAAAAGGTAGACTTATATAGGGCACGTATTTTGGATGGAGCTTGTGGGACTAGAAGTTGCACTGGAATTGTCAGTGAGTGAGTGGTGAGTGAATGTGAAGGCCTAAGACATTACTGTACACCACCATAGACTTTATAAACACTGTACACTTAGGGGAAACTAAGTTTATAAAAAATTTTTCTTCAATAATAAATTAATCTTGACTTACTGTAACTATTTTACTTTGTAAAATTTTTAATATTTTAAAGTATTTGTTCCTTTTTCATAACACATAGCTTAAAACACAAACATAGTATGCAGTTGTACAAAAATACTTTATGTCCTTATTCTATATGCTTTTTTCTATTTTTAATTTTTTTAACTTTTTTTGTTAAAAACTAAGACAAATGCACACATTAGCTTAGGCCTACACAGGATCAGGATAATCAATATCACTGTCTTCCACATCCTTATCTTGCCCCACTAGAAGGTCTTCAGGGAAATACCATGCATGCAGCTGTCATCTCCTACGATAACAATGCCTTCATCTGGAATACCTCTTGAAGAACCTGCCTAAGGCTGTCTTATGGTTAATCATTTTTTAATAAGTAGATGTACATTCTAAAATACAAAAAAGTATAGTCTAATAAACACATAAATCAGTAACAGTCATTTACTATTAAGCACTATGTACTATGTATAGTTTATGTACTATACTTTCATATGATTTGCAGCATTGTAGGTTTGTTCAAACAGCATCACCACAAATACATAAATAATGCATTGCACTACAAAGTTATGATAACTATGATGTCACTACTCAATAGAAATTTTTCAGCTTCATTATAATCTTCTGGGACCACCATTGTCTATGCAGTCTGAAATGTCCTTATATGGCACTTGACTGTATTAATATGGTATATTACATTGATTATTTTGTCTGTTGAACCAACCTTGAATTTCTAGGATGAACTCCATTTGGCCATGGTATATAAAATCCTTTTGTACAGTGCACAGTTCTGTTAGTAATTGGTTGACTTTTTGCATTATTTTCATAGGATATATTGGTCTACGGTTTTTTTTCTTTATGGTGACGTTTTCATTTAGTTATGCTAACAGGGTTATATTTACATTATAGGATGCGTCAGAAAATTTACCCTCCTTGGCCGGGCGTGGTGGCTCACGCCTGTAATCCCAGCATTTTGGTAGGCCGAGGCGGGCAGATCACGAAGTCAGGAGATCGAGACCGTCCTGGCTAACATGGTGAAACCCCATCTCTACTAAAAATACAAAAAATTAGCCGGGCATGGTGGCATGTGCCTGTAGTTCCAGCTACTCAGGAGGCTGAGGCAGGAGAATCACTTGAACCCAGGAGGCGGAGGTTGCAGTGAGCCGAGATTTCACCACTGCATTCAAGCCTGGGTGACAGAGAAAGACTCCATCTAAAAAAACAAAAAGAAGAAGAAGAAGAGAAAACTGTACCCTTCTCTTCCAATTTTTGAGTTTATAAAGAATTGGTATTCATTCTCCCAATGTTTGACAGAATCAGTGTTAAAATCTTCTGAGATTGAGATTTTTTTAATAGTATAGATTTAGTTTATTTACTTTTTATAAAAGTATTTACAATTTATATTTCTTGAGTCAGTTTTAGTAAATTGTAGCTTTTTAGAAATGTCTCAATTTTATTTTAAATCTAATTTGTTGACAATTCTTTATAGTACTTATAATCATCTTTATGTCTATGTCAATAGTAATATATGTTATTTAATTTCTAATTTTAGTAATTTGAGACTTTTTTCTCTTTTCTGGTTATTCTTACTAGAGATTTTATAAGTTTTGTTAATCTTTCAAATAGCAAACATGGTTTTCTATTATTTTATATTTCCTATTTAAATTGTTTTTATGCTCAACCATTATCATTTTCTTCCTTCCACATGGCTTGGGTTAAATTTATACTTTTAAAAAGTTTTCTACTTTTTCAAGGTAGATAGTTATTAGTTTGGGACATTTCATCAAATTGACTTCTAATTTCATTCCATTTTGATCATGCTAAATCTTTGAAATTTGGTATGTGTTTTACACTTATCTTGTATTTCAGTTCAAACCACCTATGTTTCAAGTGCTCAATACACAAATGTGATCAGTGTCCACTGTACTGATAACAAAATTGTAGCAGCTTCAACCACTTATTGAATCTCTAATACTCAATTTCAATAATTAATTTTGTCACTTTTCCTCTACATCAATGCTACCTATTTTTGGCAAAATATTGTCAGCCCTCTGACAGAAGAGAAAAAATGAGAGGTACTCTGTAAATAATTGACATGAAGATAAATGAAAATATTCAAGTCCTTTGACTTATCTGCCAAATTCTGACTCCTGCTGAAATTACAGTACAAGGTGGGTGCAAGAGTGGGAACAATTTTAGCTTCTTCAATCCTGTCAATAGCCTTGTGCTGAGCTGCCAAGAATAGACTAGGACTGCCAGTACTGATGCTGATTCCCCTTACCTAATTCTTCCAAGGATAGGTGTTCCCATCACTTTTTCAAAAGCCTAAGTGATGCTGAAAGAAGTCTTTAACAACCCTTCAACTGTGGACAGAGAATGGCCATGGAGGAAGAGAAGCAGAAAATTGTTAGTTACTCTGTTTCATAGTCAAAATGGGTGTCTCAACCTCTTGAATCACATTTCAGTTTAAAACTTGCCTCTTTTCATAGAATTCTGAGGCATTTAGATTCTCTTCCACATAGATTCATCAAATCATCATTATTATTAATTTTTCTGTCTAGTTATTTTTGTTTGATTCCTTTTGTTTTTCTTTTTATTATTTTAGATATAACCTGTTTAGAAATGTTTTTCTGTTTTGAAGAGAGCTCTGTAAATATGTTGGTGCTGTTTTCAGGGAATGTTTCACAGACAGAAAACCAAAAGGTTGACTATGCAGGATTCCCAGAATTATACAAAAGCAATAATATATAATATAATTGTGTCTGTTTGAAAAAGATTTTTTTTAACTTGACTACCTAGGATAGTCTGAGATAAGCGGCATCAGCATCATCTGGGAGCTTGTTGGAAATGCAAAGTCTCTGGTTCAACCTCAGATGTACTAAATCAGAATCTATAGTTTAACAGGATCCTCTGATTATTTAGATACACATTAAGTGGAAAAACTCTGGTTTAGAACAAGGGCAGTCATTATTCCCACTATTAGAATCACCTGGAAAGATTTTTATCAATTCCAATACTCAGGTAACACCCAAAATCCACTGAATCAAATTCTCTGAAGTGACTCGGGTATCCTTACTAGTTAAATTCCCATGTGATTCCAAGGTTCAACCAATGTTATTAACTACACTCAAGAGGGAGGTTATTTTCTACATGTTTAATTCTTTCCCCATTTGGTTTCATTGTATAAAATGGTTTTCAAGATGTGTAAGTCTGGTTAACATTTCAAGTGATTCTTATGTTACATAGTTCAAGGACCACACTTGGAGAAATATTATATTATTTATCTTATGTGGTTCATTGTACTGGATGTGGGAGAATCTCTTAATAAAAGGAATAAAAGGGGGGAAAAACATAAAAACATATATAGTGCAGTCCTCCCAACCCACAAATGAAAACCTTAGCCTAGGATTTTTCCATGATTTAGACAACGCCACTCTGCAATTTCTGAGGGAGACCTAGAACTAGATCATTGTACTCAGTGCCTCTGGGATAGATGGTGCTAATTCATCTTACTCAGTGCAGTAGAATGACCTTAGTATGTTTCTGTACTGACATTTTGTGCTTTAATATATGCACATAGCCTTGCTATTTTACAACAATATTATTTGTCTAATAGATTGAATATTTTATTCAAATATCTTATTTAAAAGCTACATGAAAATGGATTAGAAATGACAATACAGATTACATCCAACTGTTTTTTTTTTTTCTTAAGAGGTTGTAGGTGCCTGAGGTGATTATTGTTGAATGGCCAGTGGTTCTCATCTAAATCATACTATGGTTCAAGTTTTTTCAAATATCTAGACAATGGTAAACAAACCTTTTTCAGTTGTAACTCTGAAACTCTAGATGAACTGTGCAGGTTTGAGCCTCTGGCTAATATCCTATCTTGTGTGTATGAGACAAAGAGAGAAAGAGACAGGCTTTACATGCGCTATTTCATGTCATCCTAACACAATTATTGGATACAGCTAGTAAGAGGCTGAGCTGGGATTTGAATCCTAGTCTACATAATTCAAAAGCCTATACAATTTCAAGTAGTTTTTACACACACCAAATGTTCTTATATTGCTTTTAAGTATGAGACTATAGACTCGGACTCTTAATCCTAAAACATGTGAGCTGAGATAAAACTCAGAGACAATTGTTAGACAGTTGACCTGAGGTGTGGAACATGGGAGGGAATAGGCCATGATCAACTATCTAACATTCTGTTAGAAATATGAATCATTCACTAATTAGTTGGCTAAAGAGTATTTAGCCAAGATTTAATACCATTACTTTCACATTTAGATTCCCATTGTTTCTGAATAATGAGCATGACAGATATGGAATTATTGGTGGGGATAACAGAGTTTTAAAAGCAAAATATTAAATTACATAAGACAATTTTAGTTTTACCCAACTTTTTATTTAAAAAGAACTTTACAGAGAACACCTAGAAAGCTGCCATCTAAAATAATATTTTATTAACTTGTTCCATCATATCTCTATTCCTCTACATAACCATTAACTCATCTTACTTTTGATATACTTTAAGGTAATTTTTATAACTACCACAGCATGCATATCATTAATAAATTAGCAGTTTCTTTTTAACGTAAAATTTACATATGATGAAATGTACATAAATGTGCATTGAGTCTAGAAAAATGCATAACCCTATGTAACCTGAAACCCCAGCCAGTAATAGTACTTTACCATCAGTCAGAAATCTCCTTATGCCCCATGCCAGTCATTTCCTGCTCTATCACCAGGAAGCAATCATTCTGTGCTAATTTTTTCTACTGTAGAATAATTTTCCTCATTCTCGAGTGTCACATAAATACAAGCCTATATTATGTATTTTTGGAACTTTTTTCTTAATATGAATAATATTTTTGAGATTCATAAATGTTATTTATTATCAATGTATTCATTTTTAAAACACTTTAGTCCAGGTGTGGATTACACGCCTGTAATCCCAGCACTTTGGGAGGCCGAAGCAGGCGGATTACCTGAGGTCGGGAGTTTGAAACCAGCCAGACCAACATGGAGAAAACCCATCTCTACTAAAAATACAAAAATTAGCTGGGTATGGTGGTGCATCCCTGTAATCCCAGCTACTCTGGAGGCTGAAGCAGGAGAATCGCTTGAACCTGGGAGGCGGAGGTTGCGGTGAGCCGAGATCATGCCATTTCACTCCAACCTGGGCAGCATGAACGAAACTCCGTCTCAAAATTAAATAAATAAATACTTTGGTATTTTCTTGTATAAACGTGCTACAGTTTATCTACTCTCCTACTAATAAACACATAGGCTTTATCTAGTTTTGGGTTATGATAAATAAAGTTTCCATGAACATTCTTGTACAACTTTAAAAAATATATTTTTATTTATCGTGGGTAAAGGCATAGGAGAAGTATGGCTGGGTCATAAGGTAGGAATATATTGAATTTTATAATGAATTGCCAGGTTTTTTTTAAAGTAATTGTACCATTTTACCTTGCCACTAACAGTGAATTTTCTAGACCCAGATACTTACCAATATTTGGTGCTATCTGTATTTCCATCTCTCTCAAACTTGTATTAGCCATTTTGGTGAACACAGTGGTATCTCATATTATTTTAATTCACATTTCTCTAATTCTTAATTATGTTAAGGACTATGGGTTTCTATTAGCCATTTAGAAAACTTTATTATATTGAGTATAGAAATTACATACAGTGAATACCATTTTTTTTTTAAATATGTGCTTTGTGCTAGGCATGGTGGCTCATCCTTATAATCCTGCACTTTGGGAGGCTGAGGCAGGTGGATCACTTGAGGTCAGGAGTTTGAGATCAGCCTGACCAACATGATAAAACCCCCATCTCTACTAAAAATACAAAAATCAGCCAGGCTTGGTGGTGTGTGCCTGTAATCCCAGCTACTCAGGAGGCTGAGGCAGGTGAATTGCTTGAAACCAGGAAAAGAAAGTTGCAGTGACCTGAGATCCTGCCACTGCACTCCAACTTGGGTGACAGAACGAGACTCCATCTCAAACAAAAAAAAAAAAGAGAAATTGCCTTGTGAATATTTTTCCTCATCTGCAGTTTCACCATTCACTGACTATTTCTTTTGATGATAAGACATTTACATTTTGATGAAGTCTAATTTTTTAGCATTAAAAAATTACTGCTTGATGCAGTCTAAGAGTTATGTGCTTTATATGCCCACCACTGTATCATGAAGATTTTCTTATAGTTTTTCACTAAAATATTTCCTATTTTGTATTGTATGTTTAGAACTATTATAAATCTGAATTAATAAGTCCACATGATGTAAGGTAGAAATCCAGGTTTCATTTTGATATGTAGCTTCTATCAACATTTTGGGAAAATATTTTACTTTGTCTATTAGATTGTGTTAGCACATTTGTAATTAAAGAAAAGCGATCACAAAATGTGGGTCTATTTTTGAACTTTCTTTTATTTATGCGTTGATGCTTATGCCAGTAACATACAGTCTTAAAATTAGGTAAAGTAGTTCTCACAATTTTATTTTTATTATTCAAGATTGCTTTGGATATTCTATGTCCTTGCATTTTCATGTAAATTTTAGATTCAGCTTGCCAATTTCTACAAAGGAAAAGTTTGTTTTGATTATAATCACGATTATATAGAATCTAAAGATCAAATGGGACTATTGGGATCTTAACAGCATTGGGCAGACTATATAAATATAGTATATTTTGACCTTTATTTGGTCTTTCATAATTTCATTTAGTTATATTATATAATTTCCAATGTAGAGGTCTTGGAGAAGTTTTGGTAAATTTATTCCTAAGTATATTTTTAACACTACCTAACACTACAGTAAATGGAACTGATTTTTATTGCTTCCATTTTTTTGTTACTAGTATCTGAAATACAATTTTTAATAAAATAAACCTTAAGTACTGTGGCCTTAATAAATTTAATTTTAGGTTTTCTGTATATTTCTTGGATTTCTACAACCCAGTCATATCATATTCAAATAGAATTATTTTTCTGTTCTTTTTTTCTTGTCTTATTGCATTGGCAGTACTCCATCAACTTTGAATCTAAATAAAGAAATTGAATATTTAGAGTTAGCTTTCTTATTTACTAAATTATTTATTTTAAAGCTCATTATCCTTTTGTGACTAAGTATCATGTTTTCATTTTGGAAAATTTTTCTTTGGCATATCTTATAGGGCAGGTTTATTCGATAACAGTTATATCATTTTTCTTTGTTTTAAAAGGCATTTTTTTCTTCTCAGATAATATTTACACTGAATTTCAAAGTTTGATTCGGCAACTTATTTTCCTCATTGCATTTAATTTATGCACTATCTTCTAGTTTCAACACTTTCAGATGAGAAGTCAGTGGTGATCTGAAGCATTATTCCCCACATAAACTTTGTTTCATTTTAATTGCTTTAAAGATCTTCTTTTCAATCTTTAGTTTTCAGTAGTTTTACTATAATGTGCATGAGTGAAATTTTATTCTACTTTGATTTGTAGAGATGCTTAAATCTATATATTTTTGTATTCACCAAATTTGAGAGATTTCACACATTATTTCTTCAAATATGCCCTATTCTCTCCCTCCTTTCCTGTTGGGACTCCAATTAAACACCCGCTATGCCTTTGAACATTATTGCACAAATTGCTAAGACTCTGATTTTTTTCCCAATAACTTCTCAACTTCCATGGACACCAATTTAGCAAAGAAGAAACTCAAATACATGAAGCTAAAGATGGATACAACTATTATACGAATAAGAATGAAATAAGTGAATATTGTGGAATGTCTGTATTATCAACAATATTTGCTCTTGTATTTATTTTTAGTTTGTTGTTGTGTTGTTGTGAAAACGTCTGCCATTTTTTAATGCATTTCCAGGAGAGCGGACATAAGCAATCTTATCATGGGACAAGGACTATTTCAAGGACTTTTAATTTTTCTGCATTTTCAGGTGGTTTTTACACATATCACCCACAAACCCCTTCGATTATTTTTGCTAATTTTACCCTACAATAATTACATTGTGTCAATTAAAAACATGGAATTATTTAAAATAATATATTGTTGTTTTGATCTTATCCTGCCAGAAATTCATACTAGTAGACTTTCCATCTATAACTCACAGGCTAATACACACATTCAAATTAAAGTAGGACTTTTGTAACAACTCTTAGGGCATTTTTGAGATATTAAATTATTCTAGAAATGTGTTTTCATTACTGCATATTAGCTTGTGCATGGGCTGACAGCAAGTTTTTCTCATTTAAAAATATGCTATTCATGAACAAAGCTACTTCTTAATGGGATGGTATTATCAGTACGCTGCTAGCATGAAGAGGTGTTGGCTATTTTTGAGGGAAAACGCCATACTCATGGTAGAAGTTTACACAGCTGTGTTTAGGTTCATCAAACATCTCACAATAAACATCTGAGGTTTGCTAAATTTCCAAATGTGTTTTGCCACATGCATTTCCCCTTCTTTTTAAAGCATGGAAAGAGTTTCAAAAGTTGCCACTTCATCTGTTTATCAAAATAGAAGCATAAATACGCTTTGCTGTCAATAAATTATGTTGAGTGGGTTTATGGCTTGTTTTTCTCTCTTTCATATAGCGAGAGAGCTCAGAAGTAAACAATCCAAAGCCAGAGGATTCAGGCATCATTGCCAGGATTTTCAAATATCCTAGAATACATGCTTCTATTTGCTAAATGCTGGCAACTTGTGCTTGGGCAAAAAATCAAATCAGTCTCCTATTACGTGACTGCAGCTTTTTGCTGTTTAGTTAACATATTTTTTTGGAACCAGAATTTACAAAGAGAAAACAAATTGTTTCTAGAGGTCTATTTTCTAAAACATTAAATTGAACTATTATCAGTCATTGATACAATATCTTACCTAATCTTCAGTCATGATCATAATTGGTCCCACTTATAACTGAAGAGTATGTGACTTTTGATGCATTACCTATTCTCTATTGTCTTTCATTTTTCCCCTAATTTACCTAGAATCCTTGGCTAAAGTTCAATATTCTACTAATTATTTAGAAGTTGCTCTTTTGGCTGAGTTTGCGTCAATGTAAATGTTTGACTAGCTTGTGGGATGCTATATATAAATGGCCTAGAATTTTGAGCTACACACTTGTGGATTTAAACTCTACTTTTTTTCTTTTCTCTCATATACCTAGTTCCTCATCTGTAAAATTGGCTACGAAGAGCTATCCTTCAAAAATATTATGAAAACTGAATACACTAGTATAAAACTCAGTAGAGTTGGTATGAATTGGAGATAATATTAGAATATTAGCTTTCCTAAGCTTTTTCTGCAAACTTCAAGTAAATTAAATAGAAAAATCACTTTAAATGATTTTAAAAGAGAAATCATGAAAATGATAACGCTGAAAGGCTAATAAGAAATACCAAATCAGTTACAGAAGCACATGGGAAAAAAGAAAAAAAAATCAATAATTTTAACTGTTCACCCAAATGTGTGGCTGTTCCTGTCACACAAGCACCATATATTTACTGCTAGAAGAAGAAATCTTCAAATTTACAGAGATGCTTCTCATTTTATCACAAGGTACATCTCATTATTATTTCTATTTGTTTTAATTTTGAAGTTAAATTGAAAAATAAAAAATGATGGAATGTAGCCAAATCTTGAGTCACAGGGAAATGCATAGGGTGATTTTACTAACTAACAAAATGTATGCAACAAATACAAAAATCTACTAAATATTGTACAATATAGAAAACTAAAAGTAAGTCAAAATGTAGGAATTATTATATTAGCAGCAAAAATGTAATGTATTATGTAAGTTGGAAAAAATAATAATTAACAAATATACCCAAAACACTCTCTTTAAAAATGTTGATAAAAAAATATCTAAGAGAAAGATAATTGGAAAAGCTATTAAACTACTTGCTTCTCTACAGGAGACCTAGATATAGCTATTTTACTTCAGTTCCTTCAAACCATGCGGAAAATAATAATTCCTAAGCATTTAAGCTTTTCCTGAATTTAGGAGGAAATGAAAGATTGGTTTGCTACCTCATTTTATTAGCTGAAATTAAAATCTGATGCACAGTGCAGAAGAATGTATTCAGAACAACTTCACTTTCAATTTACGTCCCACAATTTTAAATAGTAGTAGTAAAACAATGTGATAAGATTACCATTCATTCAGAACAAGAAGGCCATTAGAAATTAAGATCTCATTGACTGTTAGAAAATATATTATTATAATTTAAAGCAACAGGTTGAAAACATTTAAAACTGTAAAATGTTAGATTTTATTTAAATGTCTGTCTTAATGATGTATTCTCAGATGAAAATTTTGTCATGTTAGAATGAGACAAGGTTTAACATCGATTTGATTCCTTTAATGAATGTGATTTCCTACAGAAAAACCTTGTTTACAGGAATAAGTAGAAGAAGTTTTGTAACAGGAAAGCACTGATATTTGAACTTCTTCCAGGACATGTGATGAGTATTGCACAGGTCATTAAACATAATTTTGGATGATAAATAACTAGCTGAAAACTTAAGTAGAAAACTTGAGTAGGAAACTTGAGCTTTTCCGAAAGAAATATATCACACATGCAAAATGATTTGTCTCTCAGTGCTAAGAAGCTCACGTTCTTAATTGTTGGGAAGAGCAATAGTAATGCCTCATTAAGATTTATCCAAGTAAGGCCTATTAATTTCAACTATTACTCTTTTGATTTGCAGTACTGCTGTACCTTAGTTACACATTAAAACCACCTAGGAAGTTTATAAAACACTGTGATCTATGTCCCACTCCAAAGGATTCTGATTAATTAATTATTCCAGTAAACAACATAGGAGTTAGTTGACAATTTTAAAAACTCCCCCAGTGATTCTAACATTCAGCTAAGGTTGAGAAATACTAATGTTAAAAGTAACTGTTTATTTTATTATTATTGTTTTTTGAGATAGGTCCTCACTCTGTCACCCAGGCTGGAGTGTAGTAACGCAATCTCAGCTGACTGCAACCTCCACTTCCTGTGCTCAAGCAATCCTCCCACCTCAGCCTCTCGAATACCTAGGACTACAGGCTCATACCACCTTGCTCAGCTAATTTTTTAAAAAGTTTTATAGTAACGGTATCTCACTATTTTGCCCAGGCTGGTCTCAAATTCCTGGGCTCAAACAATCCCCCTGCCTCAGCCTTCCGAAGTACTGGGATTACAGGATTACAGCCACCATGCCCAGCTAAAATACCCATTTTTAAATGATATGCACACAAAAGGTTGAAAAAATGGAAATCTTGATTATTTCAACATATCTATGCAAATACTATACTTGGTGATCAAAATGCTTATTTTAATATATTTACAAGTACTTTTGTATGGAGAAATGTCAAATAAAGCATATCATCCGCTCATACAGATTATCGTCGTACAGACATCGCAAATGCAAGTGTGTGATTGCAACTAAAATAAATGAAAAGAGGCCAGGCGCGGTGACACTTTGGGAGGCCAAGGCGGGCGGATCACAAGGTCAGGAGATTGAGACCATCCTGGCTAACACGGTGAAACCCCGTCTCTACTAAAAATATAAGAAATTAGCCGGGCGTAGTAGCATGCACCTGTATTCTCAGATACTTTGAAAGCTGAGGCAGGAGAATCTCTTGAACATGGGAGGCGGAGGTTGCAGTGAGCCAAGATCGCGCCACTACACTCCAGCCTGAGCAACTGAGTGACAATGTCTCTCAAAAATAAATAAACAAATAAATAACAAATGAAAAGCATAAGTTAAAACATTAAAAATATTTGCCTTTGGCCATAGTATTTTTAATAACTTGGGTGGGGGAAGGTAATTACAAAGATAATTCCATACTTTCCCAATTTTTCCTTTTTACCAACAAGAAGGTAAAATTTGTATCACAAAAATCATTAATTTGAATAAAATTAAAAAGCTCTGTTTTATAAAATGTGAAGATTGACTTTATGGATTCAAAAAATCAGAAAAAAAGTATCATGATGTGCATTCATTAGGAGTAAATTAAACCTAAAAGAATTTGCTTGTTTTTTAAAAAAAGTAACTTGGCAAAATATATTCCCTGATTAGTTTGAAACTCCTAAAATACCTTAACTAAAGAAATCCAGCCTTGTTCCAAATTTCAAGTCTTTTTTCTAAATTACAAAGGCATTATCCTAGGAAAATAGTGGTTTCAGTCTGGCTTTAAAAATTATTGTAAAGTATATGGTATAGATGAAAATTAAAATGAATAAAATGTCATTCAACATTTTATGTCTAATTTTTCATTGAATTGTTAATTTTATAAAATAAAATTCTTATAGCTTAAAATGTTAAAATATGTTTAGCTAGAACTTAAAGTAACCCAAAGCCTTTAATTATAAACATTATTTTAGCTCTAATTTATTTTTTATAAACAAAAGACAACTGATATGAAAATAACCTTATTGTTAATAATTTTTTTTTTCTTGACACGGAGTCTCACTCTGTCCCCAAGGCTGGAGTGCAGTGGCGTGATCTCGACTGACTGCAGCCTCTGCCTCCTGGGTTCATGCAATTCTCTGCCTCAGCCTCCTGAGTAGCTGGGATTGCAGGCGCCCGCCACCATGCCAAGCTAATTTTTGTATTTTTAGGAGAGAGGGAGTTTTACCATTTTGGCCAGGCTAGTCTTGAACTTCTGACCTCGTGATCCTCCTTTGCAAGTTTGGGCCCACATTAAACAATCATCCTTGTTGTTCACATGTCACACAACTCTAGACAAATCAATCTATTCAAAAAAGCAAGTTGTATGTCTTTGTTCGCTCACCCAGTATGGATACATTCACTACATGTAAACTTCTATCACCAGGTACTGCAGTTATGTGCCTGTCCATAGAAGTTGAGTGAAAAGCAGACATACCCTCTGGTGAACGAACTATGCAAATTATTACAAGTGCATTCTTTATCACCTTAGTAAATATTTCAATAAACACTAGTCACCATCTTTATTATGATGCACAATTTATTTCCCTCTGGGTTCTACTACAAAGGTAATTCCACTCAATTTTTAGATGAGTAAACACAGGCCCAGACAGTTAAACTGGTTTCCTCAATGTCAAACAGAGAAAGACTCAAGAATAAAATAAAGGTTTCTTGATTGCCCTTTAAAAAAATTTAAAAAATCTAACAAAGAACAGATAGGACTTAGGTAATATATGAAAGAAAATATGTTCTTTTTGGAGTCTCTAAATTCATATCAATTATGCGCCAACTATTTTTTCATCTCAGAGGCTTTTTTAACCTTTTTTCCCCCCACAATTCATTTATTTGAAATATTCACAATAGTTAAGACAAACTGTAGACAGAAGAGTATATTGCCCTCGGGCATTTGTTTCATGTCTCACTTTGTTCCTCCACAAACAGGCCATCACTTTCAAGTATTTCACAGTTCTTGTATTTAATGTCTCTATACAATAACTCATCTCAATAATTATCGACACTATAAAATGTCTTAATAAACCAGAAGAAAAAAAGCATCACAATACTTCAAAACCCTGTTTCAATATCCTGTAAATTACTTGCATGGCTATTGGTAGGTTTTGATACTGGTTCCAACTGTCATTTCTGCTTAGGAAAAGTTATATTATCTTTTGATCAAACTCCCCACTTTTCTAAATAATGCAGTGAAGCAGATACTCCTACAATATTGAATAATTTCAGTCTTTTAGAAGATATATTAACTTTATTAGATTGACCTGTGAATAGAAAGGATACAATATCTGGAAAAAATAGTATAAAGTACTTTTAAAGGCTTTATAGTTGTATTTATAAATTGTTAAAAATAAATACCCAATGTTATCTTTGTATTCAGCTAGGTACTATAGGAAACACAGAGATAAGTAATAAGTGATCTCTCCCCTCAAGCCACTTACATTTTAATGGGTTTCTTTAAACATGCAATCAAATGACAATAGTGCACCAATGAAAGTGATGAAGAAGGCTTGCATTTTTACTAATATTTTTGACTACTTACTTAGATCAATGCTTTCCACTGATTGGATTCCAGAAGGAATGGGAAAGTATACCAAAGAAAATATTTGAAGGAAGAATTATGAGGCAATATATAAGGATGAGATATTAATGAAAGAACTGATGAAAGAGATTTAAGAAACCCAGTATGCACAAGAATTATAGGCAGGATAAGTGAAACACTATTAACATTATATAAATAATTGTAAATGTAAACATTATATAACTAAGATCAAACTTTATCTTAGTTTTTTTATTGTGTTTGGCTTCTTATGCACAATATTATGTTTTTGAGATTCACCCATGCTGTTATCTGTAGATTTAGCTAATGCATTCTCGTTTCTGTACAGCATTGCTTTGTGTGGCTATAAACAATGTGTTTGTGCATTCCATGAATCTACATCGTGGTGATAATGAAGAACACCAAAGGCAAGGCACAGATTTTTATATAATTCCAGAAAAAAATTTACCTTCAAAAGATAACAATTGACAGATGACTTCTCTCACAGTGGATGCTAGAAGACAGAAATATGACAATGTTAATATGCTGGGAGACCAATCACTGTCAGCTTCCATCATTGTAACAATGAAGTAGTATTTCAAAATGAAAGTAATATAAAGATATTTTTTGACAAAAATTGACAGGACATGTCACCTGCAGATACTTTCTAGAGAAAATTTTAAATGTTGTGTTGATGGAAGATTTGCATTTCAAAAAAAGAAGTAAATGTACACAATCTGTTAAATATTTAGGTAACCAAATAGATTACTTGCAGAAAATAATAATGGATTGTAGAGTTTAAATTTTAAAAGAAAATAATTAATATATATAGCAATTAGTATGTAATTTTTGATGTGGAAGAATGGAATTAAAGTGTTTTACAATCTTTGCAATTTGGAAGACAAAGTAAAATGTATTGATTACACTTGCAGATTGATAAATCAAGTGTGTATTTTGTAATGGCTAGGGCTCATAATACACAATAGAAGAACTTAATATTTACTAAATAAAAATTAATATAGAATATGGAGGAGAAGATCAAGCAGATTAAATTTGGATTTTTGAGAGACTAATAAAATTAAAATGTCTCTGGCAAGACTCAAAACAGATGGAGGATAGGGAAGAGGAAGTGTCTGCCCTCACACATCAGAAGTGAGAAAGTTTCTAGTTATATAAACTAAAGATATTAAAGAACAGCTCCAAAATTTTAGAGACAACTCAAGTCAAAAATTGGGCTTTGAAAATGATGTGAGAAAAACATTAAAAAATCTTAATTGCTTGATAATTAATATAGACTCTGAATAGTCAAAATCTTCTAAGAAAACTTCAAACTTAGATGTCTTCCTTTAGCAAGTGTTACTACATTTTCAAGGTACAAAAATTCCATACTTATTTATTCTATTCCAAAGCATAGTGTGTGAGGAAAAACTCAGCAGTTCATGTTAAGAAGATATCATAAACTTAATATTACATTGGAAAAGAAGAAGCCAAGAATAATTACATGTGCATATAGGTCAAAAAAGAATGTGAAATCCAAACACATATTAGAAAAAAATACATAAATAAATGTAAAGAATAATTCATCATGTTCTAAATGACATGTATTAAAAAGATGAATGTCATTTAAATACTGTGATGAAGAATAAAATACATATAGAAAAATACACAAAGTCATAAGTATCTGCTGGAAAATCATTTCATAAAATAAATACATCCATTTAATGAGCACTGTGAACAAAACAGAAAATATTACAAGAACAGCAGATGCTTTCTTATTCTTTCTCCTAATGACTGTTACTCCTGTAAGACTGATCATTATTCTGGTTAGGTTAGGTTTGATTTAGGTTAGGTTTGCCTGCCTGTAAACATTATATAAATAAGATCAAAATTTATGCACTTGATTGTGTTTGGCTTCTTTTGTTCAATATTATGTTTGAGAGATTCACTCATGCTGTTACATGTAGATTTAGTTAATGCGTTCTGATTTCCGTACAGCATTCCTTTGTGTGGCTATATATAATATGTTTACTTGTTCCATCATACATGAATATTTTGAGTAATTTTCTTTTTTTCTAATAAGAATATCTTTGGTATAAACAATCTTGTATGCATTTCTGTTGGTTACATGCCAACAGAAACGAAGTGGATTGTTAGGTTACATATAGTATGTATATGTATATACATATACATACTATATTTGTAATCAAATTTATAGAACCAAAGAAATTTAAAACTACTAAGAAAAGAAGTAAAAAGAGAGGAAATTTTGGAAATGTAAGTCCTTTAAGATAATTTCAAAATACCTGAAAGAAAAACTAAAATTTAAAACTGGAATGTAATAATATTCTGTAGCTAACGGAAGACCTGAATCCTTTCATTGTGAGGGCCTACCAGGTATTAGGGAAAATCCACTTCTATGGTAAACTCAGAGGCTTATTCAGGTAAATCTATTGCAGTGTAACTACGAAACAAACAATTCATCAGTGCTTTCAAGCAAGAAGTTTAAATAACTTAAAAAGACACAAGAATTGGATTGTTATTAGACTTCTTAAAAACAACGTACAAATTAGGGCAAGTAGAATATCATTTTCAAAAAATCTAAGTAAAGAAAGAACAAAGTAAGGATATGTCCAGCTAAAAAGACCTTCCCAAATACTATTCAAAAGGAAGTAATTTGAAATGTCTATATTGATGTCAAGCAAAGGAAAATTCAGAACAAGGTATAACAACAGGAATAAAGATAAATATTAATAATAAAAAATAAATTTTCTAAGATAACATGAATGTCTTTTATTTGTATATTTATAAACAGAGTTTTACAATGCATGAAGCAAAAAATTAAAAATAAAAGGAAAAATAAGCAAATCTGAAGTTATATTGAAATCCTGCATCCCATTTTTAATAAATAATAGAAAAAATACATGGAAAATGTCTAAGGACATAGAATATCTAAACAAGTATATCAATTAAATTGACAAAATGGACATTTTAAAACATTCTACCCAACAGTATGTGAATACATATTCTTTTCAAGTGTTCAGGGAATAGTTAACAAGATAGACCATATTAACAAGATATGATCAAAATAGGTCATAATCAAATATTAATAAACTATAAAAGGTTTGAAAGACTATAAAATGTGTTGTCTTCCAAAAACTGACTAAAATAGACATCATTACCAAATTATATATGAAAAAGCTTGTATAGTTGAAAATTAACAATATTTTTAAATAGCCCATAGATAAAAGTACAAGTCAGAAAGAATATTAGATGGTATTTTGAATTGGATTAAAATAAACATGATACAATATGTCTGAAATTATCAAGGAACTAAAATTACAAAACAATTTTGGTAAAGAAGAATAAAGCAGAAGGGCTCACACTTCCTGATTTCAAGCTCATTGTAAAACTATAGTATTCAACACAAATGAACTTCATATGCTTTATTCTGTGTCAAAGAAACCACACTCTCAAGGGCATAAGGGAATATTTGAAGGTAGTAGAATTGTTCTAAATCTTGATTTTGGTGGTTGCTACCTAATTAGATTTATTTGCCTAAACCCACAGAACGTGCTTTAGTTAGGGTGAATTTTACTATATGTAAATTTTATCTAAAAAAACTAGAAGGTTTATGTACAAATTATTCAATTTTCAAAAATCTCTGAACCATAAAAGTAAAGGATATATTGCTTAGGGAAAACGCACCTTGTTAGATTATGATAAAATGTTTATTTAATAAAAGGAATGAGGCAGATATTGTTACAGAGGTTTCTGCAAAGGAACTGGTAAGGTTCTATTTCTTAATCTTCATCTGGTTTCCATAGAAACATATGTATTATTATTTTTAATCTGTGCATATGTATATATGCATACATATATGCATATATATTCTGAATCTATATTTCTTAAACTAAAAAATAATGTGTATAAAGAGAAAGCTGTATACTGTGAGAGAGAGAGAATACTTTCTGACAGTTCAGTGGATGGAATGAGTCATGAAGCACACAAAGGAATATTTTGGTGTCTAGTGAAAGAGATCTAACTCAAATTAGCTAAAACTATAAACAGAATTTATCTTGAAAAACTCACTTTTTACACACCTGGATTGAGAGACCTGAAAATATTTCTAGGGGTCCATTCTTCTCCATGCTCTTTTTCCACTGTGCTGGCTTAATTCTCAAGCCAACTCTGTTTCGGCAGACACGGGGTCATTATGTCTCGGCTTCTGTCCTGCTGATACGGATAGTCCAGCAGAAAAGCCCGAGTTTCTTATGCAACTCTTAAAGAAAAAGTTCAACACCTGATTTTCATTTATCTAAATTGGGTCATTTTGTAGTTAGAGCAAATTAGAACCTGAACCAGATTGAAACAAATGAGTCCTAATGCACAAAATTTAAAGAGAAACTCACTCACAGTCACGTAAGCACGGGGTCAGCCTGCAGAGGGAGCACCTCCTTTAATTTTACCCCAGGTGCCTCGATTTCCAATTTCAAGTCCTAAGTAGCAGCACTCCAATTGGCCAATTAGAGGTTATCATGCCCATCTCGTGAAACATGAGTAGTTTCTGATCCTTCTACACCTTTAGAATACAGGAGGAGTGGTTCCTACAGAAAAAGCAGTGTCTTGTTACTGAAAGATGGGAAAATAGATTACCTACTGATGTTCACACCACAGAAAGCTTAGTCATATCTCCGAGTGCCTGTGACAAATCTGGTAAATGTTGACCTCTCATATCTGATGATTGATTGTTACATCTTTCGCCTTGTTAGTCTTAGAAAGAAATAAAATATCTTTCTTCATGAGCAGAAAGGCAAGGAGTCATGAGACCCTTTTCTCTAAGAGGTCGTTGTACCAAATTTGTCAAAATTTTAACTGTATTAAATGTCAATTATTTTTCCCAGAGAAATAGAATTGTGAGCTTTTCAATGGGACTGCAATCCAGGATGGATATGCCAAAAGAGTTAATAAAATGTTTCAAAAATGAGTGGGGTAAAATTATGATCCATAGACACAATTAGAAATACTTAGAACGTTGTTTAAATTTTGATTAAATGGTTTCTGGGTATATTAATCTCTAAGCAATTTGTCTTTAGGTGGCACAACTTGATGTGAAATGACATTTACATTGTAAGTAGAGTAATTAGGTGGTGCGGGTATTTATGAGTAACTAAGAAACTGAATTTCGATAAAACAGCTTTTGTTTTGTTTTGAGACGGAGTCTCGCTCTGTAACCCAGGCTGGAGTGCTGTGGCGCCATCTCGGCTCACTGCAAGCTCCGCCTCCCGGGTTCACCCCATTCTCCTGCCTTAGCCTCCCGAGTAGCTGGGACTACAGGTGCCCACCACCATGCCTGGCTAATTTTTTGTATTTTTAGTAGAGACGGGGTTTCACCGTGTTAGCCAGGATAGTCTCCATCTCCTAACCTCGTGATCCACCCGCCTCCGCCTTCCAAAGTGCTGGGATTACAGGTGTGAGCCACCGCACCTGGCCCCGCTTGGTTTTTATATAAATGGATTGATGGACTCCAAGAGTACGATGTGGATTTGTTATTTTTACCAATGATTTGGATGAAAACAATAATAGTTACGATAACGAAGGCTCTGAAACGTTTGTCATTACGTCAGAAATTGTGTTAAGTACTTTACATAATTAATTTTAATTCTCACAAGAATTCCATGAGTCAAGTGATTCTTTACCCATTTTACAGGTAAAGAAGTTGGATCTCAAAGGCTGGGCAGCTTGGATAAATCAGCTAGATCATCAAAGTCTTAATGGGCAAAAATAATCAGCTCTGTATTTATTAAATAAGAAATTGTATAATATTACTTAATGCCACCATGTGTCAAAAATACATATGAAGTTTTAGATGTCTGGAAATACAATTTGAGTAAACAATATAATATGGCAATTCCAGAGCCTAATAAAATCGCAGGCTACCTGAAGGGAAATATTGTATCTCAAGTAAGGATAAAAATAAAAAAATTGTATTTTTCTGTTATTCTGTACCCCTGTTATTGAATTTAGTTCCAGACATCACATTTCAAATGGTGACATTGACAGACTGGAATGTGTCCAGGGAGAGTAATAAGCATAGAAAAGAAATCAATATCATACTTATGAAAAAAGTTTTCATTGATCAAAAAAGATTTGTGGGGAAATTTATTTCTACATAATCTAACTTATGTTATTTAGAAGAAAGATTACACTTCATCTAGATGGCCCTAGACTTTTTGAACTGATGGCTTAAAGATAAATGTCAGTTTGCTATAACAAAGACATTTCTAATAATCAAATATTCCAGATAAAAACTAGAGCACCTTTAGATACCAGGATTTTTCTTGAGATTTCAATCAGAGTAAAGATATTCTATTTTAGGGAAATGTGTATAGGGATGTGAATACTGGGGAGTGTTCTAATTCTCTTTTTTCTTGATCCTACATTTTCAGGATTTACCGATGAACCATAATAATATGATCCAGAACATTCTAGAAACAAACAACAAATAACCTTCATCTGTTACTCTTCCTTCATTTTTTTAATGAAGCAGCAATTCAAGACCATGTAATTGAAGGTTTTATTGTTGCCTGATATTCTAGAAAGATATAAATTATGGTTATTTAGTACAGATGAAAATAAATGAAACATTAGGAAAGTTGTTGAATTGATCAAGGTCATATTGTGCTTTATTAGTATTTTACCCAATACTTGTTCTTTGATTTGACATGTTTCTGATTCTCAAGCATCCTGGACATTTTCTCTTCAGTCTCCCCAACTACTGGAATCAGATCTTAGGTGACTTATGCATATCCTTTTTACGTTCCTTGTACATATTCTGGAATCTAAATAACTTAGCAAGTCTGATTAACTCAAGAATGCCAATATGTTATTGAGTCATTGGTTAATATATGATCACTTCTATATTTATATGTGTATCTTCAAAATGCAACTTTTAATCATTTAAATTTTGTGCCAAAAGAATAATTACAATTAAAATTTAGACCCAGTGCCCGATCTTGGTTAATTGATTGACAGAATCTTTTGTCTTTCTAAAATTTGAAATTATCTATTCTAACCTCCAGACAATTACAATTCAAATGACTACTACCAGTTGATATTACCTTCTACTGAGCACAAGAAAGGGAAAAATATATATTATTTTGTTTCATATTCAGTCTCTTTTCCTCTATCATTTTTAGGGCTACCTAAGCAACTTAAAAGGCCCACTAGGAACTAGAGGCCAAAATTCTTATCAAGGTCATAGTGCTGAGCTGAAGAACCTGTCCTCAGCCAGCATTTCGGGATTTGTGTCTACTCTATTTATTCCCAAGAAATTATATTTACAAATATAATTTGACTTTTTGAATTAGACTTTTTCTTGATTCACAGGCTGTAACCCTCCCAACCATCTGGCCTAACTTACAGCTAACAACAGGGAACCACTGAGAGCAGAAATAAAGCAAAGCAGGAAAGATGTATCTATCTTCTCTATACAACTAAAAAAAGAAGTGTCTGCAGATTTTCAGGAGCCCAGTCTCTGAATGCTTATCTGGAAATGCCAGCTCCTTGTCTTCTTTGAAAACCAAGGTCTGTTTTAGTCCTGTGACCCTGTCATTTTAAGAACTTTAATTAGTATTGAATGCAGCCTGGCAGAATCCTAAGTATCTGTGAGGCCACATTAGTTCTATGATTCCTTTGCTTCAGGGACTATAAATTGAGGACAATATCAAATTCAAGGTTCTTGTTGCAACTTCTAATTTTTCAAGATAGTCATTAGCTAGATTAATATTTTTTTCTTAACTGCTATCTCTTTTTCTCTTAAACCGTGTCTCTCAAAAAAAATTTTTTTATCTTGCCTGAATAGGGAAAGAATGTTTCTATTCCAAAAATATTCATAATTTGTCTAGGCTTAATTTAATTTACTTAAAAAATGTATTCCTTCATGGTCTTTCTTAGCACTATACTATAACCCTGCCTCATTATTATGTTTGTGTCTCTTTAATGTTTTTAACTTAGCAAAATATCTTTTTGCAATCCACAGAGGATAGAACACAATACATTAAATAAATTTCATATTAATATTGTTGGAGAGCTCATCTATGGCCAAACAATATTTCACCCTAATCACAATGCTTATGGGAATGATTTGCAATACTGTACAAGGTATAATTCTTTAACAATAGTCCAATAAAAAGGATATAATTATATGGTTGCACAAATGTCTTTCCTCTCAATAAAAGCATTATTTATGTGAACACTATGTCTTTTAAATGACTTAAGAATAAAACATTTCTACCTTGACTTATGCATTAAAATAAGGAGCAGGGGGGTGGTGGTGCAAAAATCTATTTTTCAAAACATGACCCAGCCACCTAATGACTTGTTTAGCTGAGCATCAATCTTTGTAGCTGCCAGACCTTCTCTCTTTCCTTCAGATGAACTGGCATAATGCTTACTTGGCTCACATGTAGAAACAAATGTCCTCTTTCCTAGGGGAATGATTATTAGCATTTCTTCACAGTAATTTGGAGAGTACCTCTTATCTTAGAGACAGCTGTTTTTTATCAGAAAAAAAAAATTCTGATCTGCCCCCATCTGGGGAGTGATGAAAAAGAAAAGAAATTATTTTCAGGAAAGAAGGCATCCAAAGTGTCCCTGTATGTTTCAGTGAAAAAGACAGCTTGGATTCTAAGTGACAATTTTAAGTAAATGTGTTATAGTGTAGGATATTTCTTGGTGCTTTACATCACTATTTAGCAAATATTTATATTGGACAACTCAGGAACCTAGCCCTACCTTGTACAGTCTTGAGCAGCAAAGCTCTCTTTACCCCTGAGTCCCAACATGACCATATAAATATACTTCATTACCATCACCAACACCACCTCAAATTTTATTCTTCCCATGTTTCTTCATGAAACACATTTTAACATTTTCTCCAAGGTGCATGCCATCACCAAAGTAAATTTACTGATTTCCTAAATATTTATCTTTCAAAAGTCTAAAATTAATCCAGACAATAAAAACACAGAGATCAATACAACATAAATCCTATCATAAAAAGGTCAAAATCTACTGAAAAAAAAATGTGTGAGTCCTTAAATAACACAAAGTGGTATTCAGCTTAAATTGTATTTCAGTCTGGCTTTGTCATTTACTAATTGTTTTATCTGAAAAGTTGTTTAAACTTGACAAAACTCAGTGCTTTTGTCTGTGAAATAAGCATAATACAACTTTATTCTGTAGTGTTGTTATGAAACTTAAAATACATATGGTAATTCTTGAAAAGTGTTTCACACAGTGCTTTGCAAACGATTACCACATGATAAAGTGTTTCATGTGAAAAAAGAGAGGCTAAAACATAAGATAAGATTGCAATGACAGAGAAAACCACAGAGGCCTACATACATTTCCTGGACGGTCCCAGGAAACACTATAAAAAGAGGATTACATTTTAGCTTAATCTTAAAGAGTAGCTGGAGAAAGGAGAATGAGATTCCAGGTAACAGGGCAAATGTTCTCAATAGAAATGAAGGAGAAAATTAAATGAAGTGTTAAGAAATGGCAAGTAATTCCATGAAGTTGTATAATATGCCTGAGTGGACATTAACTGATCAGATTATAGATGAAAACAAGACGGCTGATTCCAAAGTCCATGTGTGCATTTCCAGTGAACGTCTAGAGGAGTAGACATCATTTTTGTTTAATTCATCAGTAGATCTAAATGATCACTGTAATCATAAGGTGAGAGACAACTGAGATGACAAAACCTGGGTGGCTTATTTGGAAGAGGGAAGCAAAAGGACTGTTTAAGATCACATTCTATAAATAGAATGACCTCAGATGATTGGACAGACTGGTTTAATTTTCCAAGGGGGTATTTGTGAATAAGTGATCTGCAGATAGGCCCGTGTACTTGCTCTTGTCTGCAACTGTGTGGGTGCAAACACCACTGTAGTTCTGGCTCCCAGAAGCTACAGATACTTGATTTCTTCTCCTATACCTTTTTAGTACAATCACCTACACGGAGTTAGGAGTCATGTCATGGACCAATACCTTTACTTAGCTGAGATGATTATAAGGACACACCATACAACTTTAATCTCACATTATCTCCTAGAAAGTTTAATGGGAATGTAACCTATTCTCACTTTAGCTATTATAATTGGAACAGTTGTCAGGATCACAGAGCATTGGCTAACTATTTTGCAAATCAGTGTGGACTTCTTGCAGAGGAGAATGCATGAAACTTGGAGTCTTAAAATGTTGATGGTAAGCATGTGTTGTCATTGTCTCCCTCTAAATCTCAGGAAATGATTGAAACCTTCAGGATTCAGTTTCCTCAAATATTATACAGGAAAGCAACCTCAGCCTACATATCAGTGTGGTTGTAATAAATATCATAAATATACATGTGTTTAAAACATTTAAAAACCACTACAATTTTATGTTTTTATTATAGTATTATTATAAACATAATATTTCATATTCAAATTGATCTCTTACTGTGGTTGTCTAAATTTAGGAAGTGGTCTTTAAAGTATATTAAGTTCTTGGGGAAGTGGGCTCGTTTAACCTCAAAGTCAATTCACACACTTACTTAGAGCACTGATTCCTCAGAAGATATGTCAAAATAATCCAATGTTTCTTTTAGGTTAAAAAATGTTGAAATTCCTGAAAATATTAACCTGAGAGTAAGGTAAAACAGATATCATGGTCTGGTTGTATTTAAAAAAATAGCAAAGGTGAAATGAGATAATATGATCTCTAAAGTGTTCCTAGTCCATTATGAAATTTAACTTGAGAAAGCTAGGCTAAATGTAGAATCTACTATTGTTTTCCCGATCATTGCATCCAATCAAAACAAAGCAAAACAAATAAACAATGATACACATACACAAAAATACAGTACTCTTCCTTTTCCTATCAATGGGGAAATTGAACCCATGCATAAAAAGAAAAAGCCTCTTTGTAGGTCTCTAAAGACTTGCTTTATGAATCTGGGTGCTCCTGTATTGGGTGCGTATATATTTAGGATAGTTAGCTCTTCTTGCTGAATTGATCCCTTTACCATTATGTAATGGCTTTCTTTGTCTCCTTTGATCTTTGTTGGTTTAAAGTCTGTTTTATCAGAGAATAGGATTGCAATTCCTGCTTTGTTTTCCATTTTCTTGGTAGATCTTCCTCCATCCCTTTATTTTGTGCCTATGTGTGTCTCTGCACGTGAGGTGGGTCTCCTGAATACAGCACACTGATGGGTCTTGACTCTTTATCCAATTTGCCAGTCTGTGTCTTTTAACTGGAGCATTTAGCCCATTTACATTTAATGTTAATATTGTGTGTGTGAATTTGATCCTGTCATTATGATGTTAGGTGGTTATTTTGCTCGTTAGTTGATGCAGTTTCTTCCTAGCATCGATGGTCTTTACAATTTGGCATGTTTTTGCAGTGGCTAGTCCCACACAATAATAACGGGAGACTTTAACACCCGACTGTCAACATTAGACAGATCAATGAGACAGAAAATTAACAAGGATATACAGGATTTGAACTCAGCTCTGCACCAAGTGGACCTAATAGACATCTACAGAACTCTCCACCCCAAATGAACAGAATATACATTCTTCTCAGCACCACATCACACTTATTCCAAAATTGACCACATAGTTGGAAGTAAAGCACTCCTCAGCAAATGTAAAAGAACAGAAATTATAACAAACTGTCTCTCAGACCACAGTGCAATCAAATTAGAACTCAGGATTAAGAAACTCACTCAAAACCACTCAACTACATGGAAACTTAACAACCTGCTAATGAATGACTACTGGGCACATAACGAAATGAAGGCAGTAATAAAGATGTTCTTTGAAACCAATGAGAACAAAGACACAACATACCAGAATCTCTGGGACACATTTAAAGCAGTGTATAGAGGGAAATTTTAGCACTAAATGACCACAAGAGAAAGCAGGAAATATCTAAAATTGACACCCTAACATCACAATTAAAGAATTAGAGAAGCAAAAGCAAATACATTCAAAAGCTAGCAGAAGGCAAGAAATAACTAAGATCAGAGCAGAACTGAAGGAGATAGAGACACAAAAAAACCCTTTAAAAAATCAATGAATCCAGAAGCTGGTTTTTTGAAAAGATCAACAAAATTGATAGTCCACTAGCAAGACTAATAAAGAAGAAAAGAGAGAAGAATCAGATGGATGCAATAAAAAATGATAAATGGTATATCACCAACAATCCCACAGAAATACAAACTACAATGAGAGAATATTATAAACAACTCTATGCAAATAAACTAAAAAATCTAGAAGAAATGGATAAATTCCTGGACACATACACCCTCCCAAGACTAAACCAGGAAGAAGTTGAATCCCTGAAAAGATCAATAACAGGCTCTGAAATTGAGGCAATAATTAATAGCCTACCAACCAAAAAAAGTCCAGGACCAGACAGAATCACAACTGAATTCTACCAGAGATACAAAGAGGAGCTGGTACCATTCCTTCTGAAACTATTCCAATCAACAGAAAAAGAGGGAATCCTCCCTAACTCATTTTAAGAGGCCCGCATCATCCTGATACCAAAGCCTGGCAGAGACACAACAAAAAAAGAGAATTTTAGACCAATATCCCTGATGAACATCAATGCAAAAATCCTCAGTAAAATACTGACAAACTGAATCCAGCAGCACATCAAAAAGTTTATCCACTACAATCAAGTTGGCTTCATCCCTGGGATGCAAGGCTGGTTCAACGTATGCAAATCAATAAACGTAATCCATCATTTAAACAGAACCAAAGACAAAAAACACATGATTATCTCAAGAGATGCAGAAAAGGCCTTTGACAAAATTCAACAGCGCTTCATTCTAAAAACTCTCAATAAACTAGGTATTGATGGGATGTATCTCAAAATAATAAGAGCCATTTATGACAAATCCACAGCCAATATCATACTGAATGGACAAAAACTGGAAGCATTCCCTTTGAAAACTGGCACAAGACAGGGATGCCCCCTCTCACCACTCCTATTCAACAAAGTGTTGGAAGTTCTGGCCAAGGCAATCAGGGAGGAGAAATAAATAAAGGCTATTCACTCAGAAAAAGAGGAAGTCAAATTGTCCCTGTTTGCAGATGACATGATTGTATATCTAGACAACTCCATCATCTCAGCCCCAAATCTCCTTAAGCTGATAAGCAACTTCAGCAGTCTCAGGATACAAAATCAATGTGCAAAAATCACAAGCATTCCTATACACCAATAACAGACAAACAGAGAGCCAAATCATGAGTGAACTCCCATTCACAATTGCTTCAAAGAGAATAAAATACCTAGGAATCCAACTTACAGGGGATGTGAAGGACCTCTTCAAGGAGAACTACAAACCACTGCTCAATGAAATAAAAGAGGACACAAACAAATGGAAGAATATTCCATGCTCATGGATAGGAAGAATCGATATAGTGAAAATGGCCATACTGCCCAAGGTAATTTATAGATTCAATGCCATCCCCATCAAGCTACCAAAGACTTTCTTCCCAGAAGTTGGAAAAAACTACTTTAAAGTTCATATGGAACCAAAAAAGAGCCCGCATTGCCAAGACAATCCTAAGTCAAAAGAACAAAGCTGGAGGCATCATGCTACCTGACTTCACACTATACTACAAGGCTACAGTAACCAAAACAGCATGGTACTGGTACCAAAACAGAGATATAGACCAATGGAACAGAATAGAGCCCTCGGAAATAATACCACACATCTACAACCAACTGATCTTTGGCAAACCTGACAAAAACAAGAAATGAGGAAAGGATTCCCTATTTAATAAATGGTACTGGGAAAACTGGCTAGCTGTATGTAGAAAGCTGAAACTGGATCCCTTCCTTACACCTTATACAAAAATTAATTCAAGATGGATTAAAGACTTACATGTTAGACCTAAAACCATGGTTTCTTCTAAACCATGTTAGAAGAAAACCTAGGCAATACCATTCAGGCCATAGGCATGGGCGGGAACTTCATGTCTAAAACACCAAAAGCAATGGCAACAGAAGCCAAAATAGACAAATGGGATCTAATTAAACAAAAGAGCTTCTGCACTGCAAAAGAAACCACCATCAGAGTGAACATGCAACCTACAGAATGAGAGAAAATTTTTACAATCTACCCATCTGACAAAGGGCTAATATACAGAATCTACAAAGAACTTAAACAAATTTACAAGAAAAAATCAAACAACCTCATCAAAACTGGGCGAAGGATATGCACAGACACTTTTCAAAAGAAGACATTTATGCAGCCAACAGACACATAAGAAAATGCTCATCATCACTGGCCATTAGAGAAATGCAAATCAAAACCACAATGAGATACCATCTCACACCAGTTAGAATGGCAATCATTAAAAAGTCAGGAAACAACAGGTGCTGGAGAGGATGTGGAGAAATAGGAACACTTTTACACTGTTGGTGGGACTGTAAACTAGTTCAACCATTGTGGAAGACAGTGTGGCGATTCCTGAGGGATCTAGAACTAGAAATACCATTTGACCCAGCCATCCCATTACTGGGTGTATACCCAAAGGATTATAAATCATGCTGCTATAAAGACACATGCACACGTATGTTTATTTGCGGTACTATTCACAATAGCAAAGACGTGGAACCAACCTAAATGTCCATCATTGATAGACTGGATTAAAAAAATGTGGCACTTATACACCATGGAATACTATGCAGCCATAAAAATGATGAGTTCATGTCCTTTGTAGGGACATGGATGAAGCTGGAAACCATCATTCTCAGCAAACTATCACAAGGACAGAAAACCAAACACCACGTGTTCTCTCTCATAGGTGGAAATTGAACAATGAGAACACTTGGACACAGGGTGGGGAACATCACACACCGGGGCCTGTCGTGGGGTGGGAAGAGGGGGAAGGGATAACATTAGCAGATATACCTAATATAAATGACAAGTTAATGGGTGCAGCACACCAATGTGGCACATGTATACATATGTAACAAACCTGCACATTGTGCACATGTACCCTAGAACTTAAAGTATAATAATAAAAGAAAAAAAACAAGATTTCTGTCTTGTCATGAATCCCATTAGCACCACTTCAAATTTGCCAAATTCGATGATCAGCTTCTTGCCACTGGAAATATGCTCTAGGTTTTCCCTCCACTGCCCAAAACCCGGGTCATGGGCTAAGTTTCACCAAAGCTTTTGGCACTGATGGCCTAGAACTGACTCAAACAGTTTCATATATATATATATATATATATATTTAGAAATCCAAACATGCATTATTTCTAACCCAATAATATCATTGGACACTTTCACTAGGGATTGCTGTTAGCTTGTTATTAGTTGTAGGAATATGGAACAGTTTAAATTTTTTCAAAGCAAGGAAGTCAGCTAAGATTTCAGTCCTATTGTCAGCCTGTCTGAAGAGATTTTTAGATTGGTAAAATTACCTCCAATAAGAAGCTACAAAATATAATCATTTCAGATCCATTTTTGAATTATAAACTCAAAATGATTTCATAAATTTCTATAAAAGGGTTGCTTTAGGATGTTAGTACTTATGAAATTTCTTGGAGTTAAAATAAAAAAAGCATTTTTTATGGGTGAGATAAAGAGTTTTATAGCTGGCTTAAAGTAACTCTTTTTCGCAATGATTTCAAATAAAGAGTACGAAGGTTGCAGGGGGAAAAGCTATACCGACTTGCATCATTCCCCAGATAGAAATTCATGTCTGCTTAAGGAAATGCCATCAAGGTAGGCAACTATCTTTACCTCTCTCCAAAAAGGATGCCTATGCCATCAACATAGGCACCTATCTTTACCTCCCTCCTTGTTTCAAAATTACTGGACGCAAATATGTCTGTATACTCATACACTGACATACACAGTGTATGTTTCCAACACAATGAATTAAAGCAAATTTTAAATTTACAGAAAAGATTAGAGTTAGGTTAGTTATAACCAGTGGTGCTCACATTTTCTTGTGTCCTTTTTAATAAATCTCATAACTTCTATTTTTTCTTTCGTTCTTAAATAATGATACACTTTCTAGGTTCTCTCTTACTTTGCTCACAGTGTTATTATCAGGGGTCAAATAATAAAACATATTTCTCAATTCTTCAGAGACTGAAATATGTTCTATACATATTATTATGAACTCCATATGAAAGATTCTCCATACTAATTGCAAATGGCATTCTAAATGCAACTTGATTGAAATTTCTTTCTCCCCCCAGGCAATTTTATGCTATTACTTTGCAAAACATACATGCTCCTGGTTTGCTTCCAGTTGACAATAGCGTGTTCCTAGTTTGCAATTCCACTTTGGACTTGCTTCTTCCTTGAAGATTAAACTGCTTTTGATTTAGCCATCAGCTTCTAAGGAATACATTAATAGTTTGGTATTTCCAGTAGTCTTTTACACAAGCTGGTTGCTTAATATCAGCTGTTCTTTTTTGTATATGCAGTAAGAGGCAGATTCCTTATTGAGTGAGAAGATATCACAAGCCTAGGATAACTCCAATATTTCCTCATACTGGAAAGCTCAGATCTTTATCTTACATATTTGTTTCTCTATTTCTTTTTTTAATATAGTTGTTAGCCCTTGACAGGAAATGTTACTCAGCTGTTGATAAGTTGCAATTCTACATATCAAAATTACATCCTGAGGCAACTGTCAGTTAGTAGATTAGCCAGGGCTACAATTATATTGTGACATTTGGCTAATTGTCATTCAGGCCTAAAAGATAAACATGCTGACTCTTAAGTTCCAGGGCTGATCTTTTCAGAATGAGCTAATTGGAAGGGTTCCCTTCCTTCTCAGGAACCTCCTATTTAGCATCTTTAAATAATAGACGGAAGCATTTATCAGTATTAAGACACATAATACAGTCACTTCCACTTAGCCTGATCCCTTGGTCATATTACATTTATCAATTGGATTAAAGCATTAAAACCTTATCGGGCTTCTTTCCTAATCAATAGTAATTATTTCAAGCAGATTTTAATGGATAATTCAATTATAATACCTCCAGAGACCTGCAACTTTTACAGACAATAAAAAAATTAGAAAAAGTAAATTAAACATAGGGTATATAAAAATAACCTGTCAAAAGCCCGATCTGAGGCAGGACTATAAAGAGCCTAAGGCAAAATTTTAAAGCTTTTCTTATCATTTGACATGATAATTTGAATATGATTAATGCAATTGTTAACCTGATAGGTGCGTTGTCTTTTATTTTCTCTTAGAACTGAGAAGTACAATTTCCTCTGTTATATTTCATACACATTTAGGTCTTCAAACTGAAAATTGCAATTTAAACTTTGATTCAGCAAATATTTAAGGGTTTGGGTACAATGGCTGCATAAGATAGTAAAATATACGTAAAAATGAAAATTCAAGTCATAACTGGTCTAAATTTGCAGACCTTTAAGATAAAGAAGAAAAGTCATAATATAGAATTCAAAAAGCAATATAGTCTTAACCATCAAAAGTCAATACAGCAAAAGGAATAAATTGCTGCATTCTAAATTCTAACATATGTATCTTCTCAAAACAACATTAATTATCTTACAGATTTTCTGGGTTAGGGATCCTGGCTTGTCTTCTTTGGGTTGTCTGACTCTGTGTCTCCCATAAGGTTGCAATCAAGGTGTCAGCTGGGGCTGCAGTCATTCTGCAAGTTCCAGTGGGCGAAGATCCACCTCCAACTTAATTCACAAGGTATTTGACATGTTTGCTTTCCTTGTGGGCTGTCAGAATTAGAGTCTCAGGCTGTCCTCAGTTTCTTGTCACATGTGGCCTCCCCATTGGGTAGCTAAAACATGGCAGCTTGCTTCATCAAAGCAAGCAAGCATGAAGATGAGAGATGGAGAGAGTGAAGGGGATGTGGGGAGAGAGAGGAGGAAGAGAGAACAAGATAGTGTAAGATGGCAAAGGAAGGAGTTCAAAAAAGGAGGAAGTCATAGATCTAATCTTGAAAGAGACATTCTATTGTTTTTGCCACATTCTATTTGTTAGAAGCAAATCACTAGGTCTGGCTCACACTCAAGGAGAGAGGACTGCACAAGTAGAGGATTACTGAGATTATTTAAGAACTTGGATTCTTTTAGAAGGCTTCATACAACAATGAAGAATTATTGTTTTGTTTTCCTTAGCCCCCAAGATACAGGCATTTTTCGTGCTAGAATGGAGACCCATACCAACAAATTATCAACTTTTCTTCTGGTGACTGACTTTTACACACAGTATATAAAGATATATTTATAATATATATAAGATTTTATATTTAAAACATATTTTATATATAATCATATATTTTATATATAAAATATAAATATATTTATATAAAATATAAAAATCTTATATATTATATATAGACTTATAGATTTATATATGTGTGTGTGTGTAGTGTGTGTGTATGACTGTCCATTCTTACACTGGGTAAAGCAGCAAAATTGAATATTCAATTTACAGTAACATTTAATATATTTGGCATATCAAGTCTCTTAAAATGACCTCTCAATATTTAATCACCTGTGAAAGCAGACACTCCATAGTTTCTTACTATGACTGAAATCTGTGATTTGTCACTATCAGCTAGGACATTATACCTGGGTTGGAGTGCATGCGGGAATCTTGTTTATTAACAAGTAAAAACTCCAAGTCATTCTTATGCAGAAAGTCCCTGCGGTGCACTTTTAGAAATGTCCATGCTTTGTGTTTGCTTGACATTTTTTAACAAACAAAATAAATGAAACTTGAGAGCATAACTGAATGTACACGTTCAAGTTCTTCAGCTAGTTAGTCATAGACCTGAGGCTAGAATCAACTCATTTGACTCCCAATTTAGTGCTTGTTAAAAAACTGTATATTTATACTAATATGTTATGAGCTATAGAGTATAACTAAAAGACTATTAGGTATAGGACATCTGCTAATTTTTCTTCTCACTTTCTTCATTCATTGAGTGCATGAATGAGCAAGATTGACATGGATAAGCTTTAGATAAATGAGTTCAATACATTTTAAGAACTCTTGAACATTTTAGAAAAGCATGTGTTTACAAGAAACATACCATAACTGCAAGTTGTCACAGGTAGCAACTGAGGTTGGTGTCATGGGTGGTAAATGTATTTACCAAGATAGTCATTAGTAAAGAAAGGTGAATTTATTAGAGATGGTATGAAAATATGTTGCAAAGATCAATGGACAGAACAGCAGAGACAGGCCTGTCTACAAAGAGGCAGGGGCTGGAGCGAAATTTTATAGTCTCATGCTGGAGGGAACTACATGAAGAACAAGGTCTTGCTGCTGGAGCCACCATGGAATGAGGTCATTGTGCCCCCAGGTTGTTTGTGATTAGCTGTCTCTCAGAACAATTGTTCATTTTTCTCCCCACTTGGGATCTTCCTCATCCTGGAGCCCCTTCCTCATTGTTGCTTTCTCGTAAGGACTCTGCAGTACCCTAATATAGAACAATGGCAAATCTTTGGTATTGGGGCACAGGTCTCATCTTCCAACTACTTCCTGCTGGTCTGTGGCATAGAATTGACCCTACCTGTGCTTGTTGGTCTGTCAGGAGACCCTGTAGTCATTGTCTCACACTGTGGGGCCTAGGATATTGGATCTTGCTGGAGAAAGGGACTCATTAGAGAGGTGGTGCATATCAAGTGAAACTGATATCCAGCTGAATCCAGGGGAGACTTGTAAATGTAGTAGACGTCATTAGGGAGAGACTGATATTGTGTTAATAGCATCATTTGAAGGTGAAAATGCTGAATTCTGGAAGATAAAATATTGTAAGATTGCATTTGGGGTTATGAGTATAGGAGGGGAATACATGACTCTTAAGAACAGCATGAGAAGGTTTTTTTGTTAGTTTTCTGTTTGTTTTACAATGAGAATTTAGACATATTAAGAAAAGTCAAGGACACAAAATTAAGTTATGTTAGAGGAAAACATTGCTTAATTTTTTGACCTTCAAGATGAAATATTTTAGCATTGTGCCATAGTAACAATTAGAACCAGAAGAAAAAGTTATAGGAGCTGACAAAAACTGAAAGGGAGAGTTGTTATCTCAGGCCTGCTACAGGGAAGAAAAAGCAGGAAGCAGTGAGACACTGCAAATAGTTAAATTTCTGAGATATGATACTGAGAAGTTTGTTGCTGTTGTTATTTGTTTTTGAGACAGAGTTTTGCTCTGTTGCCCAAGCTGGATTACAATGATGCAAACTCAGCTCCCTGCAACCTCCACCTCCCAGATTCAAGTGATTCTCCTGCCTCAGCCTTCTGAGTAGCTGGGATTATGGAGGTATGCAACCACTCATCTAATTTTTGTATTTTTAGTAGTTATAGGGTTTCACCATGTTATCCATGTTGGTCTTGAACTCCTGGCCTCATGTCATGTGCCCACCTCGACCTCCCAAGAGCTGGGATGACAGGCGTGAGCCACCATGCCTGGCCTCTGAGAAGTTTTTTAAAAGAATCATTAAAAGTAAAACTTCTTGCAATTTTATTAAGATCACATTAATACCCTAATAAAACATTTTTTAAAATAGGAGACCAATGTTAGAAAGACTGTCCCAAATAATTCCCTTTCAATTATAACCAACTTAATCAGGGACTTTTGGGAGAATGGTATTTGGTCCCTTAAGTAATACAAAGGAGTATTAATTTTTCTTTTGGAGGGAGGATGTGCCATGTGTTCCGTTTATTCAACAGGATTTGGAAGAGAGTTGCTCAGAAAAGGAGATTAGTACAGAATCACTATAAGTCATTTGTTTAGCCAAAATAATAACTCCAAAATTTTTAAAATACAAAAATCTTTACTAGCTAATAGAGGGGAGACCAAGCTTTCCAAACAAGATGCAATAAAGACAGCATGAGGCTAACTGAATCTGTCTCCTCTCCTCTCCTTTTTCTGTTATTTACCAAAAAGTAAAAAAAAAAAAATTATTATTTTTTAATATTACACGAAAATCTTATTTAAAAGAAACAACTGAATTTCACCTTTATATTAGAGTATTATTAATGTTAAATCAAATTCTTAATAAAACCTAATAAACAAATATATCCAATCTTCCCCCCCTCCCCCCCACTCTGCAACCTTTATTTTAAATTCAAGGGTACATGAGCAGGGTGTGCAGGTTGGTTACATAGGTAAACGTGTGCCATGGTGGTTTGCTATACAGATCATCCTATCAAAAGGTATTAAGATCATCATCTATTAGCTGTTCTTCCTGATACTCTCCCTCTCAACCCTAACCCCCTCCACAGGCCATAGTGTGTGTTGTTTTCCCAGATGTGACAATGTGTTCTCATCATTTGGCTCCTACTTATAAGTGAGAACATTCAGTGTTTGGTTTTGTGTTTCTGCATTAGTTTCCTGAGGATAACAGCTTCCAACTCCATTCATGTGCCTGCAAAGAACATGATCTTGTTCCTTTTAATGGCTGCATAGTATTCCATTTAGTATATGTACCATATTTCTTTATCCAGTTTATCACTGATGAACATTTAGGTTGATTCCAAGTCTTTACTATTGTGCTATTGTGATTAGTACTTCAGTGAACATATGCATGCATGTATCTTCGTAATAAAATAATTTATATTTCTTTGAGTACATACCCAGTGGGATTTCAGGGTCTAATCGTATTTCTGCCTCCAGGTCTTTGAGGAATAAACACACTGTCTTCCACAATGGTTGAGCTAATTTACACTCCTACCAACAGTGTAAAAGTGTTTTTTTTCCCAGAACCTCACCAGTATCTGCTGTTTTTTGACTTTTATTCTGAGTGGTGAGAGATGGTATCTCATTGTGGTTTTGATTTGCGTTTTTTAATCATCAGTAATGTTGAGCTTTTTTTCATATGTTTGTTGGCCCCATGTATGTCTTCTTTTGAAAAGTGTCTGTTCATGTCCTTTTCTCACTTTTTAATCTGGTTCTTTGTTCATTTTTTCTTCTAAATTTGTTTAAGTTTCTTGTGGACTCAGATGTTAGACCTTTGTCAGATGGATAGATTGCTCCCATTCTGTAGGTTGTCTGTTCATGCTGATTATAGTTTCTTCTGCTTTGCAGACCTCTTAGGTTTAATTAAATCCCATTTGTCAATTTTTGTTTTTGTTGCAATTGCTTTTGGTGTTTCCATCATAAAATCTTTGCTCATGACTGTGTCCTGAATAGTATTGCCTAGGTTTTCTTCCAGGGTTTTAAAGTTAAGTATTTACATTTATGTCTTTAATCTGTCTTGAGTTTATTTTTATAAGGTCTAAGAAAGGGGTCCAGTTTCAATTTTCTGCAAAAGGCTAGCCAGTTCTCCCAGCACCATTTATTAAATAGGGAATCCTTTCCCCATTGCTTTCTTTTGTCCAGTTTGTCAAAGACCAGATGGTTGTAGGTGTATGTTGTTATTTCTGAGTTTTCTACTCTAGTCGATTGGTTTATGTGTTTTGTTTGTTTGTTTGTTTTGTTTTGTTTTTACCAGTACCATGCTGTTTTGGTTACCATAGCTTTGTAGTATGGCTTGAGGTCAGGCAGCATGATGCCTCCAGCTTTGTTCTTTTTGCTTAGGATTTTCACTATACGGGCTCTTTTGTGATTCCATATGAATTTTAAAATACTTTATTCTAATTATATGAAAAATATCAGTGGTAGTTTAATGGGAATAACACTGAATCCATAAATTACTTTGGGCAGTGTGGCCATTTTCACAATATTGATTCTTCCTATCCATGAGCATGGAATGCTTTTCCATTTGTTGTGTCCTCTCTGATATCCTTGAACAGTGGTTTGTAGCTCTCCTTGAAGAGGTTCTTAACTTACCTTGCTATATTCCCAGGTATTTTATGCTTTGTGTAGTAATTGTGAATGGGAGTTTATTCATGATTTGGCTCTCTGCTTGCCTGTTGTGGGTGTATAGGTATGCTAGCTATTTTTGCACGATTATTTTACATCCTGAGATTTTGCTGAAGTTGCTTATCAGCTTGAAAAGTTTTTGGGTTCAGAGGATGAGTTTTCAAGATCTAGGATCATGTCATCAGCAAACAAAGATACTTTGACTTCCTCTCTTTCTATTTGAATAACTTTTATTTCTTTTCTCTTGCCTGGCTAGAACTTCCAATATTATGTTGAATAGGAGTGGTGAAACAGGGAATCCTTGCCCTGTGCTGCTTTTCAAGGGGAATGCTTACAGCTTTTGCCCATTCAGTATGATATTGGCTGTGGTTTGGCATATATGGCTCTTATTATTTTGAAATATGTTCTGTCAATGCATAGTTTATTGAGAGGTTTTTTAATATAGAGGAATGCTGAATTTTATTGAAGGCCTTTAATGTGACTATTGAGATAATCATATGGATTTTGTCTTTAGTTCTGTTTATGTGATGAATTACATTTATTGAATTGTGTTTGTTAAACCACCCTTGCATCCAAGGGATGAAGCCAGCTTGATTGTGGTAAATAAGCTTTTTGATTTGCTGCTAGATTTGGTTTGCCAGTATTTTATTGAAGATTTTTGCATTGACGTTGATCAGGTATATTGTCTTGAAATTTTGTTTTTGGTTTTATCACTGCCAGGTTTTGGTTTTATCACTGCCAGGTTTTGGTATCAGGAGGATTCTGGCCTCATAGAATGAGTTAGAGATGAATCCCTCCCTTTCAGTTATTTGGAATAGTTTCACTAGAATGGTACCAACTCTTCTTTGTACCTCAGCTGTGAATCTGTCTGGTCATGGCTTTTTGTTGTTGTTGTTGATAGGCTATTTATTACTGCATAAATTTTAGAACTCATTATTGGTCTATTCAGGGGTTCAAGTTCTTCCTGGTTCAGTCTTTGGAGGGTGTGTGTGTCCAAGAATTTATCCATTTCTTCTGCTTTACGTACACAAAGGTGTTTCTAATATTCTCTGATGGTTGCATTCCTGTGAGGTCAGTGGTAATATCCCTCTTGTCATTTCTGCTTGTGTTTATCTGAATTTTCTCTCTTATTCTTTATTAGTCTAACTTCCAGTCTATCTATCTTATTAATTTTTTCAAACAAAACAGATCCTGGATTCATTGATTTTCTTGAAAGAGTTTTTATGCCTCTTTTTTCTTCAGTTCTGCTCTGATCTTGGTTAATTTTGTCTTCTGCTAGCTTTGGAGTTTGTTTGTTCTTGGTTCTCTAATTATTTTAGTTGTTAGGCTAGGTTGTTAATTTGAGATTTTTCCAGCTTTTTGATGTGAACATTTAGTGCTATAAATTTCCCTTCTAACACTGCTTTAGCTGCATCCCAGAGATCCTGGTATGTTGTCTCTTCTCATTAGTTTCAAAGAACTTCTTGATTTCTGCCTTAATTTCATTATTCACCCAGGCGTCATTCAGGAGCAGGTTGTTCAATTTCCATGTAGTTTTGTGGTTCTGAGTGAATTTCTTAATCTTGAGTTTTAATTTAATTGTGCTGTAATCTGAGAGACTGTTACGATTTCAGTTCTTTTGCATTTGCTGAGGAGTGTTTTACTCCCAATTATGTGATCAGTTTTAGAGTAAGTTCCATGTAGTGATGAGTAGAACGTATACTTTTTTAATTTTTTGAGTGAAAACTTCTGTATATATCTATCAAGTCTGCTGGATCCCAACTGAGTTCACATCCTGAATATCCTTGTTAATTTTCTGTCTCAATGATCTGTCTAATATTGTCAGTAGAGTGTTACAGTTTCCCACTATCCACTATTCTTGTGTGGGAGTCTAAGTCTCTTTATAGTTCTCTAAGAACTTGCTTTATGAATCTGGGTGCTCCTGTATTGGTATATAATATTATATTTATATTATAATATTATAAAATATTAATTATTATTTAATTTATATAATAAATTAAAATCATTAATATAAATGTATATTATAAATATTTAAGATATTTAATTCTTCTTGTCAAATTGAACCCTTTATCATTATGTATGCCCTTCATTGGATTTTTTTATCTTTGTTGGTTTAAAATCTGTTTTGTCAGAGACTAGAATTGTGACCACTGCTTTTTTCTGGTTTCCATTTGCTTGGTAAAGTTTCCTCCATTTTTTTTTTTTTAAATTTTGAGCCTGTGTGTGTCTTTGCACATGATATGGGTCTCTTGAAGACAGTATACCAATGGGTCTTGGCTCTTTATCCAGCTTGCCATTCTGTGTATTCTAATTGGGGCATTTAGCCCATTTACATTTAAGGTTAGTATTGTTATGTGTGAATTTGATCCTGTCATCATGATACTAGCTGGTATCTTGCAGACTTGTTTATGTGGTTACTTCATAGTTCTGTGTAGTCCCATGTCTCTTTGAAGTGACTGGTAACTTTTTTTTTCTTTCCATATTTAGTGCTTCCTTCAGGAGCTCTTGCAGGGAAGCACTAAATTTGGGGAAAGGGGGTGATGAATTCCCTCAGCATTTGCTTGTCTGAAACGGATCATATTTCTCCTTTGCTTATGAAGCTTAGTTTGGCTGGATATGAAATTATGGGTTGAAATTATTTTCTTTAAGAATGTTGAATATTGGCCCCGGATCTCTTCTGGCTCATAGGGTTTCCACTGAGACGTCTGCTGTTAGTCTGATGGGCTTCTTTTTGTAGGTGATCTGGCCTTTCTCTCTGGCTACTCTTAAAAGTTTTCCCATCATTTCATCCTTGGAGAATCTGATGCTTATGTTATTTTGGGTTGATCTGCTCACAGAAAGTCTTACTGGGTTTCTCTGGATTTTTCTGAATTTGAATGTTGGCCTGTCTTGTTAGGTTGGGGAAGTTCTCCTGACTCATATCCTGAAGTATGTTTTCCAACTTTATTCCATTCTCCCTGTCACTTTCAGGTACCTCAGTCAATCATAGGTTTGCTCTTTTTACATAATCTCATATTTCTTAGAGGTTTTATTCATTACTTCTTTTTTTTTTTCTCTATTCTTGTCTGCCTGTCTTATTTCAGAAAAATAGTCTTCAAGCTGTGAGATTCTTTCCTTTGTTTGGCATACTCTGCTATTGATACTTGTGATTGCATTGTGAAGTTCTTGTGTTGTGTTTTTTAGGTCCATCAGGTCAATTTTGTTTCTCTCTAAACTGTCTATTCTGGCTATCAGCTCCTGTATTGTTATATCATAATTCTTAGCTTCTTTGCATTGGGTTACAACATGATCCTTTAGCTCAGCGAAGTTCATTATTACCCAGCTTCTCAAGCATAGTCCTATAAATTTAGCCATTTCGGCCTCAGTCCAGTTCTGTGCCCTTGCTGGAGAGGTGCTGCAGTCATATGGAAGAGAAGAGGCACTCTGGCCTTATGAGTTTTCAGCATTTTTGCATTGATTCTTTCTCATCTTTGTGAGCTTATTTACCTTTGATCTTTGAGGCTGCTAACCTTTAAATAGTGTTTTTGTGGGGCCTTTTTGCTGACGTTTTTGTTTGTTTCTATTTGTTCTTCTTTCAACAGTCAGGCCACTCTTCTGTAGGGTGGCTGCAGTTTGCTGGGGGTCCGCTCCAGACCCTACTTGCCTTGGGTTTTTCCATGACTGGAGGTATCAACAGTGAAGACTGCAAAACAGCAAAGATGGAAGCCTGCTTCTTCCTCTGGAAGCTCCATCCCAAGGGGGTAATGACCTGTGGCCAGCCCAAACATCCTCTGGCAGGTGTCTGTAGACCCCCGTTGGGAGATCTCACCCAGTCAGGAGGAATGAGATCAGGGACCCACTGAAAGAAGCAGTCTAGCTGCTTTTTGGTAGAGAAGCTGTTCTGCATTTGGGGGGACCCCTCCTCGTCCCAACTGCCTGGACTCTCCAGAGCCAACACGCTGGAATGGCTGAGTCGAATGAACTGCAGAGATGGCATCTGCTCCTCCCTGCCAGGGGCTTCAACCCACGGAGAGATCGGAGTTCTGTCCATATAACCCTGACTGGAGTTGCTGAAATTCCCACAGGAAGGCCCCATCTAGTGAAGAGGAATGGATTAGGGTCCCAATTAAAGAAGCAGTCTAGTCACAATCTTGTACAGCAGCTGTGCTGTGTTGTGGGAGACTCTTCTTTATCCGGACTGCCTGGATTCTCCAGAGCAAGCAGGCTAGAACAACTGAGTCGACCGAACCGCAGAGATGGCAGCTGCCCTACCTCCTAGAACTCAGTCCTGTCCCAGGCAATCTTCAGCCTTTTGCAGCTGGCTGGCTGGAATTCCAAGTGAGTGGGTATTAACTTGTGAGGTGCCAGAAATGGGGCCTGCAGAATGACGCTACTTGGCTTCCTAGATTCAACCCCCTTCCTAGGGGAAAGTACAAATGGATCTCCTGCTTTGCCAGGATTCCCTGGGCTGGAGTATGTAAAACTCCCGGGTCTCTCTGTGTGCCTTTGCAGCTGTGCTGGCGAGACTCCCCACAGTTCTGTGTATTGGCCTCAGGTCCCTGGTGGCATGGGCTCATGAGGGGATCTCCTGATACGCAGGTTGTAAAGATCTGTCGGAGAAGCTAGTTTCCCAGGTGGGGGTCACACAATCAGTCACCGCTTCCTTTGGCTTGTAGTGGGTGTTCCTTTGGCTCCATGCGGATGCCTGGTTGGCCATCATCCCACCCTGCTTTTCCTTATTCTCCATGGGTCGAGCTGTCCACCTAGTCAGTCCCAGTGGGAGAACCCGGATATTTCAGTTGAAAGTGCTGAATTCACTCGCAATTTTTACTCCTCTCTGTGAAAACCATGACGCCAGCTGCTTCTAATCAGCCATCTTGGCCCCTCCATCCTGTTATTAAAATTTAATTCAATCTGTCCAATCTTTATGAGCTTCACTATATGGTAAAATTTCCATAAACCTCTTATAACCATTTACAGTTTTCTGTTAAACAGGGGACTAATTCTCTAAGAAAACCCTGTTCTTTAGACACATAAGCCTAGATTCTGGCCCTGCATTAGTGTGCTTTTATTTCAATGTTCATCCTACAGAAAACTCAATAATCCCCTTTAAATCTTAGCCAGCTTGCTCATACTCAGAACATTTTATGAGATTAATGCTTCACAAACCCTTTTCAACTTGCTTAAGCCTTTAGTTTTATCCCATTACTCTTTTAGGTTAGGCCAATCCTTAAAACCCTCTGAGTTAGACAAGATTAGATTCCCTTAAAAAGAAAACCATACCTTCTGTAACTCCTAGCAAAAACACATTCTACTTTCCCTCTACACCTTGTATGTAAACTGTTTCTCCAGTAGTCCCAAGTATGTTACAATGTTAACTCAGCAATGTTTATTTTTGGTGAAAAACGTGGTGAGTAATTTTAATCATGTGTAAGATGAGCTGCAGATAATGTCTAATTCTTCCCAGCCCAGCCAGGGAACCAGGCTAACTCCATTATGTCCCCAGGCCTTTAACTATAATCTAATGACTGTAATACAAATAAGTCAAACAATTATTAAAAGTAATAGAAGCAAGTTATGGCGTTAAAGCATCTGGCAAACAGTATCTGACCTGTCTAATTCAGTTCAAATGTGTGACCTTTGAAGTCATTTTTATTTTACTTTACCAATAAGCTTCAAACTGTGTTAATTTTTAAGATGGTTAAATAGAATCATATGACCTAAAAGGCATTAAAGTTTCTGTTTTTCTGGCAATATGTTTAAGTGCTTATTTTTCTTGAAGCCAATTAATTAGAGCTATTTTATAAAAACATTATACACAACATATATAAATGCACAGAAAGACAGAAAGAGAATCTAGACAAAATTCTATCAACTAAGAAGTTTCTAAAGGGAGAGAAGGGGCTTTAAAAACAATATCTGTACACATACAATCCAAATACCAGCTTTAATTAAGTTGAATTCTCACTACAGAGCTCTCAAAAGAAAAATTCATTTAAAATCTTTTATTACCAGATTTTAATCCATACAAATGACCAATATTTATGGCTTTTGAATATTTTAGTAATAGTAATCTCCTACGTGAAATGAATAAGCCTTAACTAAGGGAATAACTTAAACACAAACACGCAAGGTGTCTCTAAAGAGATGGTAAGCAATTTAAGATCTAGAATTGCCCCAAAGGTAACTCAGAGAAAAGAGAATTTCAGGACAGGAAATCGGAAGCTGTCCATGGAGAAGAAAATAATTAATACATGGCAAAAGTACCACAACTGTTAAACCACAAAGGACTCACTTTCAAAGCCAGGAATTGAACCCAGATGTCATTGTGAGAGGCCAAGTCCTTAGCAACTGACCTACAGCACAAAGTGACGGTTGTTTCTTATGTCCAGTCAAAGTTTAGAGCATTTTCAAGCTTGCAAAAAAAATTTTAACTGATGAAGAGAATTTTCTGACTAGCCAAGTTATTATTATGCATCCTTCTTTTAATTTAATGTATTTCTTTTAATGTACTCAATTCCAACAGTGACTCAGTCTAGAAGCCTGTTGCAGTCCAGAGAGCAGTTTTCCAGGTTTTTATCATATAAGCAAAAGGTATTTCCACAAAGGGGTAGAGGAGGCATCTTCATAACAGGCAGCTTCTGAACTCAAAAGGAACATGTATAATTTTACTTGCCTCCAGAACTGCCCTTGGCTTTGGTTTGTTAACTATGATATTTGATTTGGAAGCCAGCTGGAGCAGTGAGTACTCTTCAGCTTATTGCCATCAGGGACTGAGATTCTGTCCCGGGGGCCTTTCAGCCCTCAGGGTGGCCCTGTTTCCAGCGATGGAGCTTGTGGCAGAGGAGGTAAGCCATGTGGTGATTTTTCCCTCTTATTTTGTTGGCATAGTTTGCCTTTCAGTGGCCTGGCCTTTTGCACTAATGGCAGTTACCTGGAGGAGTGTCTTAGGGCAACCTAGATGGGGCTGGAGGCTTGTAAATTAGCCAACAGTTGAGTCTGCCTCTTGTCCCTGAGTTTTTCTTTCTCTTTAGCCCTAATCCTCCTTATTCTTCTCTTGGCTATAAAAGAGTGAGGAGGCTAATTTGAGGATTTTCTGTATAGGAGCCATGCTATATTACACACGAAAAATTAGACATTTCTTTTTGAGAGTCTGAGGGTTATATTTGTTTGAGTGTTTTAGGATGCAACCCAGAGGGGAGTCTGAAGGAATAGAACAGGTTTGTCCCATGATGTGACTGGAAAATGACAAGCCACTGGGGGCTAATGTCTGCTGGGGACACCAGCTGCAGATTCTCTCAGGGCATCCCACTGAGGACTACGGTTCCACTCATGTCCGCTGAGGGACTTGGGTGCACTTTCTAACAGGGTGGCCCAAATATTAGAAAGAACCCCTCAGTGCAGGGCCCTGATGATGGGTGATCAGCCCAGTTATGAAGAAAAAGAGTAAAGGGAGAACTCAGCCCAGTGCCAGCCCAGGTGAGGAGATGGGAATGGGGAGACTCACCGCTGAGGCTGCTTGAGATCACCTGATTTGAGAATGTCTGCAGGAGGCCTGGCTGTCTTCACAGGAGATTTTGGAATGAGAAAGAGGGGGTCTGAGTTCCCTAAAGCACATGTGCCAATTGAGACACCCAGAGGAACTGGGGACCTTGGACCAGAAAGGATGGGAGCGAGCCTTTCTCCCTTCCAGGCAAGGGAGCCAAACCTCTTCACCTCATGGCCTTCAGGCTACACCAGGGACCGGCCCTGGCCAGTTGCTGTCAATCACTACAGGGATACAAGAGGTCATCCACTGAAAGACTGAAAGGGAAAGCAAACTCTGAACTCTCACCTGATTGGGCAGCAGCAGTCAAACACTTCCACATAGATACCTTTCAGTCTCAGCAGAGTGCACTCCTGGCCAGAGACCTTCAGTTATTTTCATGCTTAGACACAACCCACCGAGGGTCCCAAGCTGGGAAAGAGAGAGAGGAGGGAGGGTTGCCCTTAAAAAGAGAGCCCCCGTGCGAACCACGAAAATGGGGTGGATAGCAACTAGCTAGCAATGGTGTTGCGGATGGTAAAGGTATTTAGTAAGACAGTCATAGATAAAGAAAGGCAAATTTATCAGAGAAGGTTTGAAAACACATTGTAAGGATGCAGCGGGCAGCACAGCAGAGACAGGGCTTTCTGCAGAGAGGCAGGGCCTGAAGAGAAATTCACAATTGTTCATTGTTCTCCCCACCTGGGGCCCTCCCACACCTGGATCCCCTTCCTCAAATTTGCTTTTTTATCAGTATTAGATCTCAAATACTGGCACTTGGGCCATTGTTCCTGTGGAGACAGGAGTGGATTGCTGCCATTATGGCCACTCCCAAAATGATTCTCCATTTCCCCTACTCCTCCATAATTGATTGTTGGGCTATATAAACATCGGCTTTTTAAGAAGGTCAAGTTGGAAAATTGAGTATCTGTACTTTTATCTGTGAAAGGGAAATGAAAACTTCAGTCCCCAATTCACTAGGCCAAAAGGAAAAAATTAAGCTGGAAACTGAGTCATGCAAGAAACTGCCTTTCCTTTTGTTCCTAAGCAGATAGCTACAGATAAAAGGTAAAGTATCTATACAGATAGTTACTCTGTGTTCACTTATCTTATGTAAAGTGCTGATTTACTAAGCACCAGATGTAAATATAATTAATTATTCCCCTACCCATTCCTTTTGTCTTGCAACATGTGGATTGCCATACCCTCCATCTTTCCCCTCTAGCCCACTTTTCCTGTTTAAATATTAAAACCGTCAAAGTCATCTTTGGAGAAAGGCACAGACCACAGACTGTTTCTGTGATTCCGTGTATTTTTTTTCTCCTAGGCGTGTCCTTAACCTTGGTAAAGTAAACTATTAAATTGATTGAGACCTGTCTCAGATACATTTTGGTTTACATATCCTAGATACAGATTTTTCTTCTTAACGATATTTATTAAGTAGGGAATTCTCTAAGTGTTTAGATTCTTCATTGTAATATATAAATTAATAAATAAGGGAAAGGATCTTTATTTATAGTAAGCCCACTATAATACCAGGAAATACTATGAAATTAAAACATATTTGCTTATTGATAGTTACATAGGTCCTATGAGAAACTATCCCGTTTTACTTATAAAAGACACAAAGATTAAGAAAGTTAAGTAACTTGCTAAAGTTGATGGAAGCAGCACCAGTTAATTCAAGGTGTTAACTGAGTTATTTTGGCCTCCAAAGCCAATGTTTCTTTCCATTGTCTACACTTAATCAAAAGCTGTTGATAATGGAGAAAAAAAAGGACTCAGGGAGAAAGGAAACTTCTAATATAAGGCAATATTTATACTACAATTTGAAGCAAAAAGAGATAAAACTAATAGCAAGCAGTACCACATGGTCTTTCACATTTTTCAATGGGCACAGTGTCAGAGATGATGATTTCTAAGGTCCTTCACCATTTGAAAACTCCAGGAAACCATAATATAATACAATTCTGAGCAATTGGAAAATCAGAGGAGCCAATACCTCAGCGGTTCATGGCAGGAACTTGGCAAGAACACTGATTTTCTGAATTCAAGTCTAGTTTTATTAAGTCATCACTACCTTCACATTATTCTTTGGCACTTTGTTCATGATCTCATTACACTCTCTCCTGAGCTGTTTCTTAGCTGATCAGGATCTTCTCAGAGTAAGAATTCACTCAAAAACACCCTAGACCTTAAACGTTCCGCCTCTTCCTTTCTATCTTGTACGAACAGGCCAATTGAGCTATGCTTACTCCCAACACTTGATGCTGACTATGTAAATGACTTACAACAATTATCTTATTGAAGAGGTATTGATGAGTTCCTCAGTAATCTCTTTACCAAGGAAGACAATGTCAAAACACATGCATAGAGGCCTGAAAGTTAGGACTTTGAAGAATTGGTTTTCAAGGCCATTTTCAATTCACTGTCCATCAAATCATACTGAAACGGGAGAGTTCCCTTACCCCCCTCACAGGACATGTGTGTGGCTCTTCTGTTCTGCCAGGCACACTCAAACCCCTTATGGGAAGGGGAGCACGCAGACGGGCAGATGCAGGAGCTGGGGTGAGTGCCCCTGGGCTCTGGCTCCATGGCAGTGTCCAGGGGTGGGAGTCTGAGACTCCTGAAGCCTTACTGGGCGTGTGTTACAGTGCACTCTTTTAGCCTTGCCATCCGTGGATGGCTTAAGTGTTAAACAGCTCAGTGCTCTCTTGGTACCCAGGTCCTTGTCTGGCATCCAGGAAGAATCAGCTCACACACAGACTTGAAGGATGAATGCAAGGATTTTACTGAGTGGTGGAGGTGGCTCTGAGTGGGATGGATGAGGAGCTGGAAGGGGCATGGAGTGGAAAGATGACCTGCCTCTGGAGTTTGGACATCCAGTGGCCAATCTCCTCTCTGAACGTCCTCAGCCGAACTCCTCTTGGCACCCAGATGTTCCTTCTCGTCCCTCTGCTCCACCATTCTGCTGTTCTTTTGCTCTTCTGTTTGTTCCCTTGTCTGCTTGTGGAGCTTGGGGTTTGGGGTTTATATGGGTACACGATAGGGGGTATGGCGAACCAAAAGGCTAATTTGGGCATGAAAACAGGAATGCCTGTTCTCATTTAGGGCTCTGGGTTTCCAGGTTTGAGGGTGGGCCTTACTAGGGAACCATCCTCTTCTACCCAAATTTCCCTGTCTTCTGTCCATATAAATACCTCACAGAGCCATGCTTTGTAAACTGTAGGATTCAGTCTACTGACAGCTCACGGAATCATTTTGTTGGATAACAATGTTTATTTTAAGAATAAGGTGATAGAATAGAATAAGAAAATATGCGTAGATCATACCTAGTTAATGTGTGTGTCCTCTCACATTTTTTTTTCAAATTACATGTATTTCTTGTGAGTGTGTGTGAGAGAATAGATACTGTTTACTAAGATAAAATAAATCACTCTTTTGGACACAAGTTAGAATAATTCAAAGGTTCTGAATGAAAGTCTGACCTCCCTTCTCACCCCTTATCCATACACATTCTATGCTAGAACCACTGAAAAAATTAAATATCAATTTAAGATTAATATTGTTTATATACATATGTGTGTGTTGTTTTACCATGTATAATTTAATACATATTAACTTATTAGATATTCAGGAGAAACCTACAAGCTAAAAATTATTGTTATTTGAAGGTCAAGGAAGCCAGTAGTCTCCAGAAGCAGAGCAGGTATTAAAACCCAGGTTTTCTGTCTCAAATATTATTTTCTTTACCCTATACTACACTGCTTCTTAGAATTTCAGAATGAGAGAAAAGATTGCATTATTTTTCTGCAGGACACATTTTTGTGGAACCCTTGACCTGACAGATTATGTACTGATTATGTATTCTTAATAGCAGTGTTTTTCATGTGGGGTTGCTGAATCAGGCTCCTTGGTGTTTAAGCCTTTGAGAAAGTGGTCCTAGTGATTTTGCCATGCACTTCTAATTAATAAACATGAGTTCCTTGTACCGTAACAAGATAGTCATTACAAATAAACAAGGGTTTTCGTCCCATGTGTTTACTCAATGTGTTGTCAATAATGCTTGAGAATTATGTAAAATATGTATTCTGGATCCAATGGGTATAATTAGAACAAATCATAGTGTTGACGCTTGGTCAATCATTCAATTCAGCCAATACATCAGCTTTGGTCCTGTTACCTGCAAGGAAAGTAAATCTGATTCAAATCCAGCATACTTACTAGGGGGAATTAACACATTAAAAAAACCCAGACAAGATAGCAGTTTATCAGTGGCATGTCACGTTTATTAAATAATTTATACTGATTAATTATATACTCTTCTGAATCTATTTATTGATTGTTGCTAGGGCTTAACCTCTTACTTCCTAAAGAGATTGTAAGCTTTCCAAGGCATTAATGAAACTTCTTTTGTTTTATTGTCCACAAAACTTCACAAAGGGCTCTGCACTTTTAACTATAACCATAAATATTACAGAAAATGATATCCACTTTCTATTTCAGGAAAAACTCTAGAAGTGTAATAAAATTGAGAATTATTGGAAATTTACTGTTTTGTATCATAAATATGGTTTAGCTCTTGGGGTCTTGCTATTATTACTTTTTATGCTAGTATATAATGACTAGAGGTATTTGATTTATTTTATATATAAATATATATATATATGTTATCTGTTTCATACACAAATATTTTGTGGTGTTTCATCAAGTGCTCTGTAATTGTCCAGTGGCTTCCCCCTGAACAAATGATAAACAGTTTTGAGATTACTAATTATGGTAAAGTATGTAGTTGCTGTCATTTATGAAAACCCCAAATCAGTTGGCTTGTCAAGCATGCACTCAGCTTAATTTTGCTTTTCATACACACACACACACCCCCACACACACAAACACAAATACACACACGTCACTTACCATTTATGAAAGGCTTTCTCTGTACCACGCATTGTAGCAAACATGTTGCAGAGTTGATCTTATCTCATTTTCTTTCACACAAGAGAAAGGTAAGAAGGATTTTTTTTGCCATTTCAAAGATAAGTAAAATAAGGTTGATAAAATCATACATCTAATAAGTATCACAACTGACTTAAGTCTCTTAATTATAGCGTGATGTTCCTACGTATTGAGAGAACATATCAAAATTTGAAAAGTTGTTCAGTCTTTCCACCTTTCCATCAAAGTCTTTTTTTCTCTATTGAGGATTATTATGTTTTTCTACATTCAAGTTCCAGGTTATTTATGATTCAATAAAAATTTAATGATTGGTTTTTATCACACGTTATTGACTACAGAAATATAATGTAAGAGGGAGGCAGAGACAAGGAAAGGAGAGAGAGAAAGTGTGATGGGGAGGAGGAGAGAACACACTAAAAAAATATTTATTCATGTAGTCCTGCCGATAGACACGAGAATGCAATTTATATTTTCAGTTTGTACCACTCATTACTTCTCAAGACAATACTTTCCATAAATTTACTTTCAAAGTACAGTGGAATTGTTTTATTTACCTTGAAATAACCTCTTTCAAGGTTTTAATGGTGAAAATGCTGTATTTTGAGAGCTCTGGGATGTGGAAAAACATTCAGTATTCCCAATTGTCTACTTCTTTTCTGATTTTTGTAGACCTGGATTACAACACTTTTAGTTTTACTATTTCTAGAGTGAAGGACATCTTTGTTACTTGTCTACTATATTTACTGTACTTAAAATTATTCTAGATCTCTGGCCATGATATTACAGCAGAAATAAGGCTACATTTTATAGGTATAGGATGTGATCAGCATGTCTAATACACCTTTTAAAGCAGAAGACTGTGTAAAGTTAGAACTTAAATAGTACTGTTTAGGTGATGCTTCCTGCAAGCAAGTGCCTTTAAGATAATCAGTTCTCTTTTCTATGGTAATGACTCAACAATGTATCTGAAGAGCACAGAAACTTCCTTCTCTCTCTCCCTCTCGCAACTCTGCTTTTGCACTCATTCTAAATATCTCAAACATAGTATCCTACGCTTGCACTCCACTAAGCTGTTGAATTTTCCTACAACACACAGGGTATCAGATTGCTCCTCAATTCTGTATGTTGATGGGGTTTTGGATAACCCATTTCAGTGACATATATATCTGAAAAAGAATTCAGATTAATTTCCTCAATTAACTGATGGGAGATGACATGATTTGATAAAGTACATGGAGAAGAATTGGACTAGCAAGCTCTTTGTTGTAGGTGGACAGAGAGGGAGAAGCTAACAAACCAAGAAAACGTTGCTAGAAAGAGATTCCCTGGAAAAGGAGCATGAAGAATTAAAAAAACACATCTTAGATCTTTGCAAATCCAATGGATATGTAAAAAATATAGAAGCAAAAGTTATTCTGAAAAAAGAAAAGATTATAGGGAAGATTGAGAGTATAGTTAGAGTTACCCTATTTTAAACCTACTTTTTATATGGCATTATGCTAAATGCATTGCTTACAGTTTCTCATTTACCTGAGCAACAACCTGAGCTCTACATTTTTATTTCCATTTTATAGATGTGAATCTGAAATGTAGAGAGGTTAAGAAATTTCTCAAAATCACATAGCTTTTAAGTGGCAAATTTGGGATGTGAATTGTTTGTTTCTATTTTTATTTTTTACTTTAAAATGTTTTCCACTTCAACTGTGTATAATAGAACTAAGAGGGAAGAACAGATGAAGTTACTTCACATGTGAGCTGTAAACATTTACAAACTACATAATCAGCAAATGTCAGATACCTACAACTGACCATTATGACAAAGAAACTTATCTTTTTAAAACCCACTTAGCTTTTTGCAGGATTAATTAACACTCCTATTCAGCTGTGAAACTTACTAACTGCTGCCCAAAGCTTGATAATGCAGGCAGCTGGTTGTTTACTCTCTAAGAAGCTTATAAATGTTTGTTCCCACAGGCTGAGTATTATTCTTTTCAAAATTGATTTTTGCTTTTTCAGCCCATTCATTTCAGGTATATCAATTATTATATTTACATAGTTTAATTAAATATTGCATCAATCCAATTAGGATTGTCAAAAAAGAGTTATTTTCATAAAAATAAGCTGAATGATTTCAAATACAAGCAAGGTAAGTCACTAAAATTGTGTTAAGTGAGGGCTAGAAAGCTGAAAAAGACTGGAAATACGGCATAAAAATAATTTGCATTAAGATAACTTTAGAACCATCTTTAATTTCGGTCTTTATTTTAAAGAACGTGATGGTGAAATCCTATAGTATTCATTTTGGGATGTGGTTTATGCAGTCAAGTTAATGGAGATTTCTGATAAATGGACAGGTACTTAAACCAAAAATTTGACTCCACGTCAAAAACAGCCCAATGTATGTGCATGTGTTTGTGTGTGTATGTGTGTATGTGTGTGCAGGTGTGCATATGCTTCTGTTTGAAAAAGCATATGTTTTTCATTAAAATTATGCAAAAAATATTTACTTTTAATTAAAAGTACAGCTAGGGAAAACATTTTCCATAAATAGTTACAATATTCATGAATTGTTATAATTCATTACTTGTTTTGTAACGAACAGTGAAAGGTAGAAGTCAACAAGAAAATGAATTTATTTTTGAAATATAAAAACGTTTGCTCAAAAGCTTGACTTTGTCCTTTCATAACTTAAAGATTCGGTTTTTAATAATCTTCTTCTTTCTCTTTTTGAGACAGGATCTTGTTCTTTTGCCCAGGCTGGAGTGCAGTGGCTCCGTCATGGCTCACTGTAGCCTTGACTTCCCAGGCTCAAGCAATCCTCTCACTTCAGCCTCCCAAGTAGCCAGGACCACAGGCATACACCACTATGCCTGGATATTTTTTTAAATTTTTTGTAGAGACACGGTCTTACTATGTTGCCCAGGCTGGTCTTGAACTCCTGGGCTCAAGTGATCCTCCTGCCTCGGCTTCTTGAAGTGCTGGGATTACAGGCATAAGCCACCCTGCCTGGCCAATTTTCTTTTCTCCTCTGATGTGTGTTATTCATTTGTCACTACATAATACTGAGCTAAAACCATTTTCTTAGCTCTTTTTTTTTTGAAGTCAGGGGAGTTATTTATATTGTGTAATTCTTGACACTGATGAAAAATACATGTTCAGATATGTCTGTTAGAATTGAAACAGGATTTTAAAAATCTTTCATTTCCCACTTTAGCAGCACATATACCAAAATTGGAATGACACAGAACATGGGCCCTGAACAAGGATGACATGCAAATTTGTGAAGTGTTCCATATTTTTGGTGACTGGATAAAGAAAATCTGGATATGTTTCTTAGCTCTTTGATTGCTATTTAATTGTCTGATGCTTGTTTCAAAACTGCTTTAAAAGTTATTTTCCAGTTGGATGTAACTTTTGCAGGATCTTCCTGGTTTTTCATTGCTCCAACTTCGGAATGGCCTGGGATTTCCTATTTTTCTTCCTAGTATGTATCTGTTTCAACTTCAAAATGCCTCAATTTTCTGACAGCTGTTGTTGCCTCTCCCCAACTAGTGTCTTCCTCAAGCCCCTGTGGCAGGCTCATCCTGGCTCCTCCTCTAGTTTGCCTTACTTTATCATTCCTTGCCCTTGGGGGCTTCCTGGTCTTCAGCCTCACAATCAACCTCCTGTAATTTTTGCGCTTTTCAGGCTACTAACTTAGTGAATTTTATTTGCGAGTTTCCAATTTTAGTTTATTTCTTTTCTTTTCCTCCATTCATCTGCCTCTCTCCCTTTCTTTCTTTGTATTCCCCTTCACCTCTGCTTGCTCTTTAGTGCTTTCATTTGCTTTGGAGGACTGAGCCTTGGCAGAGATTTCTGCCTGTGGCATTTGCAGTTGTTGGAGTGACTGCTTCCCTTACCCCACACTGACCAAGTTTCTTTCCCTGCGGAATAAGGAAATCATCTCTGAAAGTCCACTTGATTTAATCCTTCATGTACATGAAGGCACAGAGGCTCTATTACTGGAAGTTTCAGAGAAAATATTCCACACTGCTTCAGAATAGACTCCTTACAAATTTTTAAACTTTATGCTAATCTTAAAACATTGCCTTTTTGCTTGGAACATTGTCAAACCATTAATTTGCTATGAATGTTCTCTCACTTTGCAGCTGACATTGGGTCTTTTTATTCATTAATTCTCTTAATCCATGCTTTCTGGTTAAATTCCCCTGGGTTTTACGTTCATAACCCTTGTTACCAGACTGCTGATCTTCAGTTAAGTATTTCAGGTGAAATCATAGCTCCCCGCAATCCCAACACCTTCTCAGTGTAAATGATTTTTTCCAGGGCCAGAAGGAGGAGCTTCACTTCCACAGTCACCTGTAACTTTCTAGGCAGAATGTAGTCTCTTCAACAGGGCATCCCTCTCATCAGTAGTGTTTACCACAGGCAACAAAGACATTTGCAATTTCTGAAAATAACCTCATGCTTTTCCACTTACACTTTTTTCCTCTGACTTTCTACACATACTGCACGGAAAAAAGTAGCTCTTGTAGCTATAGTATTAAGTGCTTTACATTAATAAATATTAATATTTAAATATTAAGTATGATTCCCTCAGCCAGTACCCGCCAATGGTTTCAACCCACTGCAGTGAGCACATAAATTGTCTGTGCCTGCCTCATGTAGCCACCATCTCCCTCTTGGGATTCCCAGTGCAGATGCATGCATTTGGGTTTCAAGTTAAAATTTAAGGTAAATGTAAATCAGAATTTCATGAATCTGATCTGTAATTTAGAATTTTAAGCCAAACAACTGAAAAACTGAACATGCTGGATTGGAAAGGTTTAGTGACTGTATGGTTTTGAGTTTAGTTAGAATTACATGTCAATCGTATGTATAATGTAGATTTACGCTTCCTTGTATATTTAGAGGAGAGTTGCAAATGTAGGTAATACTCTGTCTTTCATCCACTCTATGTCATTCATTCTTCAACAAACACTTTTGAGTATCAAGAAATGTAGTTAGCATTTAAGACCACCGAGTTTGGGTGCTAATTGCCTTGACAAGGTTTGTAGTTTTGTATCTGAGACAACTGATACACTTTCTCTGTGCCTCAGTTCCTCATTTCTAGAAAGAAGAAAGTGAGTTACATAACTTGAGGGTGTTGTTTTAAATATCAAATAAATTCCATACAAGCTAGATTTTATTAATAGCATAGAGTGTGAAAAGTAATACTATACATTCCGAGGATAGGCAAGAACATAGTTAGTAATGCTTCCATTCTTGTCTGGTTGTATTTCACATAACACTAAGTAATATGTAATCCCAGAACTTTGGGAGGCCCAGGAAGATGGATCACTTGAGGTCAGGAGTTTGAGAGCATCCTGGCCAACATGGCAAAACCCCGTCTCTACTAAAAACACAAAAAATTAGTCAGGCATGGTGGCTCACACCTATAATCCCAGCTACTCAGGAGGCTGAGATGGGATGATTGCTTGAACGCAGGAGGTGGAGGTTATAGTGAGCTGGATGGTGCTACTGCACTCCAGCCTGGGTGACAGAGTGAGACTCTGTCTCAAAACAAAACAAACTAGTATGAATAAGATACAATAAGATAATGGGATATTGCCTATAAAGCTAAAATTAGAACATGTGGTCAAGGAAGATCTCTCTTGGTTGATGATGTGGAATTTATATAACATTATGTTTGGAACCAGACATATGGAAGTCTATCAGTGAATATTTCAAGCAAAGGAACTAGCAAGGGAAGGGGTCCTGGGGTTGAAATAGTGTCTTCTTATGTAAGAAATGGAAAGCAGGCCAGTGTAGCTGGAGTGTAGGAAGCAATGTGCAGATTGGTGGGTAATGATGAAAGAGAAATAGGCCTCTTGTGAAATAAGTGAATGAACATAGATCAGTTGGAGCCATAAGGCCATCACAATCTTGCTATGTATCTCAAGTAATCCTATGTGACAAGTTAAAATTTCTAAAAAAGCAGATTTATCCCAATTTGGCCAGAGACTAGCTCCAAGTTAAATATTTTTCACTTTGGAGGAGGCCTTTCTTCTTGGTAGATGTGTTCTCCAGCAAAATTCTTTACCAAATGAAGATTGTTAGTAACTATGCATGGAACTCTGCTCTGTGGAGGCCCCAAACAGAAAGAGCCTGCAATTTCTACACACATTCCTACATTGAATCCTTGAATCTATATCTTTTTCTGTCCTTGAAAAAGTGGGGCTTATCGCTAGGCAAACAAAATTTCTGAAATTCATTTACCAATCACAAGGAGGGCATAAATTTCCCAACATTCCAATTTTAATTCTTAACAAGTACAAATGTCATTATAGCTTACTCAAATTACCAAACACACCTCTTCCTTGACTTGTCTGTCTTAAAGAAAACAGTTTCAGTTTAGTTTGTGTTCAGGAAGCAGGGAAGATTATATAACACTTTTAAAATTCAAGGTATGGGTACATATTTTCCAAAGTCTCATAGAAACAATATACTTTATGATTATCATCCACTTTTTAGAAAGTAGTTAAAATTCCTGACAGTATAAGTGTGTACAGATGCTATTTTCTGCAATGTATTGGAGGCTTCATGAAACAAAGGGTTAATAAATATAAAAGTGAGCCCATAAATAACATAATTGAGAAAAAAATTTAAATAATAAGAGTCATATAAACAAATTTTGACCCATGCTTTTCCAAAAGAAATCATGCTTTTCTGATTTGGTTATAGAAAATCCTGAATGTTATTAAGTCAATTATCATACTTTTTTTAAATTATACTTCAAGTAATCTAAAACAATATTTTCTATATAATGGAAAAAGACTCTAAATAAGAAACTGTACACAAGCACTAGCTGAAGCTTTTATTGGTGTGTTTAAATTCATCAAACATTTATAAAGCCTCTACTATAGGTAAAGCATTGTGGGACATAAAGAGGCAAATGTGAAATTGATTCTGTCCTCAGAGCCTGTTAGAATGTTATAATGAGGATCATAAAAACCAGCATCTTTGTTTTTGGGAAGGTGAGTATTGAGACTCTCATATCTGTGATAGATAAGTCAGTTGATTTGGACACTTTATATGTAAGTTTCATAGCTACATTTAGGCCTGTATAATGCCAAGCAGGGAAATTGAGGCCCCAAATACAAATATTTAAATGCAATGTAACCCACACATCCATCACAGATTTTCATTTTGTAAAATTACCCTGATATCCTTTTGATGATTTAACTCTTCCCCACATAATTTATTGTAATGAAGTTCTCTCCTAGCCTAGCTAAGTAGTAAATGTGGAATCAAAGTTAGACAATTAAATCTTCTTTTCCTGAAATATGAATTATGAAGAGATGAACAAAGACACCTAAATGTTCAGAGCTCATTCTATTCTTGCAGCTAAATCCCCAAGAGGATGTTCCTGTTATATGACTATATCTGTTCCAAGAACATCTGAACTGCATTGATAACTGCCAATTTCCAAGTCTGATTTCTAGTTCTTGTGTGTCCAAATATATCTCCAACAATTCCCCTTCTGCTTATGTTAACTATACTAAGACCATCTTGACTGCATCTAAAGAATTCTAACAAATAGAAAACAACAATCTAGAGGACTGCATCTATTCAATAGATCCTCAAAGAAATCCATTTGCAATAGGAAGGAAAACACTCTTCATAATCTGGCATGGGACTTCAGAGTCTGTGAGATGTAAGGATAAAACAAGTAAGTTGCTCTATGGAAGAATTTGCTCTTGGTTATTGCCGCAGATTATTGTGAAGAGCAAGAGGAGGTCAAAGGCCACATAGTAGGGTAGTCATAGCTGAATGACTGGAGAAATTCAGAGAAAAAGAATCACCTAGCTCAAATATTTAAATTTTCTCCTCAGGCTGCACACTGAAACTCAAGGAGTATGCATGATTTTATTAAAACAGCAATCTTCTTACAACTGGGTAGTTGAAATAGCCAAAAACCAAAATTTATAAGTGTTTCTGCAGACTGTTGAATTGCAAGTCATCTGTATTCTCAGCCTTGCCTAGTCTCTTGGGTGAAGAGATATTCATGAAAATAACACAAATAAGAAAATAATACAACCTGGAATATTGAAATAGTGTTATCTGGGGGCATCTGGATTTCCCTGATACCTGAAAAATTATCTTCTGCCGTTGCCTTCCCGTTAGAAGAAATTGACCCTTCCTTCATTGTTCATTTTCTGTTGAAGATGTTGTACCCTCCTCACCTGAGGAAATGCCCTAAGCAGAGGTAGCTTGATTTCCTTGTTATTTATCACAACTATTTTTATAAATGGTCTTGCATCCTACTTTTCCAACACTGTTAAATGGATAATATAACCAACAAAAGGAACATAGATCAGTTGGAGCCATAAGTTTAACAAGAAAGGATTGCTCAAGAAAGTGATTGTAACAATTCATTAAAACTGGGAATGTGTATGTAGAATTGATTTTAGGGAGTTTTCTGAAGGAAGAAGAAGTATACATTTTGTTTCAGATTGAATGGGAAGTTATGTGTGTGTATATACCAGAGTCCATGTTTAATTCATTCAGGTGGGAGAGATTCTATCATTATACAGAATAAGTTAATGAAAATCCAGATGAAATAGAGGCCTATTAAAACATGTTTAGTAGAATGATGAATTACACAATAACAAAACTGATGAATCTACTATATCGATACTCCTGCCTCACTCTCCAAAATATCTGCAAATTTATTTCAGGAACTAAGATTTTTGACATAAACTGGTAATGTAGGCATTGCAATCCCTTGAAAAGGGGTTTTAAAAAGTTGTTGAAGCTTGGAATGCTGGTAAGCTTATACTGAATTTTCTATTACCGGTTGACCAAGGTAGAAAAAAAAAATGAACCTACTTCAGAGATGTCATTGAACATTGTGTTGAAACCAGCCTCAAGTTGATCCAAGGGGCATTAGAATCTCAAAAATAACTTCTCATCCTTTCTGCCGGGTATAAGAGATATTCTATGATGTGGATTTACTGTGATACAAGGGTAGTATCTAATACTTTGTCTAAATGGTCAAGGAATTAAAGCAACAACAACAACAAAGAGAATGGGACATAAGACAATTTGAGTATTTGAGGAAGACATATGTAGTTAAACATCTTGATATGACAGAGATTATGATACTATGCATAGCCCAGATGAAATGCTTATTAAAAGCCTGACTCTGTAGACAAGGATTTAAAGATGTCATGGATTTCTCCCAGCCTCTTTTTTCAGCATTTCCAGTCTTACTGAATTAGTTTGTGGGCAAAGTAGCTGTGGGAGCAGGAGTGGAGTTTATACCTTGGCTCTCTAAAGCTGACTAGGCTACTGCCTTTTGTTATGTGTTTACATTTCTGGTGGTGGTGATTACCACTGGGTCTCTGATATCATATCCCGGGATAACCAATTAATTCCAAGGGAGAAGATGATCACCTGATTTTTCTTTCCATCAAATAAGTAAAAGATATTTGTCTTTACTGATTTAGCTTGTCTTTATCCTGACAACATTCTGAGACTTGCAGACAATATAACTTGCAGTCTCAGTGAAAATGTAGTGTGATTATATATTTGTCAAGACACTTGGCACCTTGCCTGCTATATGGCAAGGCTCAACCATTGCTCAAATTTAGTTGTTTTTTTTTTTGCCTGATATTTAATTAGGCATAACGACATAATTATTGAATGAGGAAAGAATAGGTGAAGGAGAGACTGAAATAATGAGCGTGATCTAGAGAAAAATAGGTATATGTGGCATTTTAGAGTCTTTTCCTAGTTATCTATATTAAATTATTTCTTTGTTAATTTTCTGCTTCGATGATGTGTCTGATATTCTCAGTGGAGTGTTGAAGTCTTCTACTATTACTGTATTGGTTTCTAAGTCTCTTGGTAGGTCTCTAAGAATTTGCTTTATGAATCTGGGTGCTCCTGTGTTGGGTGCATATATATTTCGAACAGTTAGGTCTTCTTGTTGAATTGAACCCTTTACCATTATGTAAGGCCCTTCTTTGTCTTTTTTTATCTCTGTTGGTTTAAAGTCTGTTTTGTTTGAAATTAAGTTTGTAACCCCTGCTTTTTTTCTGATTTCCATTTACTTTGTAGATATTCCTTTATCCCTTTATTTTGAGCCTATGGGTGTCATTACATGTGAGATGAATCTCAGAGACAGCATACCATTTGGTCTTGCCTTTTTATACAGCTTGCCACTCTGCCTTTTACGTGAGGGATTTAACTTGTCTACATTTAAGGTTAGTACTGATAGTGTGAATTTGATCCTGGCATTGTATTATTAGCTAGTTACTGTGCCAGCTTGTTTCTGTGGTTGCTTTATAGTGTCACTGGTCTGTGTATTTAAGTGTGTTTTTTATTGGCTGGTAAACAGACTTTCTTTTCTATATTTAGTGCTCCATTCAAGATCTCTTGTAGGGCAGGTCTTGTGGTAACAAACTCCGTCAACATTTGCTTAGCTGAAATGGATCTTATTTCTCCTTCACCTAGGAAGCTTAGTTTGGCTGGATATGAAATTATGGGTTGAAAAGTTTTTCTTCAGAAATGTTGAATATAGGTCCCCAATCTCTTCTGGCTTGTAGGGTTTCTGCTGAGAGGTTCACTGTTAGCCTGATGGGGTTCCCTTTGTCGGTGACCTGCCCCTTCTCTCTAGCTGCCTTTAACATTCTTTCTTTGGTATTGATTTTCGAAAATCTGTTGATTGTGTGTCTTAGGGATGATCTTCTTGTGTAGACATCTGCAGCAATTCTCTGTATTTTCTGAATTTGACTGTTGGTGTCTCTAGCAAGGTTGGGGAATTTCCATAGAAAATATCCTGAAATATGTTTTCCAAGTTATTTGCTTTCTGCCCCTCCCTTTCATGGATACCAGTGATTCATAGACTTGGTCTCTTTACATAATTCCATATTTCTCAGAGGTTTGGTTTATACATTTTCATTCTTTTTTCTGTATTTTTGTCTGATTATCATATTTCAGAGAGCCAGTCTTCTAATTCTGAGATTCTTTCCTCATCTTGGTTTATCCTGCTGTTAATACTTGTTATTTCTTTGTAAAAGCCTTTTTTTTTTTTTTGAGACAGATTTTTGCTCTTTTTGCCCAGTCTGGAGTGCGATGGCATGATCCCAGCTCACCTCATCCTCCTCCTCCTGGGTTCAAGTGATTCTCCTGCCTCAGCCTCCCAAGTAGCTGGGATTACAGGCATGCGACACCACACCTGGCTAATTTTGTATTTTTAGTAGAGACGGGGTTTCTCCATGTTGGCCAGACTGGTCTCGAACTCCCAACCTCAGGTGATCCACCTGCCTTGGCTTCCCAAAGTGCTGGGATTACAGGCGTGAGCCACCGTGCCTGGCCATGAAATTCTTGTAGTGTGTTTTTCAGACTTATCTGATCCATTAGGTTCTTTATGTATTGGTTATTTTGTCTTTCAGCTCTTGTATCATTTTATCATGATTCTTAGTTTCCTTAGATTGGGTTTTGTCATTCTGAATCTCAACAATCTTCACACCTATTTATATTCTGAATTCTATTTCTGTCATTTCAGCCAACTTAGCCTGGTTAAGAACTTTTGTTGGAGAATTAGTGTGGTTGTTTGGAGGACACAAGACACTGATCATCTGAGTTACTGGAGTTCTTGCATTAGTTCTTTCTCACCTCTGCATATGGATGATCTATTAACTGCAGTGTAGATTGAGTACAGACAATAAACTTCTTTTCTAGATGTTTCCACAGGGCTGAGGCTTTGTGCATGGTCTTTATTTGTAGCTCATTTCTTGTCTTTGGTTTCACAGGGAAGTATGTTAGCAAGATATTTTTGGTGTTGAAGCTTTGGGGTATGATCAAATAGGTAGTGCTTAGGGTGTAATGGGTCAGTTGGTAGGCACTTGCTTGATTGTGTGGCTTCCTTATATTTCCTCACAGTTGCAGCCGTGCTCCCTCTCAATGCTCTGAAAGTGTAGGCTCCTCTCCCATTTGAGTGCCGGCGGTAGATTGTGGCTTAGCACTCCTGGGCTGCCCACTGCAGCTCTGGGGCAATCTCATGGAATGGGGAAAAGCTGGAACAATTCCTCTTTAAAACTGGCACAAGACAAGGATGCCCTCTCTCGCCACTCCTATTCAACATAGTATTGGACATCTTGGCCAGATTAATCAGGCAGGAGAAAGGAATAAAGGTATCCAAATAGTAAGAAAGGAATTTAAACAATCCTTGTTTGCAGAAGACACAATTCTATCTCTAGAAATCCCCACAGTCTCAGCCCAAATACTCCTTCAGTTGATAAACAACTTCAGCAAAGTCTCAGGGTACAAAATCAATGTACAGAAATCACTAGCACTCCTATACACCAGCAACAGCCAAATCAATAGCCAAATCAAGAAGAGAACTAGAAAAATCATTTTAAAATTCACATGAAACCAAAAAACAGCCTGAATAGCCAAGACAATTCTCAGCAAAAAGAACAAAGCTGGAGGCAGCACATTACCTCATACTATAATACAGGGCTACAGTAAACCAAACAGCATGGTACTGATACAAAAACATGAACCACAGACCAATGGAACAGAATAGAGAGCTGAGAAATACGGCACACCTATAATCATCTGATCTTTGACAAAGCTGGCAAAAACAAGCAATGGGGGAAAGACTTCCTATTCAATAAATGGTGCTGGGATAACTGACTAACCACATGCAGAAGATTGAAACTGGAACCTTCCTTGTACCATATACAAAAATCAACTCAAGATACATTAAAGACTTAAATGTAAAACCCAAAAGTATAAAACACTGGAAGATAGCACAGGCAATACCATTCTGGACATAGGAACGAGCAAGAATTTCATGACAGAATGCCAAAAGCAATTGCAACAAAAGCAAAAATTGACAAATAGGCTCTAATTAAACTTAAGAGCTTCTCCACAACAAAATAAACTATTAACAGAGTACTCAGACAACCTACAGAATGGGAAAAAATATTTGAAAACTATACATCAGACAAAGGTCTAATATCCAGCATCTATACAGAACTTAAACAAATTTACAAGAAAAAAACAAATAACCCCAATAAAAAGTGGGTAAAGGGCAAGGACAGACACTTTTCAAAAGAAGGCATACATGCAGCCAACAACCACATAAAAATAACTCAAAACCACTGATATTTAGAGAAATTCAAATCAAAACCACAATGAGATACCATCTCACACCACACAGAATGGCTACTAAGAAAAAGTCAAAAAATAACAGAAGTTGGTGAGGTTGCAGGCAAAAGAGAACACATACACTGTTGGGTGGGAGTGTAAATTAGTTTTACCATTGTGGAAAGCAGTGTCGTGATTTCTCAAAGAGCTACCATTGGACCTAGCAATCCCATTATTTGAATAATGGAATAAAGGAATATAAATCAATCTATCATAAAGACACACGCACATGAATGTTCATTGCAGCATTACTTATGATAGAAAAAACGTGGAATCAACTTAAATGCTCATCAATGATAGATGGGATAAAGAAAATGTGGTACATATACACCATGGAATACCATGCAGCCATAAAAAGAATGAGATCGTGTCTTTTGCAGGAACATGGGTGGAGCTGGAGGCAATTTTTTTTAGCAGACAAATATCATATGTTCTCATTTACAAGAGAGGGCTAAATGATGAGAACACATGGACATAAAGAAGGGAACAACAGACACTCAGGTCTACATGAGGGTAAAGAGTGGGAGGGAGAGGAGCAGAAAAAATAGCTTTTCAGTACTAGCCTTAGTACCTGAGTGATGAAATAATCTGTACAACCAACCCCTGTGTTATGAGTTTACCTACATAACAAAACTGAACCTGTATCCCTGAACCTATAATAAAAGTTTTAAAAAATTATGTTTAATGCAAAAATCTTTCTATCTTTCCTATCTTTTTTTCTGTTTGTTTTCTGAAAACTTTTGATTTCTATTTTTTGAGCATTAAACACATTAAATATGTGACTGCTCCATCCAGGCCAATTCTTTGTCACTGATATTAAACACTTAAAGATCATGACTTTGATGCAAAACAGAGTTGACTGCACATCTAGCATTTCTCTTCCCATGTACTGTGATATTCATTAGATGCTCTAAATGACCTCAGCCCATTTCCTCATCTGTAAACATGACTGCAAACAGTCTTACCTCATCAGTCTTGTGGATAAATCACAGCACAAACTATGTCTGGGTAGCACGAGTAGTCCTGTTTAAATGCTCATTCTTATTTTCTCAGTTCTTGCCTGTCCCCTTTTTGTCCTAACTGGAACTGATACATTTTTATCATGATTGCCCTTGCTGGTCTTCAGCATCTGCTCCAGTTTTCTGTATGTGATCATTGACGGATTTTTCTCAGTATCCTTCGCTTTTGTTTAAAATTTAGCTTACAAAGAAGCCATTCAATGTATGTATTGATTAAATTAATATAAGATCGTACATAGTGGACATGATATCTTGTTGTAAAAACAATATTGTGATAGAAGTGAAATAAAAACAGGAATCAGATGAATTTGGTTCCAGTCCTGTCTCTTTCACTAATTAGTTATTGATCTTGAGTAAGTCACTTACAGTGTTTGAGGAATCCTGTCATTAGTGAAAACTATACACACACACACACACACACACACACACACACACGTGAATGCTTTTGGAAATATAAATAATATGGAAAATGTAATCTATTTCGTATTTTACATACCAAATTTCTCTTAATTTTCACATAGCTAGGATAGTCTATAATCATCACCAGTGTGTCCAGGACAATATTTAAGTGCAATCTGTAGTTCAAACCAAAGTTTGTTCCAATAGCATGGCTTGAAAGCCATTGAAATAATATTCCATGCCAGATGCAGTGTAGTGATGTCTTTGTACTATAATCAAAAATAAAAATCAAGTTAAATTTCTGTTCAAGGACTTTTGGAATTCTAACTTATTCAAGTAAACTATATATATATATATATATATATATATATATATATATATATATATATATATACTGTATCTTCATTTAAACTACTTTTATATGAACTTAAAAATTAAGTGGTTATGAATTAGGTTTATTTCATAATTTAATGATTTCAAATGTTAGATTAAATGCTCAGTGAGCTAATTATAATTTGGTTATTGGTTCGCAGGTTCATCTGAGTCCTTTTTACATAGAGCAACTCAATCTTTCATCCCACATTTTGTTTATTCCTGGTGTTCATTTGTGATAATATCTTCTGCCTCAAGGTGAACCACCTGCTCCGCTTAAGAACTGTCTTTAGATTTGTTTCAGTATTTAAAAAATATTAAAATGACATTTAAAAATCAATTCTCTTTAATTTAAACGTACAAAGAATTGCCTTAAATGGAAAAAACATAATCACTTATGGTCTGAAATGATCTGGAGAATGGAGATTGAAAGTTCCTCCTCTCTGGCCTCAAACACAAAACCATTGTGAATTCCAAAGGCAGGGTTTTTGGAGGTTGCGGAAGTGTTCTGTTTTTTGAGTTACCCAGAAATAAGCTAGCAAAAAGAATAGCGGAGGTCAGAATTCACTCTGATATCAGTATGGGGTGGATGAGAGCAATTAGGAAACTTTTGCTGCATTGTTAAGATTTCCATAGGCTGTGGGACAAACAGATAAAGAGAAAAGAGCGACTAAAATAAGAGGAAATAATAAGTGGTTTTCTGGGTTAGATAATGACAGGCACTATTGTGTGGGGGCATAAGAAACAGTGTGATCACTTTCATTTGCAAATTGCAGTTAATGACTTTACTATTGGTGAAAGAGAAGTTCTAAGAACTCATTAAAAATAATTGATACATTAATGCTAATAAATGTACTTGCTGACCAGCACAAATAGACTTGTAATTTGAGGGCATGTTCTGGGCTCACAGCAGCCTAGACGAAGCTATAATTTAAAGATCGTTGTTCCAAAAAAAAAGTGTCAAAGACTCTTGGGAGGCAAAGAAAAAAAAAAAAGCCGGTTAGGCCTCCTACTAAAACGAAGTCCAGATACTTCTTTTGAGTTCCCAGGTGAGTTAGCAGGAGACCCAGGGTATGATTACAGGTTCAGCCTGCCTGAAATCCCCCTTGGTGTTAGCAGAACAATATGGATAGCATTGGTTTGGGAGCAGAGAGTATGAGCAACACAATTCATGCTTATTGGGATATATTAAGAGTTTCTCAACCATTTAGGCATTTACACAGTGCAAGAAGAGGCACACTAGCAGGATGTGCACACAAAACACTGCTAAGAAACTTATTATCTAAGAGTTGGAGGATAAACCAAAGTCCCAAATAAATTTAATAAGAAAGCTCTGAAAGAGGTACTATGGAAATCAGGATGGGCAACAGAATAACATGATTTTAAGAAATATTTTAAAGATTCATAAGGATTCAAAAACCAGCAAGGGGAACGCAAATAACTATCAGCATAATAAAAAGCACACACATATGTGCTGTGTTTAAGGAAAAGATGAAAAACACCTTTATAAAAATAGTGTATGTTTGTAGTTGCAGAAAGAGCAGGAGGTAGGAAGCTAGGTACGTGGATGTTCAAACAGGCATGGGAGACCTTGAATGTCAGGCTGAGAAGTCCATATTTAATTTAGTAGATAGCAGTACATGTATTTACATATCATGTCTAAAGCAGAGTGAATTTTGAGACTCTTAGATCATAGCACAAATAGTATTCTTTTATAAATGAATGAGGAAAAAATTTCCTAAAAATGAGTCAATAAAAATAGTCCCAGTTAACAATTGTGCTTAGCAGAATTCTTTAAATCACACTGAAACGGGAAAAGTTCACTTGTCCCCTTCGCAGAACACTCCTGCGACACAGCAGGAGTCGCTCGCTTCTTCAGTGCCCCGCTGCTCAAACCTCTAGGGGGAGCAAGCAGACGGGCAGGCTGTGGGGCTCCAACCCCATGGCAGCATCTAGGGATGAGCGTTTACAACTCCTGAAGCCCAGTGAGTGTGTGTTATAATGCACTCTTTCAGCTTTGCTGACTGCAGGCAGCTCATGTTAATCAGCTCAGTTAGACCCTCTGCCTTATCGCAAGGACAGAAGGCTTTCTGTATCCCGGGGATTCTTGCCTTAGGGTTTGAAAAAATAGGATCACCTGTAGTCTTGGAGAAGGAGTGCAAGGTTTTGTTGAGTGGAAGTAGCTCTCAACAGATGGATAGGGAGGCCAGAAGGGGGATGGAGTAGGAAGGTGGTTTTCCCCTGGAGTCAGGCAGCCCAGCGGCCAAGCTCTCCTCCAACCGCCCCAGCCAAACACCGCGTCTTCCACTGGTCAATGGCCTGCAAGCGTCTGCCTGTGCCTGTCAGTGTGCTCTTCTGCCAGTGTGTTCCTCTCGAAGTCCAACTGCTTGTGTTAGGGTCTCAGGGTTTTTATAGACACAGGATGGGGGCACAGTGGGCCAGGATGGTCTTGGAAAATGCAACATTTGGGCAGGAAAACAGAAATGCCTGCCTTCACCTAGGTCTGCGGGTACAGGCCTGGGCACGAAAACAGTAATGCCTGTCCTCACCTAGGTTTGTGAGCACAGACCACCTAGGGGTAGAGCCCTCGCCAGGGACCACGTTCTTTTCCCAGCACTTCCCTGCCTCCTCCCATATCAACATCACAACTAAATATATACCGATGATCTTTGACACCTAAATATGTTCTTAAAGGTGCTTTGGCCCTCAAATATTGTGCTGAGAATCTCTATGAAAGGCTATAGGTATGTGCTTCCCTGGCATATCTTGTTGATTATTCTGTGCTGGTGACCCAGAAAGCACTACTTTACAACTCTGGTTGGCATACGAAAGAATTATCTCCATAGTCAGATAACAGCAATTACTGCTGAGTCACTGGAGTAACCTAGCAAAGTGGTAATACATATTTGAAGAAGACAGTGTTGATTGAACATTAGACTAAGTGGGAAGACTCAAGAGTCATGGCAGATAGAGACCTTAGACAGTTCAATATATGTAGGGATGGAGCAAAAGGAAATCAAAGAGAAGGATGAGTCAAAAATGCCTCAAAGTTATAAATCATATTCCGTCTATGAATTCTATATCAGATTCTTTAGTTTCTATTATTTATTTATTTTAAAATCAGATTTCTTGATTCATCAGTAATCCATCCATTTCATTCAGTTCCTACTTCTGAATTTCCTAGATATATTACAGGGCCTACTTAATTAGACTTCCTAGATATATGTAATATGTGTTGCATATATAATTTCATTCCAGTGACTCCAGTCTAATTATTTAAAACTAACCATTGTGTTTTCATACTTACTGCCACTGTTACAATTCACACTCCATAGCCTAAACTATTTTGCATCAGATTATAAGGACTCAGTGTTGGACGGATAGAAACTGATGTTGGGTTACAAACTTCTGTGATAACAGACACAGCACGGTGTCCTTAAGATGTGAATAGTGACTAAGAAAAAGAGATCTCATTGACAGATCACAACCACTTAAATGGAATCCAGTAAAGCTAAATTAGGCAGAGCATTCTGACTGATTCATTGTTGAGGTACAGAAATACCAAATAAGTTATTATTTTCCTCTTTCTCATCTAAGGTTTGTAACTGGTCTTGGATTATGAGGCTAAATATAAATACATATGTGCATATATATATGTATGTATAAAATCATTGTGAAATAATGTATTAGGAAATATCAGGAGGTTGCAAATGCAGAGAGATAGTTACTACATTTATGCTTACATGCTGGATAACACACACAAGCAAAAAATTTAAGTAAGCCTGGTATTCAAAGAAGGGCTTTTGAATCAAATTGCCTCTGTTTCAGTTTTTGTTTTAATATCTAACTTTGAAAAGTTACTTGAACTCCCTAAGCCTCAATATCCTCATCAAAATAATAGAATATAAAAGTATCTACTTCATACATAGATACACATTAGAAAAGTAACTTTAAAAAATGGGTAATTGAAATAATTATTCAGAATATTAAAGCAGATTCTGTAATACCCATCATCCTCTTAATCGTAGGGTACTTGGATCTAGGAAATGAAATAAATTATTCAAAAAGCTTTTTATATTTTACTTCATATTTAATATAACAGTATGCTAGAGAAATAAAGATATATGAAATAATAATTGCTTACTGGCAGAACTGGATTTGGGTATTTCTGATAAATTATTTTACCAGCATGAGGGGGAAATGTTATAGAGAATAATGACACAATAAGTGTGTTTGAAGCAATTTCCTTAGTTTATATTTCCTATTATATAAAGATAGCATATAAAAATATGGTAATTTCATGAAAAAAGGAAGTTTGAAAAAAAAAGGAAGTTTTAATGGCTCTACTGTGTGAATTTGGAGAAGTCACTTAATATATACTAATTAGTGAAAGGAAAATGTCTACCCTATGCTGTGGAGCTGTTAAAATCAAATGACATTATTTAGAAATGTACTTGGAAAAGTGGCAAGTGTCATGCAAATAGGATGAATTAATGATAAATAGTAGGTGATTGTCATTTAATGTTCTACAGGTGTGTACCTTATTGCATCAACCCAGTTTCCACGGGATTTGACATTTGTTTTTGGAGCATCTACTATGTGCTCAAGTGTGATAGGTGTTAGGGAGATAATGGTGAGCACACAGTTTCTCTATCCTCTTATCATATAGTCCAAAAGCTCCATGCTTATTTGTGACCTCCATAGCTCCCAATGCATTTTTTTTTTAGGCCTGAGTGTTCTGCAGAAACTATTTCTTTAATAAGTGACTGAAGAAATGAGTTAAGAAATTTGCTTTAGCCGAGTGCGGTGGCTCATGCCTGTAATTTCAGCACTTTGGGAGGCTGAGGTGGGCAGATCACCTGAGGTCAGGAGTTCGAGACCAACCTGACCAACCTGGTGAAACCCTGTCTCTACTAAAATACAAAAATTAGCCAGGCGCAGTGGCAGGCGCCTGTAATCTCAGCTACTTGGGAGGCTGAGGCAGGAGAATCGCTTGAACCCGGGAGGCGGAGGTTGCAGTGAGCCGAGATCGCGCCATTGCACTCCAGCCTGGCAACAGAGCGAGACTGCCTCAAAAAAAAAAAAAATGAAAAAGAAATTTGCTTTATACTCATCATAGAAATAAGCTCCTATTTGGTGTGTTTAATATCGACAATGGACTCAGGAAAACTTTAAAAAGTACATCCTGTGTGTGTGTGTGAGCTTAATGGGTTTATTGAACTTTCTTAGGTGCTAATACACAAAATGCTGTAGTATTTTTATTTTGACATTCCCTGAACAAGCTGCAGGAAACTTACTTTTAAGTGAACATTGGACATTTTTTAGTTAGTATGACTGTGAGGCAAAATAAAAGTGTTTGCTGTTGTTCCTAATTAATATAATTTAAGAACAAGTTGACATTTTAAACATTTTAATGAGCATTTTTTTTAAGGTTGCAAAAATTTAAAGTACCCCTTTTAATGAGGGCATTTAATTTCATAGTAGTTTCAGCTTTTTGGTTAGAAAATCTGATGTAATTTAACCCAGTGTGGTTTAAAGTCTTTTTAGAAAATTCAAATTATTTTCTTACAATATGTCTAGGATTAAATTAAAATGTCTCATGGCTATAAAAAGTTTTGCAACATATGCTTAATTTTCTTTTTCACTGAAACTTACGTTCCATTTCCCCTTCCCCTCCACATCACCCCTACAAAAATGTTTTGCCCAACATTCACTCTGGTTACTTATTTTTACCTGAGAGAACCATGTACATTTCTGTTTTTAGGGTTTTTCTAATGGCTCTTCAAATTTATTTATCTTTCTTCGTTTATTCACAAAATACTCATCAAGTGAACAAGTGATACTATATGACAGGCACTGTTCCAGGCTCTTGAGTTATGCCTGTGAACAAAGCAAGTGGAAGTGCTAAGAACTGGTCACATTGTAGATATTGTGATGACATGCAGAGTTTTAAAAGAAAGAGTAGAGTCATGGATAACTTCAAGGTTTTCAGCCTAAGCAACTGGAAGGATGGATTTTCTGTCAACTAAGCTAAGGGACTGGGTAAAGAAGATTGGGGGAATATGTTGGCGGTGGTGGGAAGGGCAGAATTTAATTTTGGTGAAATATGTTTTATCTGTCCATTGTGCATAAAAGTGGAGAAAAATTTGGACCATGAGACTAAATAAAATCAGCAGCCTGAATTAGTGTTGAAAAGAAGAAAATGGAAAACTGAGGCCTAAGGCACTCCAACATTAAGAGGTGGGTTAAAAGAGGTTTAAGGAAAGGAGAAAGAGAGGGAGATTTCAGTGGTAGCGGGAAGATTAGAAAGGAGCATACATTTGTTTTGAGATTTTTTTGCAGGGAGTGGATGTATCCTTTGTGGAAGACAATATTGTGTGCTTTATGGTCTACAAATTATTGACTAAACTAATTGAAGTCTCCTTTCCCAGTTTAGGTCTTTATATTCCTTTTTGAAATGTGTATCAGAGCAGAAATCACATAGAAGCCCTCTATTCATCTGTCATCTATCTACATATCATCATTGTCTATCAATAGTCCTCATATATGAATTAGTCCAGATTGTGTAAGATCCCACTTTAATTAAATTCATATTACTTTTTATAGATTAATATTTTGAAGTGGGCATCATCTTTTTAACATTGGAGTTTTCTTGATTCTATGATTCTACTAATTTCTTCATTTTATAATTATACCAGTTTACTATTGCAGAAATGACTGTTAAAATAATATTTAATGGCTTATCTTCATGTGACAAATTTATTCATATTTATTTTTAAGGAAAAAGTAAATTTTAACATATTTGCATGAAAATAGAAGCAGCATAGTATGTTTCAGATGAAAGAGTTTAACTATGTTATTTATTTACTGCTTCATTTATATATTTATTTACTTTACCTTCATTCATCTCCATTGACCAAATGCCTATATGAAGCAGAATGAATGTAGCACAACCACTGAGACATCAACAGAATAATGAATGTAAAGATTATACAACTATTTTTAAAAATATTTATTGAATTTTAAAAAGTATAATTTAAATGGAAAATAAAGCACTAAATTTTGTTCTATACGTGTGAAATGACACAACATATCAGATTTCCATTTTGGTGACAGATAATTTATTTTGAATTACATAAAACAATTGAAGCCTCTTTGAGAGAAGTGAATGTGAAATAGACATAATTGCCTAATTTCTTACCCAAAATGACTGTATCTTTGTATGTCCACCGTGTCTTCATGATTGAAAATACCGTGCGATGAAGATATGAGTCGTCTGGCATAAGCTAGTTTCTCACTCCCTCATCCTCCTCACTGACATTATTTAGATTCCTATTGTCATTCTTTTTAATTCGCACCTCATTCTAAACACGTCACCTGATAATTCCATCTCTTTCGCACATTGCTTATATGCCCATCTCCACTCAACTGTCCATTCTGTATGCTACTGTAGCTCATTCAAATGTGCCTTCTTTGCTCTTTCTACTTACATTGAAAATACAGACAGAATGCTCGGAAATTCAGCGATCAGAAAGACTGTTGTGAACTGTGATTTTGCCGTTTACTAACCATGTGACTTTGTAAGAGTTATAAAGTATCTCTGAAATTTGATCTATAGGTGTTATTGGGTGGTTCTAAGAGTTAAGTAGTTCCTAGAAACATAGTAAATGCTAAATAAATGCAAATATCATATTTCTAATAATGTTGCTTAAGAAAATATTATTTGATCCCGAAATTTTTATCTAAATATTTTCCTACCTTTTTAAAATAATTTTCAAATGTCCTTGCATGGTGCCATTCTTGGCAACTATCTCTCTAAATCTGATGATAAAGTGGTATGAATACTCTTTTTCTCCTTCCTTACCCAGACAGTATAATATTGGGCTTGTTCTTTGTGTCTCCTGATCATCACTTCTTCAATGATTCATTTTTCTTCTCTGTTCCCGTAATATGGCTACTAACCATAACTTTACCACCAATTTCTCTGCTCTTTCCATTCCAGTTTCTCTTCCTCAAGTTATTCATTTTCTTTTACAATAACCATAATATCCTAAGGAAATGAATAGCCACATTTCAAGCATAGAAAAACATAAATAACAGCCAAAGCAAATAAAATATGAGCAGGCCTACTTTCCTTTAGAATTATGGAGATTCAGGTTGGTAAAACTAGGGTAAATCTTTAAATAAGTTTGTTTTCTCTGAATGAGTGAATGGAAAATCACTTGTTTCTACTTTAAGCAGCTTACATGACTTAACTCAAGGACCTACCACCTGGATTAGATAAATATAAAATAGCTTTAACTCTTGTTATTCAGAAAAGTAGTATCTAGGTTCCCCATTCCTACTTTTGAGAACCCCTTTTTTCTAATTTATCTGAGGTATTGGATGTTTGCTACATACCACGCTAGGTTTCCAGGACTTGATTGGATTTCAACTGCTAATTCCACCTCCAATTGAAGCCCCTACGCTTTTGAAAATTTCATTTGTGTGTGTGTGTGTGCATGTGTGTATGCCATTTATATATTTCAAAGCAAAAGGAGAGTATACATATACACACATGCATGTCCATATTTGTATACCGACAGGATATATATTGCACAGTTGACCCTCAAACAACATGGGTTTGAACTGTGTGGGTCACTTACATTTGTATTTTAAAAATAAATACGTTGGAAAAATTTTTGGAGATTTGCAGCAATTTAAAAAATCTCACAGATAACTATATAGCCTAGAAGTATTGAAAAATTCAAATACGTCATAAGTGTATAAAATATATACATATACAAGTCTATTCTATCATTTACTACGGTAAAATATACACAAATCTATTATAAAAAGTTAAAATTTATTAACACTTTTGCACACAAACACTTTCAGATTGCACATGGCACCATTCACAGCTGAGAGAAATGTAAACAAACACAAAGATGCAGTATTAAATCATAACTGAATAAAATTAACTGTAGTATATACTGAACTACCTAATAATTTTATAGCCACCTCCTGTTGCTATCGTGGTGAGCTCAAATTTTAAAGGTGCCCACTTAAAATGCTGTATGATGCTAATAATCTTTGAGTAAGCAATTCATCTCTCCAGTAAATTGCATATAGCAGTAAAAAGTGATCTCTAGCAGTTCTTACATATTTTTCATCCTGTTTACTGCAATACTGAAAACCTCAGATAACACCATGGGATTCATTTGAAGTGCCACTAGTGCTTTTGAAAGTGCATCCAAGAAGCAGAGAAAAGTCATGACATTACAAGAAAAAGTTGAGTTGCTTGATGTGTACAGTAGATTGGGGTCTGCAGCTGTGGGTGCTCACTATTTCAGGCAGAAAATACATCTTGTAAGCAGATGACATAAACTTATGGTAACGATGAATACAGTACAGTACTATAGATGTTTTTCTCTTCCTTATTAATTTCTTAATAATGCTTTCTTTTCTCTAGCTTACTTTATCATAAGAATATGGTATGTAATACATATAACATAGAAAATATGTGTTAATTGACTGTTTATGTTATCAGTAAGTCTTCTATCTGGTCAACAGTAAGCTTTAGTAGTTACGTTTTAGGGCAGTAAAAAGTTATATGTGGGTTTTTGACTGTGTGTGGTCAACAGCTCTAACTCCCACATTGTTCAAGGGTCAACAGTATGCATGTATGTGCATGTGTATGGGTATGTATATGTATATGTACATAAATTTGTAATGACAAAGAAATACATAAATGTTCTCAATGTGAAATGATAGGGCAATATAGAACTGCACTCCATGGTGTTGGATATTACATAAATTTTAAAAGAGCATGTTAGATTTACAGCTATTAATTAGAAAGTTAACCATAATGGATTTGAAAATGAGAAAATCAAGCAGCATTTAATGTAGACAGTTTTAAAAAACAAACTTCAAAATCCTATATACATAAATGAGAAAAACATTAAAATAAGTCTATGGTTTGCTTAATTGAAAATGTATGTACAATTACATTTTAAGATTTTCAACACAGCCACTAGCAGAATTTAAATTAAGATGAATTTGTCCCAAATCACCAGAGCCAAAAGAGCAATGAAAACAAGCGCAGAAATAAAATGAAATGGCAAAGATGGCAAATCTGAAAGTATAAAACAAGATGAAGGTATACGTTCAAATACAAAATGGTAGACAGTACTCAATCTGTCAGTAGATGACTTTCTTATTTGCAGCTGGTGGCATGTTGGTCATATTTTTATTATCACACTCTTGTGTTAAATTAAAATCAAGTGTATCTCCACCTTACTGCTAGACTGTGAACTCTTAAGATTGATGGTATACATTATACACTTGCGTATCTTGACTTTTCAGAGTAAAATATTCTCTCTATAAATATCCAAACAATGAATGGATGAATTAATGAATGAATGGATGAATATACTTGCTGTACAGATTCCATAGCTGTAGCATATATTTAATGAAAGAAATAATACTCCCAGAGCTTCAAAACCTTGAGCCCATGAATATTTGTTTAATTTTAATAAACATAGAACATCACTACCAAGACCTTTCTTGTTGATTATTATGCACAAATCAGTTTCTTTTTTCCTGGAATTATCGAGGGAAAAAGAAGCCATTGATTAAATATGTTTGAGAATATTAGACATTATATTTCTTACTTAAGTCTTCAAAATTTATGATGCTGTGATTGCTATTAATATTGGAAGCTCTAAAAATACTAATTAAATGTAATCACTGGTTAAGTATATATTAACTAGTCAGTATATATATAGTTAAATAAATGTGTGGTTAGTGTAACTAAGAATTTTTCATACCTTCTTAAATATAAAAAATTTCCAAGTAATAGTTTTAAAAAAAAAAAACCTTCTATTTTAGGTTCAGGGGCACATGTGAAGGTTTATTGTATAGGTTAACTCATGTCATGGGGGTTTGTTATACAAATTATTTCACCACCGAGGTACTAAGCCCAGTACGCAGTAGTTATCTTTTCTGCTTCTCCTGCTTCTCCCAACCTCCACCTTCAAGTAGACCCTAGTGTCTGTCGTTTCTTCTTTGTGTTCATGGGTTCTCATCATTTAGCTCCCACTTACAAGTGAGAAAGTGTGGTATTTGGTTTTCTGTTCCTGTGTTAGTTTGCTAAGGATAATGGCCTCCAGGTTCATCCATATTCCTGCAAAAAACATGATCTCATTCTTTTTATGGCTGCATAGTACTCCATGGTGTATATGTATACATATACAAGTGGTATATAATACATATACAAGTGGTGTATATGTACCACATTTTCTTTATTCAATCTGTCATTGATGAGCATTTAGGTTGATTTCATGTCTTTGCCACTGTGAATAGTGCTGAAATGTACATTCATATATGCATGTTTCTTTACAGTAGGATGATTTATATTCTTCTGGGTGTATACCCAGTAATGGAATTGCTGGGTTGAATGGTTGTTCCCCTTTTAGCTCTTTGAGGAATTGCTACACTGCTTTCCACAATGGTTGAACACTCCCACCAACGATGTATAAGTGTTCTCCTTTCTCTGCAACTTTGTCAGTTTCTGTTATTTTTTGACTTTTTAATGTAGCCATTCTGAGTGGTGTGAGGTGGTATCTCACTGTGGTTTTGATTTACATTTCTCTAATTATCAGAGATATTGAGCATTTTTTCATACGCTTGTTGGCTGGACATATGTCTTCCTTTGAAAACTGTCTGTTTATGTCCTTTGCCCACTTTTTAATGAGTTTGTTTTTCTCCTGTAAATTGAAGTTCCTTATAGTGCTGAATATTTTGTCAGATGCATAGTTTGCAAAATTTTTCTCCCATTCTGTAGGTTGCCTGTTTACTCTGTTGATAGTTTCTTTCACTGTGCAGAAGCTCTTAAGTTTAATTAGATCTTGTTTGTCAATTTTTGCTTTTCTTGCAATTGTTTTTGGCATTTTGTCATAAAATCTTTGCCCATTCCTATGTCCACAATGATATTGCCTAGGCTGTCTTCCAGGGTTTTTGTAATTTTAGATTTTACATTTATGTCTTTAATCCATCTTGAGTTGGTTTTTGTATATGTTGTAAGTAAGGGGTCCAGCTTCAATCTTCTACATTTGGCTAGCCAGTTATCCCAGCGCCATTTATTGAATAGGGAGTCTTTTCTCCATTGCTTGTTTTTGTCAACTTTGTCAAAGATCAGAGGGTCACAGGTGAGTGACCTTATTTCTGAGTTCTCTATTCTATTCCA